>NC_000005.10:171821930-172124960 GCF_000001405.40 Homo sapiens
CTGCCTCCTTGTAGCCTTGAGCTATCCACAGCCTCAGTTTCCACTTCTGCAAAGGACAGAGTGGCTAGGAGGTGCCTGGCACCCAGCAGACGCTCCTGGAGTCCCTTTACCATCATTGGATCAACTTTCACAGAACCAGAGCTTGTCAGAGTTGGGAAGCACCAGAGAGAGCATTCTGTCCAAATTTCAGTTGAGGAGTCCATTCTTACAGCCCCTGAGGCTTCCGTCTTATGGCTGACCTCATCCAACATGGGTAGAGAGGTCTCAAGAAAGGAAATCAAGACAATATTTTATTGAAAAGAAAAATATTGAAAAGCATGTCCCCCACCCCAGTTTCTGAGATTTTGCTGTCATCATGGTTGCTAGGCTGGTCTGATATATGGACCAGAGCAGGGGAGAAGAATGGTGTAGGGGAGGGGCTGGTCCTCAGCAGGCATGCAGGGATCCATGACCTCCTCAACATGTCCCCTGAGCCCAGGGCAGGGGCATAACTCAGAGACTGCATCTGCAAGATGGCCTGAAAATGCTTCCAAAGAGAACATAGAGGAGGTAGAAGCTCTCTAAATCACTCAGGAACAGTGCATTCCTCAATCACACCAAATGACTGTGTTAACGTATTAACTCCTGTGACTGAGAAGTCCAGAGGAGGGATAGGCTTCAGCAAAACTTTGTTAGCAGCTCTGCAGAGTCTCCAAGAACTTCATTCCCTTCCATTTCTCCACTCTGCCTCCTGCATCTGCCTGCCCTCCCTCTTGGCCACAAGATGGCTGCCAGCAGCCATGAGGGCTTCCTAGTCCAGTGGAAAAGAGGGCAGCTCTGTGAAGATAGTTTCTGTGAAAGAACAACCGAAAAAGCTTCCTTTTCAGAACTTCCCAGCAAATGCTTCCCTGAGACACCTGCCAATCGCTGATGCCAGGGCATTGAGCTGTAAGCACAAGCTTAGGCCAACCAGGGCCACCTTCTGGAGCTGGGATTTGGGCCTGCTTCCCTTGGAAACACAAGGGCTACATGGGGGACAGCACCCACATGAAAACTGGGGTGCTGATACCAAGATAAAGGAGTAGCTGCTGGACCTACAGCAGCAAATGTGCATGACACCATCCAATGCTGCATCCTCCCTAATCATGTATCAGCTCTGATCCTTCCACAAGTGCCCACCGCTGTCTGTTCTCGTGCAGGTAGACAGGTAAATCTGACCAGTTTTGGTTAGTCCAGGGTAGATGCAGCTTCTTGACAACTAATGTTTTAGTGGGAGGGGCCAGGGGCTGCCCACTCCTTGAACTCATTGATTGCCAAACTTTGCTCTAAGGAGCACTTTTTTTCTGTGGAGCAGCCTCAGGGGAGCATTGTAATTGCAACAAAAAGCGGGTGCCTGGGGATAGAGGAGGCCAAACAGGTCAGGGTCTGGCCACCCTTTTCCACTTTAGGCTCACACACCTGCCCCTGGCCCCACCTTAAAACTGGTCTCTGATACCTACTCGTTTTTTGCAGCCTTGATGCTGGACTTTGACCCCGCCCCACCTCCTATGCAAATGTCAAATCCTTACAGCCTCTGCCTTCTAGAGCTGGTTCCTCAGTCCTCAGACCTGAAATTTGCTTCCTTCATGGCCCTGAGCTGACCCCTAGGTCTTCTACAACACCACGACACCTCTGCAAAAGACAATCAGCACTCCCCAGGCCAACCTGAAACTAGCCTGCCGTGGCAACTTTCTACCCATGAGAGATCACTTCACCTCTCCCAACCTCAGTTTTCTTCTTTATTAAATTGCAAGAACAACCCACAACTTAGACCAAGAATAATGCTGCCTACTGGGGCACTGGGTTGACTGTTACATTTGCAGAATCTCTCTTTTTATTATCAATAATAGCTGGAACTGCTTGACCTGTTCAACATTCACGTTAACAGTATCCAGGCTCCGTTTAAAAAATATAAAAAAGCTCTTTATAAAGGGAATTGGAGGCCCCTAAAGACAACACTGGCACTAAGTGGGCTATGAGTGGCCCCAGGCTGGCTCCCCAGAGCTCCATAACTTTCTAGAACCTCTATAAATAGGATGCTTTAAGCTAAGTCTCCACCCCAAAGTCTGCTTTGCAAGCAACATGCCTGCTTCTCGGAGTTGCTTTCTGCTGCTGCTGGCGATGGCAACCTTAAAAGTTGATTAAGATGAGCAGGTCTGGGTCTTGTCATTGCTCCTTCATTCCTTCTACCTTTGGAAGCTCAACTTCAAGGCTCACCCAAAGTCCTGAAGATGAGCGGAAAGCAGCATGGAGGAAATATATACATAATTCACTCACCCTTTCATTCATTCACAGCCACTCTGTACAACCTGCTCTGTACCTGAGTTTGAGGATGGGTAGAGTGGGAACTATTTGATGGTGTCACCACAAGGACCCAGGAATGCCTGGATCCTGCCTTTTACTGTCACCACCACCCTCCCCACACAGAGAACCTGAAGAGCAAGGGTGGAAGAGAAACCAGAGGAGCTGCTCCATGAACAGCTGCCCAGGTGAGCCTTCTACCCTGCAGAGCATCCTAGTGAGGGTTCAGGGCCAAAGTAAGGCCAACTCTCTATGCCAGATGTTCATCTTTAAATGATCATGCCAATGCAGGCTGAGAACAAAAGCAAGAGAGAGACAGAGAGAGAAAGAGAGAGGTGAGAGGAGAGAAAGAGAGAATACCCAAAGAGAGAACCAAGTACCAAGAGGGGCCCTGAATCCCCATGATCCACCCATACCTATGGAGAGGAAAAGAAAGACAAATAAGGATGTCCTCCCTGATCTTTTGAGCCAGGCCTTGCTTAGTCAGGAATGATGCGATAGGGTTGACCAAATGTATGAGACAGGGAGGAGCATCCTAGGTCTGTGGAATAGCATGTGCACAATATGTAGCATGTCCAGGGAACACGCATGGCTATAGCAGAAGTACCAAAAGAGAAGAAGAAAGAGGTGAGGCTTACCTTCAGAGGCAGGTAAGCTCTGCACCGTCCAGATTGCAGGGGACCTATTATACAACTCCTTGACCCTTGCCATGACCCTCAGAGTGCACTCTCTTCACCTTGACTTTGGGCACAACTGTGTGACTTGCTTTGACCTACGGACACTAGCAGACAGGAGGGGAACAAAAAGCTTGAAATGTGCTTCTAAGGTTAGAACTGACCTCTTCTACTCTTGCCTTTTGCCATGACAAGAACATCCTTTAGGCCATCACTGACCTAGAAAGGTTGAGAGACACATGGGGTAGGCCTGGGACTCAACACACACCCAGAGACCAGCCCAGGCGAGCCCAGCCAAGATCAGCCACATCCTCACCAACCACGCATGCATGAGCAAGAGCAATGAATGCTTATCAAGGTGGACATGCCACTGATGTTGTGTGGTTATTTGTCACACAGAAAATGCTGACTGAGTCAGCCTTGGGTGCTTGGGTAAGATATTTGGAATTTATCCTGGAAGTGGAAGAAAATCATTTAATAACTTTTTGCAGACAGTCCTCTCACAACCTTCCGAGCTAAAATATGGGGAATGAAATTCACCCTCTCTGCAGTCCCTGGCACGGTGTTGGACATGTGGAACAGACACACTAAATCCTTCCTGGTGAATTCAGGGAAACGTATGCCTTTGCTCAAGCTGTTCTGTCTCACTTAAAAGACCTTCCCCCACCACAGCCACCTAATAGACACATTTTTCTACTTCAAGCATCCTGCTTAGAACCTTGCCAGAAACTTCTGTAAGCTGGATCAAGAACTCCAGCAGATATTCCACAATAGACTTGGTTTCTCCTCTTCTAGACTCTGAGCTCCTTAAGGGACAATGTCTATTTTCTCTTGGGTCCCCAGCACCTAGGATAGTGCCTGACATACAGTAGGTGACCAGTCAGTCTGTTCAATGAATGAACAAGTGAACTCCCCCACAGCTTCTAGCACAAAGCTGGGCCAGTGGTCCTCATGCAGCAAATACTAAGTTGCTTGGCTGCCAATATTTGTCCTAATTAATTAATACCCTCTCCTGTTACTTCTTTCTTCTCCTATTTAGAATCTTAAACTCCCTCCCCCGAGCTACTCAGCCTCTGCTACAGTAACTTCTTTATTCCATTTTAATAATACCTAGACTATGGACAGAGTGACATAAAGGAAACCCGTGAGTCAAAACATCTATGGTAGGAAAAATACAGGTGACCTATAAAGTACTTCACCAACTTTCCTGAAGACTTCATGCTTGGACCTTATAAATCATGGGCGCCTGTCCCGCACAGGCTGGGCCAACACACTGCAGTGGGCTGCCCATCTTTAAGAGGCCTGGTGACACAATGGCTTGTTGATGCAGGGTATTTATACAGAATTTCCCACATCAATCTTGGTGTAAAAAGGGAGGTGATGTCATTCAGCGGTGAAACAAGTATCATCTGTAGAAAATCCCAAGCAGCCTCGGGGACACAGTCACACTTGTTTATTTATTTAAGGTTGCATGAATCGTAAGATGAACACTGAAGCTGTGCTACAAAGACCAGGAGCTTTCAAAACATCCAGACCCTCTGACCCAGAAAGTATTCCCCTTCTAGGAATCTGTCCTAATAAAGTCATCAGGGAGGTGTACAGAGAGATGCACAAAGATTTATGTTTATAGTTTGATTCCTGGAATGGTAACTAGAAAAGGAAAAAACATAAATAACTCTACTTAATACAGCTGGGAAGCGGTTAAGCAAACATGGAGGTGGTGTAACTAGGTGGTTACATCCACATCACGCAGTGTTTTACAGCTGTTAAAATTGATCATTTGTGTTCTTTCTCCTTTTTTTCCCTTCCTGATTGAGTCTAAAAGCCATCATGTGTGGCTGAGCAAGGTAGGAGTCTGCAGAAGGTGAAGATGGGAGTTCTAGAACCTGAGACAGGTAAGGAGCGTGTCTACACAGAGTGGTGGATGTGGCAAGGATAGCCTGGCCCAAGGTGTCTCACCAGGTAGGGTAAGAAGGGGACTCATGAAGGGAGGCAGTGTTGGTGACAGCCTAGCATGGGGATTCAGAGTCTGAGTGGGTGAGGAGAGTGTCTCCATGAGTAGTGGCAGCTGCAGTGGACCAGCACAAGGTGTTGGAGCCACACTGAGGGGAGGAGGGCATCCATATAGGAGGAAGAGAGATGCATCCCAGCACGTCAGGTCAGAGCACGAGTGGGTCAGGAGGTAATTCACACGACCGTAGAATAGGTAGCAGTGGCAGTAATAACAGATTGGTTACTTGCAGGAGCATTAAGCAAATTAGTAAATATGTTCTGGGTTTCTTACTGTCCAAGAAGTGTTACAAATACGAAAAGGCAGAAAACTAGGATGAACTTGTTGTATTGGCTTGAAGAAATCAGTGTGAATTCATGAAGACAGAGAAAAAGAGAGATGATTAGATGCATAGAGATTAGAATGTGCGTGTGTGCGTGTGTGCGTGTGCGTGTGTGCGTGTGTGCGTGTGCGTGTGTGTGCGTGTGTGTGTGTATACATGTATTCCCTAGCTCTGTCCACCAAGTGCATCTAGAAGCAACAACTCAATAGAATGAGCAGCTTAGCAAGTAGATCTTGGTTTCTAAATACCATCCTCCACTAAAATAAACCAAGAGTCAATGGAGAAATGGCTCCTGAAGAGGCAAATTGCTATAGGCCCAAGAACACCTGCACATTCTTGCTTGGTGTGCCAAGAATGGAAGACCTGATTACTCCTTCCCAGGCCCATATCACGATTGTGTTTGCAGTGAGCAACTTTGCAGAGCAAGTAATGTCTCCTTCCAGAATAAAGATTAGGCTTGCTTATTGTTTGCTATAAAAGTGGTGGATCTGGGCTGGGGGTGGTGGCTCACGCCTGTAATCCCAGCACTTTGGGAGGCCGAGGTGGGTGGATCATGAGGTCAGGAGATCGAGACCATCCTGGCTAACACAGTGAAACCCTGTCTGTCCTAAAAATACAAAAAAATTAGCCAGGCGTGGTGGCACGTGCCTGTAGTCCCAGCTACTCAGGAGGCTGAGGCAGGAGAATTGCTTGAACCTGGGAGGCAGATGTTGCAGTGAGCCAATATCACGCCACTGCACTCCAGCCTGGGTGACAAAGTGAGACTCCATCTCAAAAAAAAAAATTGTTGGATCGGACTGGGCGTGGTGGCTCATGCCTATAATCCCAGCACTTTGGGACACCGAGGCAGGCAAATCGCTTGAGCCCAGGAGTTCAAGACTAGACTGGACAACATGGTGAAAGCCTGTCTCTACAAAAAACAAAACTTAGCTGGGTGTGGTTGTGCACCTCTGTAGCCCTAGCTGCTCAGGAGACTGAGGTGGGAGGATCACCTGAGCCCTGGAGGTCAAGGCTGCAGTGAGCCATGATTGTGCCACTGCACTCCAGCCTAGGTAACAGAGTGAGACCCTTTATCAAAAAAAAAAAAAAAAAAAAAAAGTGGTGGATTCCTCAAGCTCGGTGTTCTTTTGTTGCCATGCAAACACACTCCACACATGACATCCATCCAGGTCATATCACGTTGCTCCCCTAGACTGGGGTGCAGAAAAACCAATGAATTATGCTATTGCTCATGTTACTTCCTGTGTCATAAGTAATAAAGTCCTTTGCCTTGGACTCAGGAGTCTCATGTATTCTGCCAACATCCATGAAATACTAATAGTCTCTTATTAGCTTGTAGGTAGGGTAAAATAAAATCACAGACTCAATGAGGACTGATTCCAGGGCTGGCCCAGAAAAAGTTAAGATTTATCTTTTACCAAAACATAAAGTAGTGCTTAGAGAAAGATAGGGACTCATCTAAAAAGATACAGAATTCAAGGTGAAGGGGCTCTCACTGCCCAAATCTGGGACAATTTTATTATCAAATAAATGAGGATAGCAACTGATTGTAACCTGTCGAATAAGATAGGAACCCATAAATCCAATCAATCAATGATATTTCTTGTACTGAAAAAATTGTTCAGAGGAAGTTTTAGAAGACATGGGCAAAATGACCTGCTCTCTATATAGAATGGAAGACATTAACTCTTCTTTATTTGTTTCTTTATCAGAATCCATTCCCCATTTCCCAATATTTGTTTGTGGTTCTCCCCTCCTTTCTCAGGCCATGAGTTCTGGATAAAAATCCCTGTTTCAGGGGTAGAACACATAACCCAATCCTGGCCCATAAGGCACATCATGCTTTGGGCCATTTGAACTAGTTCAGGGATGAGTGCTTGACCTCACCAGTCCAATTAAAGTGAATCTCAAAAGTTTTGTGGAGGTAAGGGGGAAACTCTTACTTTTTTCCATTGGGATTGAACTTGATGTGAGTTTGGAGCTTCTCAGCCCTCTTGTCACCATAAAAGAAGAGCCTGAAACTTTTGCAGACACCACGTACAGCCTGTGAATAAAGCTGATGTGTAGATTTGTCGTGTTCTTTGCTGAACATTCTTAATATGTTTATGGAATTTTCAGCCTTATGAATCTTTTCTCTCTAAGGTAGAATTCAGAAAACTTATTTCTCTAGCCCCCTTTGCACCTAGCCGCTAGTCTATTCTAGGTGCCACCAACAAGATGTATTCATGTAGACTTTGAATATAATGTAAGAACATGGAAAAGGAGGCTCTTCTCAAAATCCAAGTTGCTAGAGAAGGTAGCACCAGAAACATCTGGTTGTGAGGGTGTTGGTAGTAGTTTAAAAGTGAAATTACTAGAACAGAAATAACATCAGTGCTGGCAGCAGTATTCATTGCACTGAAGTTGAGTTCCTGACAGCATTGTGAGATACAGAATTTAGTGCTTGGTAGTAGCAATGGCCACAGTTTTCTCAACAGATCAGTTCTCCAGCATTTTTAGGAATATTATTTCTGGAAACTTAGCCTTGAGCCTGATTCTTCTGCCTTTGCAACAATTCTACATTATTGCTATTCTTTCATTAAGCTCTTTTTCTGCTTATTAAGTCAGAGTCAGTTTCTATCATGCACAACTAAAAGTCTTCTCTGATTAAAAAAAATTTTTTAATTGGTACAAGGAGTAGGGTAATGAAAGTAACAGAACCTAAAATATGGCAGAAGAAGGATCTGATTATTACTGACAGAAGCTGATGAACATTCTTATGCAGTTGCAAACATTTGGTCAAAGTGCTGCCTGCTCTGCCTTAAGACATTATATCTATTAGGGATATGGAGTACAAAGAAATTATTGAAAATTCCAGAGTATTAATCCATGCTGGCCACTTCTTACTATTTTAACAGAGTCCTACAAGAGAGATGATTGCCAACAAGAGCTAGCCAGTCTTCTTCAAGCCAGTGGAAAAGATACAGCTTTGCTAAGGGAGGCACTATCTGACTACAACCTCTAATCTAAATTGACTGAGAATCCCATAATTTGAAGTCTGGTGGGTTGAAAAAGCTCAAGTAACAGCACAAACAACAGCCATAAAGCCACAGTGTTAGCAGGAAATTATATCAGTGCCAAAGCTGTTGTCTAGTACCTTCCCTTAAGAGTTTCCTGCCAAATAAAGAGGGAGCACCAACACACAAAGATCAAATTAAAGGAGATGTTTCTCCACCCAAGGTTGCTATTTTAAATTGCCCTGAAGAATCAGCCAATAAACCAAGGGCTAAAGGGCTGGATAGGGCACAGAGAGAGACAATGGGTTAAAAAAAAAAAACCATTTAGGCTTACCTACTCTGTCTAGATAAAATCTTTTGTGGTTACTTACATATGGAAGTCTCTGAAACCAAAGACTGGATCTCTATTACATTTTTGAGGAATGTATATTTCCAAACAATCTATGATAGCCTGTGACTGTTCAACTCTAAAAATAATCCTTGGGGATCAAACTTCTACCAAGAAGAAATGTGCAGTCCCCAGAAAAGACAGCAACCCCAATATCTTTCAGCTGTAGCTAAGGTAATAAGCAGGAAGTATCCTCCCACATCTTGTCCTGATGAGTGGACTGCACATTATTACTCAGAGATCCTGAGTTTCAAGATGGATGCAGTAACTGCCTTTGGACTTTGGACTGTACATAAAGTATATGTATAGAAATAAAAGCAAGTGGATGTTGGGTAACTAAAAGGGTGAACTATGGCAGACATTTTTAATCGGCCACCTAAAAGCCATTCATAACCTTCTTCCTTAATTTTCTTGGCAGCAAAGTTAAAATATTCACCTTCCCAGACACCTCTGCTGCCAAGGGTGGCCATATTACCCAGTTCTGGCCAATACAATCTAAGGAAAATTGCTGGACAAGGCTTCCAGGGAAGGTTTTTAAAAGAAATAGTTTCAGATGACATAAGTAAGGCAATTAACATTTTTCTTTCAAAAATAACAAAAATATTACATACAAAGTTGAAGACTCCTTCACCCTTCAACTCTAGTCTTTTACCCTCCCCTCATCTCCTGTTATCAGTTTAGTGTGCACCTTTCCAGACCTTTTCTCATGCATTTGAATACATACATACCTATACACACACACAGAGAGAGAGATAGAGAGAAAGAAGATATGTAATATTGTTGGGAGTTACCTAAATGGTATCATGCTAAGGGTATAACTCTGCAACTTGCTCTTCTTACTCAGTAACATGTTTTGGAGATATTTCCATACCATACTTGTAGATTGATATGGTTTGGCTCTATGTCCCACCCAAATCTCATCTTGTAGCTCCCATAATTCCCACATGTTGTGGGAGGGACCCAGTAAGAGATGACTGAATCATGGGGGCAGGTCTTTCCTGTGCTGTCCTCATGATAGCGAATGGGTCTCATGAGATCTGTTGGTTTTAACAACTGCAGTTTCTTTGCACAAGCTCTCTCTTTGCCTGCTGCCGTCTATGTAAGATGTGACGTGCTCCTCCTTGCCTTCCACCATGATTGTGAGGCCTCCCCAGCCATGTGGAACTGTAAGTTCAATAAACCTTTTTCTTTTGTAAATTGCCCAGTCTCAGGTATGTCTTTTTCAGCAGTGTGGAAATGAACTAATACATAGATCTTCCTCATTCTCTTTACCAGCTACATAGTTTCCCATAGTATGAATGCTCCACAATGTATTTTTTAAAAATAACTTTAACTTTTATGTTAGATTCAAAGGGTACATGAGTAGGTTTGTTACCTGGGTTTATTGTGTGATGCTGAGGTTTGGGGTGCAATTGATCCCATCACCCAGGTACTGAGCATAGTACCCAATAGTTAGTTTTTCAATCCTTTCCTTCTTTCCTCCCACTGTAGTAGTCCCTAGTGTCTACTGTTGACACCTTTATGTCCATGAGTCCCATTGTTTAACTCCACTTACAAGTGAGAACATGCAGTATTTGGTTTTCTGTTCCTGAGATAATTCACTTAGAATAATGGCCTCTAGCTGCATTCATGTTGCTGCAAAGGACATGATTTTGTTCTTTTTTATGGCTGCATAGCATTCCATGGTGCATATGTACTACATTTTCTTTATGCAATCCACCATTGATAGGTACCTAGGTTGATTCCATGTCTTTGCTATTGTGAATAGTGCTGTGATGAACATACAAGTGCATGTGTCTTTTTGGTAGAAAAATTTGCAAAATTTATTTAGCCATTTTTAAAACTGATGAGCACTTACACTCTGTCTCAGTGTTACTATGTATTATTTACTCTTGGAAACAGCGCTGCAATGAAAATTCTTGTATACAGTTCTTTGTGCACATGTGCAAGTATTTCTCTAAGGCAGATACTCAAAAATGTAATTTCTAGGTCATAGGCTATGCACATTTTTAATTTTTATGTCCTTTTAAAATTTTAATATGTCCTGCCAAATTTCCCTACAAGGTGGCAGTACAAATTTATAGCCTCTCTGCAGGGCGTGAGAATTCTCCACACTCTCACCAACTTACATTTTCTTTTCCAATCTGATGGGTAAGAAATGGCTTCTGGTTGTGTTCATTTGCAGTTTTCTGAGGAGCAGTGAGTTCAGCTTCGTTTATCAGACTCCTCTCTCAATCAGGTCTTTCCTGGAGCCTCAGCAGCTCAGTGGATTCTTATCAATGATCTGCATCATGTAAAGGGATGGACTTCGGAGTGGAAACAACAGAGTCTGGTCCTAATCTCTTTGCTGTAGTAACTCAGGGAAGTTAATGAGAGTGATGAGGAGATTAAAGGAGACAATGCATAGAAGGGATTTAGCCCAGTGCCTGATGCATCAAGAACACCCAATAAATGCTGGCTATCCTCACCAGCCTTATTATTATGATGATGATGACTATTATTATGACTACCATCTCCACTTCTCTCATGTGTGACAGATAGCTGCTGACATAATTTCCAGTGATCCCCACCCCATAGTATTCATGCCGTGTGTAATCCCATACCTTGAGTGGTGGGCTGGACCTAGTGTCTTGTTCCTAACAAACAGAATACACCAAAAGTGATGGAATATCACTTCCATGGTTAGCTTTAAAAAGACTGTGGATTCCATCTTGCTGACATGTTCCTATTGCTGTCTCCCTTCTTGTACACTTTGATGAAGCAAGCAGCCATGCTGGAGAGGCCCACATGGAAAGGAACTGAGGGAACCCTCCAGCCATCAGGAAATGAGGAGCTAAAGCTGGCAGCCTACCAGGAACTGAATCCCACCAACAACCATGTAAGTAAACTTGGAAGCAGATCTTCCCCAATCCAGCCTTCTGATGAGTATAGCCCAGATGAAGCCTTGTGTGCTGCCTGTGAGATACCCTGAAGCACAGGACCCAGCTAAATGATGTCCAGTTTTCACACCTACAGAAATTGTGAGATAATACATGTTGTTACTTCAAGGCACTAAGTGTTGGTGTGATTTGCTACACAGCAACAGCTTACTAATATATGATGTAAATTTCTTAAGGAAACAGGTTCCATTAACCATCTTTCTTAATCAGTAACATAAAATTCAGAATCACTCCCTAAAACCATGGCAATGGTGTATCTTTTACTGAAATAAACCTATTGAATACTTCCCAAAGACAAGATATTGTGAGTTATTTGGAAGAAAAGTGCTTCTGGGTATTTTAATAGCCCTAGCTTGATGTGTCACCTCATGTTTACAAAGGCAGAAGGCAAGGTAGTATGATTATAGGAGCAACGCTTGATGGTCAGACGGACTTGGCTTGGCTTTCAAGTTCAGCTCCTGGTGGCGTCACCTTGGGCTGTGTCACTTCTCCTCTCTGAGCCTCCAATTCCTCAACCACCCAGAGAGGTTAAAAAAGGAAAAGCTCCCCAACCACACATGGTTTTACTGTGGGAATGCAGAGATATATAACATCCAAGCACCTAACCCTCAGCAGGTACAGAAATACTACTCATTTTTTCCAAGACTTTTTTGACCTTGACATTTCTGCCCCTTCACAAACAGACAAAACACTGAAAAACATGTCACTGAAATGGAGAAGGAAAATGCCAGCTCTGTCGAGCTTGTATGAGAAGAAAAGGGAGGTCCAGGCTTTGCCACAGGATTAGGAATAAAAGCAGATGAAAGGTGGGACTCTATCCAGGAACAGGCCGTATTGAAAGGGAATTTTATCAAAATTGCAGTAAACAGTTGCCCTCTCTTCAGCCTTGGAAAGAAAAAAGAGAGAGAGAGATTGGAGTGTTACCTACAAGGGTGAGAGTTGATTTTTCTTTTAACTTTTCAGCTAATCTGTCACCTTCTATGTAATAAAGGGCTGAAAAATAAAAATCTATCCAGCTTTGGAGAGAACTTATCTGGGGTACTTTTACTACTTTTTTCCAAAAGAAATGCTGTGTCTAAAACCACAAACTTGCACCTGTTTCCCTTGACTTAAGGGCCCGAAAAGTGACGTTTTCAATTAGTAGATGCTTTTCTTTCCAAAACTGATCTTAAGACAAAGTTTTATAGCTAAAAAATTAATTTTCTTTCACTGCCCCAAAACCAAAAGATAAGACAAAAGAAGGAAAAGAAGAAAGAAAAAAGAAAGAAAGAAAGAAAGAAAGACCCTCTGTTTCTTCCCCCTTCTACTAAATTTTTCACTGTAAATGTTCAAGCTTTTCCTCTGCTAGGAGCACAAATCCTTTGAAATAGGAGTGAGAAACAGCCCAGGCCAATTCTGGCTGTGGCCCAGAGACAAGGCTCATCTGAGATGGCTCAGGAAGGGCTGGCAGTGATGGCTTGAGTTTCAGTTTGGCCAAAGCCCGCTTCTGTCTGCTCTCCTCCCTATCCAGAGGAGCAAATGCTGTCTAGACAGTCCAGCCCATAGATTATTTCCACTTCAGCTCCACTCCTTCACCTGCTCATGAGCGGCAAGAACTCATTGGTAAGAAGATCCTTGGATTCTCCGCATACAAGATGACCAGCAGGGAGAGGATGGGCGGGATGGGAAGGACCTATCTTTTGTGCTATGAAAAGCGGGCACAGACAATGAATGACTGTATGAGTCATTCCTACCCTCCAGGCCCTCTTTGAGTGAAGGCAGCTTTGAAAACCAATCGGGCAGGTGACTTTTTTAAAATGGGGAAATGGGACAGGCAGGCATGGTGGCTCACACCTGTAATCCCAGCACTTCGGGAGGCCGAGGAGGGCAGATCACCTGAGCCCAGGAGTTTGAGACCAGCCTGGCCAACATGGTGAAACCCCATCTCTACAAAAAAAAAAAAATTACAAAAATTAGCTGGGTGTGGTGGCGCACGCCTGTACTCCCAGGTACTCTGGAGGCTGAGGCAGGAGGATCACTTGAGCTCAGGACTTCAAGGCTGCAGCAAACCCTGACCATGACACTGCACTCCAGCCTGGGTGACAGAGTGAGACCCTGTCTCAAAAAAAAAAACAAAAAAAACAAATAGGGGGACAGGTTTAAGGAGTCGCAGTTGTATGTGCTCTTTTTCCTCTATTTTCCATCCAAACAATGTAATCAATCCAATCCAACAAGATTGACATTCTTACCCCAGAAGTGGAAGAGACAGAGTTCCTCCCCACCAGGCACCAGAGCAGGGCCCAGCGCTCTGAGTGGGGCGGCTAAGTTAGCAAATAAAAATACAGGCTATCCAGTTAAATTTGAATTTCAGATAAATAACTTTTTTCTACTAAAAAATTTTTTTCAATTATCTGAAAGTAGAATGTCACTGGGCATCCTGTATTTTATCCAGCAGCCCTGCCCATGGGGAGTTTGACTCTGGGAGGAGAGACCTGAAGCTACAGAGCGAGAGGTGACTCCCAGAGGCTTCCAGGCAGTCAACAGTCCAGGGAGCACAGCAAGACCCAGAGCCTGTAGTGCCCATGGTGGGAGTATATGTCCCACAGTGATGGTGCCAGTAGTGACATGTGAAAGGGACCATCACTGGGCAGGGTCTGCCTTCTGCCTCAGTTTCCCCCTTCCTGCCGAAAGGCCGTCTCCAGCTTTCCTCTTGATCCTGAGAGCTACCTGATAATCATCCATGAGATTCCTTCCATTATTATGCATTCTTCACTGCAGTTTTCCCAAGTGTATCCTCCTTCCCAGTTCCCAGGCCAGTCCCAGCACAGCGGTGAGGGTCAGAATCCCCACCTTGACCCAAATCCCTTAAAAAGGGCTGGCCACATCCCCAGGAGGCCAGTTCTCAGGAATACAGGCGGCAGCTCTGCTTGCTCTTGACCTTGGAGAACTCGGCCATGCTGTAGAAATCTTTCTACTTGGCCCTGGCCACCTTCCTCTCTGCTGTTCGTGGGCTCATGGGAGAGGGGCCATTTGTCAGGTGGATTTTAGTGCACCTCTGGGGCTGCTGTCCCAGTGCCCACTGCTTTTTATTTGCCTCCGAAGGCTGGTGCTGGCAGGGGCAGGAGTAGGCTTTGCACTCCATTTTTTCCCAATAAAGAGTCCCTCGAGTCCTCTTTCAGCTCAACTGAGAGTGGGTCGATGGAGCCACTTCCTAAAGAATCCTGAGGGGCACGGAGCAGGGGACACAGCACCTGCCAAATATGAGAGAAGGCGGTGGGGCCTGCCCTTGTGGCTCATTCCTAGAGGCCCCACCCCAGTCGGCCCAGGAACGCACCCTCTACCCGGTGACTCTGACCCTCCATCCCTCCTTCACTGTTTCCTGCATACCACGCTATTTAAAAAGAAGGGGCCTACACTGTGGCACACGTCTGTGGTCCCAGCTACTTGGGAGGCTGAAGCGGGAGGATTGTCTGGGCCCAGGAGTTGGGGGCTGTAGTCAGCCTTAATTGCCCACTGCACTCCAGCCTGGGAAAATAAAAAAAAAATAAAAATAAAAATTTTTAAAAAAGGGATTTGGAACAGTACAAATTCAGGTTTGAACCCTGGCTCTACCTCTCCCTGGCAGTAAGATCTCAATGGCTATACCTTGATGAACCTCAGCCTCCTCATCGTCAAATGGGGTAATAAATGAATCTAGTTC
Organism: Homo sapiens; assembly: GCF_000001405.40. NCBI lineage: Eukaryota > Metazoa > Chordata > Mammalia > Primates > Hominidae > Homo > Homo sapiens. The sequence goes on from NC_000005.10 coordinate 171,837,259, forward strand.
ATGGGGCGTGGGTATGGGTGCAGTGAAATGACACAAGTGAGGTGCTTAAACAGTGCAGAGGGCACTCCTAGCCTTCCCTCATGCCCCCTCCTGCACCATAGGAGTCTTACTCTATCCCTGGAGATAGAGTTTGCTAAGTGTGCCAGAGACAGTGGTCTTGTCCTCCCCATCCTGACCAGAAACTCACATACAAGTGTGTCTACAGGATGCCACAGAGAGCAGCCTCAACCAGTGCTGGGTGACGGTGAATCATAATAACAATAAAAGCTGATCCCATTTATTTAGTGTCTTTATGTCCCAGGAACTGCAGAGGGGATAAATCAATAACAAAACCCCTTGCTTTCATGAAGTTTACATGTTTTATCTGTCAATCCTCACATTTGCCCTAGGAAATAAGTACCATTGGTGGGTTCATTTTACAGAGTAGGACACTGAGGCTCAGAGAGGGTGAGTGACTTGCCCAAGGCCACCCAGCTCAGTTAGTAAACTGGGATGCAAACCCAGGGACTCCAAAGCCTATCCCTTTATGACTGCTTGGTTTCACTTAAGCCTCAGGAGAAGGCTGTGAAGTTGGTTCCATTTTGCCAGTGATGAAGGAAAGAGGCTCAGTCAGGTGAAGTCACTTGCCCCAAGTCACCAGGTAGGTCAGGCACAGAGCTTTCAGTGAATGCCAGTGTGTCTGACTCCACAAGGCCATGGGCCCCTCATCTTACCACTAGAAGGGCCACCTCTCAGCATCCCTGGAGGAAGCCAGCAGAGCATGGAGCTGAGGGTCCCTCAAAACACTCTCATTGAAAGAGATCCCAATCCAACTCAGCGGCATTGAGAAAGGCAGCTGCACACCTTAGAGGAGCCTCCTCCTCCAGACATGGCCAGCTCCCGGGACCACCAGGGAGCCCGCCCAGGAGGGAGATGCTGACTTTTTCCAGCCACATTTCTAGTTCTCCCCGCTCCTTCCTTTTGGGAGGCCAATGGGCACCACGTGGACCACAGCCCCGCCCTGCTCAGCCCAGGCATGAAGCCTCAGGAAGCCCAGCCCATCGGAGTACTTGCTCAGTGGCTCCTGCCCGAGTCCATATCTGCTGGAAGAAAGCCGCCGCTCCCCCGAGCTCCCCTCTGGGCACCCCCTAACAGCACCTGCCAACCAATGAAGTGACGTCTGGAGCCCACTCTCCACAGCCCCTACTCAAAGCTTCCCAAAATGATTTTTCCCTTCTGGAAAGCTGTTTTTTGTTTGTTTGTTTGTTTGATTGATTGATTGACTGATTGATTTTGAGACAGGGTCTCACTCTGTCACCCAGGCTGGAGTACAGTGGCGCCATCTCGGCTCACTGCAACCATCGCCTCCTGGGTTCAAGCAATCCTCCCACCTCAGCCTCCCAAGTAGCTGGGATTGCAGACACACAGCGACTCTCCTGGCTAATTTTTGTATTTTCTGTAGAGACGGGGTTTCACCACGTTGCGCAGGCTGGTCTCAAACTCCTGGATTCAAGCTATCCACCCGCCCCAGCCTCCCAACATGCTGGGATTACAGGCGTGAGCCACTGCGCCTGGCCTAGAAAGCTCTTTTTCTTTTTTTTTTAACCCAAACTACATTTTTAATTTTCCCCTGCCAGCACCCCAGCCTACTGCACACATTAGAAACATTGGTAGGAATAGTAGTTTCTCCAGCCCTGTCCTACATGGCTTCAGAGCTAAGGTGGGAATTCCTGCTTAATGGAAGAGGCTAGTGCAAACTTGGCTCAATTTTTACCATATTTGCTACCTCTAGCTATTAGAATTAGACATACCTGGGTGTACATACAAGCACTGTCCTTGCACATGGTGATTAAATTAGGGGTGGGCTATTTTAATAATTTGTTAACTAGTTCTCCTGTGTATTACTCAGGAATTTTAACTGTAAGTGACAGAAATCCAACTCAACTAGGTTCAAGAGGGGAAAAAAAAGGAGAGGTGGGATTTAGGTACTTATTGGATCATGAAACTCAAGAGTCCTGGATAGTATTAGTTTCAACTTCAGGCACAGCTGGATCCAGGAGCTCAAACAAAGTCAAGCCTCAGTCTCTTACCCCATCTCTGTGTTTTTTTCTGTGTTAGCTTCTGTTATGCGCTGAATTGTGCTCCTCCCACCTCCAGTATGTTGAAATCCTAACCCCGGGTACTTCAGATGTAACTATATTTTCTGACAGGGTCTTTAAAGAGGTAATTAAGGTTAAGTGAGGTCATTAGGTGGACCTTAATCCATTATGAGTTGTGTATGGCCGGGGCACAGTGGCTCACGTCTGTAATCCCAGCACTTTGGGAGGCCAAGGCAGGCGGATCACAGGGTCAGGAGTTCCAGACCAGCCTGGCCAATAAGGTGAAAGCCAGTCCCTACTAAAAATACAAAAATTAGCTGGGCATGGTGGCTTGTGCCTGTAGTCCCAGCTACTCGGGGGGCTGAGGCAGGAGAATCACTTGAACCAGGAGGTGAAGGTTGCAGTGAGCCGAGATCAGGTCACTGCACTCCAGCCTGGGGACAGAGTGAGAGACTCCATCCCAAAAGAAAAAAAAAAAAAAAGGAGAAGAAGAAAAGGAGGAGATTGGGACACAGACACACACACATACAGAGGGAAGACCATGTAAAGACACCAGAAGAAGACAGCCACCCATCTACAAGCCGAAGAGAAGCCTCAGAAGAAATCAACCCTGCTGACACTTTGATCTTGGACTTAGCCTCCAGAATTGTGGGGAAATAAATTTCTGTTGTTTAAGCTCCCCAGTCTGTGATACTTTGCTATGGCTGCCCAAGGAAACTAATGCAACTTTGTTGTCAAGCAACCTGTCTTCACATGGTGACAGCATGGCCCCTGCAGCTCCTGGTGGAGATACCCAGCTCAGCAACCTCAGGAGACAGTCTCTTTTCTGCAACAAGTCTAACAAAAATCTCAGAACTGAGTCTCATCGGTCGGCCTCTGGTCACATGCACCCTCCTGAGCCAGTCCCTGCAGCCAGGGGGATGGAAGAGGCTGATTGGCCAGACCTGAGTCATGTGCCACCCCTCAAGCAGTCAGCATCAGTGAAAACACCAGGCCTCAGAACAAAGGAGGTTGTCTCCTGGGGAAGAGCAGGTGCTAGGGGGCTGAAACAGCAGGTGTCCACTTTCCCCTGCCTCTAATCTTCCCCCACCTCTCAAGCCATTCTCTACTGAGCTGCCTGGGAGCTCTTCCTTTTTTTTTCCTTCTTTTTTTTGTTTTGTTTTCGTTTTCTTTGTTGTTGTTTTAGAGATGGAATCTCACTCTGTCACCCAGGCTGGAGTGCAGTGGTGCCATCTCGGCTCTCTGCAACCTCTGCCTCCTGGGATCAAGCGATTCTCCCTCCTTAGCCTCCCGAGTAGCTGGCATTACGGGCACCCACAATCATGCCTGGCTAATTCTTGTATTTTTGTAGAGACGGGGTTTCGCCATGTTGGCCAGGCTAGTCTTGAACTCCTGACCTCAGGTGATCCACCAGCCTTGGCCTCCCAAAGTGCTGAAATTACAGGCGTGAGCCACTGCACCCCGCTGAGAGCTCTTTCTTCATTTAAAATCGGACTACCCAAGCCACTCCTTCAAGAAAGGATCAGAGTCTGGCCCTGCCGGCCTCTCCTCCACTTCCCCTCTCAGGAAACCTCCACCCCTTGCCACTCTTGGCACGTGACAGGCACTTTCAGCTGTTGGGGCATCTTGCTGTGGCCTCCTCTACCTCTAAAACTTCTCTACTTCCTCCTCAAGGCCCACGTCCAACATCACTCTCTCTGGGAACCCTTCCCTTTTGAGGCATAGCCGCCTCGTTTCCAAAGTAGACCTGGATACCATGACGATAAAAAGCTGGACACACTGCCTCGGTGCAGATCTGCTGGCTGTGTGATCTTGGGTAAGTTACTTACATCTCTGTTCCTCCATCTGCTTAGTACCTAGTCCCCAGGGCTGTTGAGAGAAACAAATGATTAATACATGAAAAGCACTTAGAACCGTGTCTGGTACATGGAAAATGCCTAGTAAGCGTTAGCTGTTATTACCTCATGTTTGAACACACCTCTGCTGGGAATTATCTGTTGGCCCATCTGTTTCCCTTATCAAGTCTGCACGCTCCTCTAAAGGAGGGCATCTTCGCCAGCTCAGGCTGCTGTAACAAAATACCAGAAACCGGGTGGCTTATAAATAATAGAAATGTATTTCTCACAGTTCTGGAGGCTGGAAGTCTGAAATCACGGTGCCAGCATGATCAGGTTCTGGTGAGGGCCCTCTTCTGGGTTAAGGCTGACTTCTTCTTGTGTCCTCACATGGTGGAAAGAGAGCCAGGGAGCTCTTTTCAGTCTCTTTTTTAAGGGCACTAATCCCATTCACAAGGGATCCACCTTCAAGACCTACTTACCTCCCAAAGACCCCACCTCCAAATACCATCACTTTGGGAATTAGATTTCAACACGGGAATTTGGCCGGGGACACAAGGCTCAGTCCATGGCAGAAAGAGAGCTTATTCATCACACTGGCTGCATGGTACTTAGGAGGTATGAGGTGTGCTGTATCCCCAGCACAGAGAAGGTGCTCAGAATTTCATAGCTTTCAATAAGTGAATGAGTGAGTGAGCGATTAAGCGAGTGAGTGAATGAACATAGAGGAAGAGTCTTGGACAACAGATGGAACAACCTTCTCCCTTGATCTGCGCAAACCTCCACCTGTCCCTGAAACAGCCCTCAACCCTGAGCCAACCCCACCCCTTTCTCCTCGAAACCATCTTCCTCTTAGTCCCTCCTCCTACTTCATTCAGCCGACATTCAAGTGCAAACCACCGGGAAAACCCAAAGAACGTTCATGGGATAAATCACCCAATTACTAATCAGGTCCATCCGTCCACCATTAACCACTATTTTCCCTGCAAAAAGTAAACACGCCTCCTCCCCACAGCCTGACACGAGGGCCATTAAACCCAGGAAGGGCGTGTCTCCACAGCAGCCCAGAAACAACTTGAAAGTGGAAAAATACGGTGGACTCGGTGATTCAGTGGTCGTTCAGATATAGCCAAAATGTTTGGTTTCAGCCTTGACGGAAGCCATTGCCCTCCTATTTCGTCTCCTCTAAGATCGGAGAGTGTGGACTTTGATAAGACGTCCTTCTCAGGTCCGACAGCTTTGTGCTTTCCCGGATGAGCTTGTCAAGCACTTGAGTTTCTTTCAGACTTGGCTCCTGCCCTGGGCTAGGCATGGGGGTGCCCAGAGATTCTGGCGCAAGGCAGGTGAATCTGAACAGTGCTCCCCAAAGGAAGCCGAGGTGGTGCTTCAGAAACCAGGGAGCGCAGCCCCCATACTTGGGCGACACATTTGGCTCTGGCTTCTGGCAGCTAAGGCAGAAAGAGAAGCACATGGGGTTGCATAGTTTTCATTTTCCAACAACAGAAAGCATGTTCAGACCTCGGCAGAGACAACATTTTTCCTGGAACCAGGCTCTAGAAGGAATGTATCGGGGCCCTGCGGGGTTAAGAGCACCAGGTGACAGAGCAGATGAGTCCTGCCCCTGTCCCTGCATTCGTTCGTTCATTCATTCAAGCAACCAACACCTGTTGAACCCTCATGCTGTGTCTGGCCTCACCTGGGGCCACAGAGAATGCCTGACACAGTCCCTGCTACTCAAGGTTTCCAATTCTCCCCCTCTACCTTCAGCCCCACACCCCCACTCCTCAGTTGATCACACCCATCCTCCCATCAGGAGCAACCATGACAGCAGTGTTACCCCAAGTGCTGGATTAGACTTCCTCCCTCATTTCTGGAATGTAACCATCTGGAGAGGAGATGGGGGCCGGGAGCTGCCTAGGTCCCCTCCTGCCCCCAGCAGCCAGCCTCCCACTTCCTCTTTGCTAACAGAACCCCAAGTGTTAGCAGGTGCCCTAGGGGATGCACGCTTGATCTAAGAAAGCCAGGCACTCCCATTCCCCTTCATTGACTGATCCTTTCCCTTTCCTTATAGCTAGAGATGGTCATGTAATCCAGTTCTGGTCAAAGACACGCCTGGACTCTGCAGAACCTCTGTTCTTCTTAGTAAATGAGGAGCCCCTACTTTCTGCCTCGAACACAGCGTCCGAAGACATGATGATCCAAGCTGTGGTAGCCTCTTGACTGTGAGGGGATATGTCTGGACTCTTCAAGGAAATACATTGAGGACAGCAGAATAAAGAGAAAGAGAGAGTTTGATGCTAACTTCAAGTCATTGGACCAACCTGGGATTGACTGCCGGCCTGCAGATATCTAGTATAAGATGTTGGCTGTGTGCCATGGCCCATGCCTGTAATCCCAGCACTTTGGGTTGGGAGACCGAGGCAGGTGGATCACGAGGTCAAGAGATCGAGACCATCCTGGCCAACAAGGTGAAACCCTGTCTCTACTAAAATACAAAATATTAGCCAAGCATGGTCACGTGGGCCTGTAGTCCCAGCTACTCGGGAAGCTGAGGCAGAGGAATCGCTTGAACCCAGGAGGCGGAGGTTGCAGTGAGCCGAGATCACAGCACTGCACTCCAGCCTGGCAACAGAGCAAGACTCTGTTTAAAAAAAAAAGATGTCTTGATTGTATAGGCCTCTGTTAGCTGGTTAATCCTATTTGCTTACAGCAGAATGCATCCCAATGAATACAACAGGTATACGTGCAATGAAAGAGAGTTCAGTCCTAGGGAGACTGCAAGGGGGAAAAAGTAGGCTCTGGGGTAAAATAATTAAATAATTCTTCCTTTCATGGTGGTCATGAAATGGTAGCTAACATTTATTTGCTTTGTGTTTTTTTTTTTTTCTTTGTGAAGCACCTGTCTGCTATTGGTGCTATATGTTTTTGAAAATTCATTTTTACCTCTCCAAGCCCATTTCCTCACTGGATTCATGGAAAGATGAAGGAGAGACTGCATGTGAAAAGGGTGGACATACTTTCTGTCTGGCTGGCTGCCTGTCTTGTTCACTGCACTTTCCCAGCACTAGATAAAGTTTTTTTTATTTTGTTGTTTTATTTTTAGAGACAGGGTCCCACCATGTCATCAAGGTTGGAGTGCAGTGGCACAATCACAGCTCACTGTAACCTCAAATTCCTGGGCTTAAGTGATCCTCTCGCCTCAGCCACCTGTGTGGCTGAGACTACAGGGACACACTACCACTCCAGGCTATTTTTTAAAATTTTTTGTCAAGACAAGATCTCGATATGTTACCCCAGCTGGTCTCTAACTCCTGGCTTCAAGCAATCCCTCCCACCTCAGCCTCTCAAAGCACTGGGATTACAGGCATGAGCCATCCCTAGTTAAAATTTGGTAAAGAATAAAGCTCTTTCCCTCCGGCTTATAAAATCAGGACTCAGTAGTTATTGCCAAATGTGCCCCATTGGTTAATTTGGATCTTTCCCCATTCCTTGCATGTCCATTGGCCATTCGGGCTTCATTCCTAGAATATATATTTTTTGGGGGAGATGGGGTGGTGGGGATGGAGTGTTGGTCTGTCACCCAAGCTGGAGTGCAGTGGTGTGATCTCGGCTGACTGCAACCTCCGCCCCCTGGGTTCAAGCAATTCTCCTGCCTCAGCCTCCCAAATAGCTGGGACTACAGGTGCCCACCACCACGCCCGGCTCATTTTCGTGTTTTTAGAAGAGACGGGGTTTCACCATGTTGGCCAGGCTGGTCTCAAACTCCTGACCTCAGGTGATCTGCCTGCCTCGGCCACCACACCCGGCCCACTCTTAGAATATTTAATGAAGATTATCTTGATAAATGTTATCAAAACATTCAATTGACAAACACCAAATCAGTGTTTTTATTTATTTATTTATTTTTTGCTTGTTCCAAAGTACTTTCTGTATATATGATTGCACTGCCTAAGTGTTGTTCTCTCTTTGCATATGAGAAAACGAAAGCTTAGAGAGGTCAACTGACTTTCCCAAGGTCATTTGCTGATAATAGAATCAAAGGACAAGAGGCCAGGCTCTCTTGTGCTGAGCCCTGGCCTGGCTCCCCACTGCCTTGGGGTGGTGGGGTAGGGCCTAGTGGGGAGGTGATGCTGAAGGTGGTGTGGGTGATGGATGGCAGTGCCGCAGGGCTCTTCTTTAAGGAGGCCCACCCCTGCCTTTCACTTCCTGCTCCAGCTCCACATGCCCTGTCATTTAAGCCTCAGCACTTTGAGAGGCCTCGAAGGCCGACCCCGTGACTCCCCCAGAAATGCCTGTGCTTCCTTCCCTGTCATCTCAATGCAGAGAGCGCTCACCTCAGCAAGTTCAGACTGTGCAGGCTCGGGAGGACCTTCCGCTCAGCCAGGAGCATGGCTGGTTTGTCTCTGGATCCTCAGCACGCAGCGGGCAGCCCAGAGCTGGGCAGGGCGTTGCTGCTCCATGCGCTCTGCACTGACTTGATGACGTAGAGAGAGAGAAGGCCGCCTGTTTCCCAGGTGGAGAAACTGCATGGGGAGAACATTTTTTTCTTAGACACCTGGGGAATGAAGCGTTAACTAAGGTGATACAACTTGGAGTCCGGGAAAGGGGATTTGGGCAGAGGCTGTGGAGGGGCCTGTGGGGTGGAGAAGGCTGCAATGATCCCAGGTCCCCAGGAAAGAGTGGATCCACCTGTGTGCAGACTTTCCCCACCCTAGGAAAACAGGATGCAGGCCTTACCTCCTGTCTTTGAGCCAAAAGGAGGGAGAGCCACCACCTGAGTGTCCCATATGAGACTGCTTTGCCCCAGGAAGGGGGAAAATCCTATGTCACTGCCAAGAAGGTCCAGCTAGCTTCAGTAGAGAAATCATGACATCCAGTGGACATATGTGTCATCCCCAGGCTCAGGCAATGGCCTCCAGCCAGGAGGCCTTCTAGGGCTGGGCCAACAAGGCACTGTGGAGTGAGCGCTGGGAGGCTGAGTCTGAATCCTGATTTTGCCTCTTAGCTACGTGACTTGGGTAAGTCTCTTCCCCTCGCTGGGGCTCTGTTTCCTCCACTGAAGTGGAGAGTGTCTAAAAGCATGTTTGTGAACTGTGATGCAAATAGGTTCTCCCATGATCAGAAGCTGTGTTTCTTGCTAGGAGTAGTTTCAAGGCAGTGCTACCTAGGAGAGGGAGGGCAAGCTTGAATGATGAAGCACGTAACCATCTCCCCGGGCACTCCTGCACAAATGGCTCGCAGCTGCTCCCAACCCTACAGGCTGTTGCCAGGATAAGATGAGACCTCTTGTGGGTGCACAGGCAACGGCACTCCTGAAATATGGGGATGCAGATGTTCCCACCCTGGGACACAGGATGAAAGCGCTGGGTGTCAGCGCCTGTGAAAACCTGCAGAGGGCCTCAAGGGATCCGCATTTCCTGAGCGGGGCTCCTGCAGACCTCCCACTACATCCAGGCTGACATCTCACGGGGCTCCAGGGCCAGCACCAGACAGAGGTCAAGGCCACCGTTTGGTAGAGCAGTCATCAGACCCAGGGAGCCAGGCTGGAGAGAAGGGGCAGAGCCAGAAGAGAGCCCCCCATCCCCCGCATCCCACCTCCACCACCCAGAGAGGGAGGAGGAAACCTGAATTACAAACCCAAATCAGAGCTTAAATCCCTGAGTTCCAGCCAGAAGAGAACTGGATTAAGCAGCCTGTGGTGAGGCACATGGAGTGGGTGGGAAACCAGAGTTAACTGCGTTCTGGACACAAAGTTGCATTTTTGCACACCTGAGTTTGTGACTGAGAAATAAATATTCTCTGTTTAAGCAAAGCATCTGGACATAGTAGGCCCTCAGGAGAGCGTGCCTGCCTTTCTGTTTCCTTTCTGTCCATGAAATGAGCTCCAGATGGTGCAGAACCCCGTAGGTCCACCTCCCACTCCCAGCAGGTCTGCATGTGAGAAGGTGCTGAGCCATTCATCCAGTTCACCTTGATTTCCCAGAAGAAAAGGAATGTGTGTGACCCCTCTGAGGTGAGCCCAGTCTGGGCATGAGACTAGTTCTCAACATGAACAATAACTTTGTTGTGCACCTACTATGTGCTGAGCACTTTACAGGCAGCGTCTCATCCCCCAGCAAACCTGAAGGGAAGTGTCATCCCCCACACTGACTTTACCCCCTTTGAGGGGGTGTAATGTTCTTTCAAGCTGCATACGCTTAGGAAGTTGAGGCACTGGAGTTTGAGCCTGGTTTCTGGCCACTTTCTCCCAATAAGGACTCTGGGCTTAGCCATATTCACTGAACCCTGGCTGTGTGCAGGACCTCATGTTGCCACTTCACAGTAAAACAGGAAAAGTTAACATTTACTCAACAAGTCTTGCATGCCAGACACAGGCTCTGTGCTTTCTATACATTCTTTTATTTATTCCTCACAAAATTCCTGTGATCTCCTCTTTCCTCCCATCTTGCAGATGAGGACCCTGAGGCTCATGGAAGTTACAGAACTCACCTGGGGCCAGTCAACCACTCAGCAGCAGGGCCGGGTCTGCCCCAGGTCTGTGTAGTGTCAACGTCCTCACTCTTGGCCACTCTGTGATTCTAGGAGAGAAGCCATGCTGTAAAAGATTCCAGGTCATGCCTTGACAGGTTACAGTGACCACATCCAGGAGATCTTTAAGGCCTTAATTGTGCCCTTCAGTTCCTGTCATCATCATTATCATTATCTCCACCACCACCATCATCATCATCTACATGCCTGAAACTGGCGTATTCTTATGCCATGAACTGTAAAATATTTCATTTATTTTCCCTACTTTAACCAGCCTTGTGACCTTGTTCAAGTAACCCCACCTCTCTAAGCCTCAGTGTTCTCATGCATGAAATGGGGCCTGTAAATTCCATTTGCAAAAGGACAGTGAGCTGTTGTTTTCATCCCCAATCCCTCTCCTCCCTGAACTCCCTCCCTGAACTCCCTCTCCTTCCTCCGTGAAGTGCCCTCCGCCCCCAGGGCCTGGATTCCGGCCACCAGCTCTCCTGCCCCGGCTTTTAACGTTGGTCCCTGCAACAGGCCAGAACATCTGCCTGTGAACGCCATGGAACTCTGCCCCTGCGCTGGGGTCCTGCCAGCAAAGAGTTTAAACAAACAGAACTGGGCAGAAACGAGATGGTCCGCCGGTTGTAAAGGGTCGCACCTCATGCGCACACGCTCGGGTTTCATGATAATCCGAGTGATGGTTCTCCTGAGGAGGATTAGGAAGAAAACGTTAGGGGGCTCTGCGGGGAGCAAGAAAAAGTGGTTGTGTACCCAAGACAAACACTGCCAAGAAAGTGGCCTTTGCTGACCAATAAACCAAAGTGTGGGAGGGGGTGGGATTGGGGTACTGGAGGAAAGGAAAATTTGGGGCTCTGTCCAACTCTTCTAGTGCCTAAGTCAGACCTTCACCAGCAGAAGACCGTTCCACTGAATGTGTGGAGAGAGATTACAGCAACCCCAAACCACTGTGGTCAGAGGCTGGCGGGAGCTCCTGCATGTGGGGGAGGAGCAGCAAGCCCATGTGCCCTCCAGAGCCAGGCAGGTAAGCCAGGAGGGGCGCAAGGGACACCGCAGAGCACACACAGTGAGCCACAGCAAATGACACCGGCCTCAGCACTGGGAAGGTATTAGGGAGTGGTGGGGACTGCATCCAGCTGGAGGAACACACCCCACCCAAAGCAGGCACCTGGGACTGAGCTGCAGCTCCAGCCGGTCTCTGCCAGGCAGGAATGTAGGCCCAGTGGTGCCAATCTTCTCTGATTTTTTTTTTTTCAAGAGAAGCAGAAAAGAACAAATTTTGTTTTTTGATGTGCAGGTTCTCAATTTTTAAACATTGGCAATGAGTTCAAATGGGTTTTGAAATACTATGTGGGCCAAGCAAAATATATCTGTTAGCCAGATTTGACTCACAGGCCACTGGTTTGCAATTTTCTGAAGTTTTGGTACCGTAATAAAAGCAATGGGTCCTGCCTGGATTCAAACACCAGTTCTCCCATCTGCTGGCTGGGCAACCTTGGGCAAGTCCTCTAGCCTCTCCAGGCCTCAGTTGCTCCATCTGTAAAATGGGGATAATAGTAGTGTCTACTTGATATGATATTTGAGAAAACTTCATGAAATCATGTCATGGAAATTCCTTGATATCTCTCTCTCTCTCTGGAAATGTTAGCTTTATTACTAATGCACCCTCTGCAGGCTCCCTGGGGGGATGGAAGATAAAAACAGCGGCAACGGGCAAAAACGGAGGTGAGGAAAATGGACCAAGCAGGCAGAACAGAGCCAAACCAGAAAACGCCGGCCAAGCTTTCCCTTACTTGCTGTGTCAGAATGGCCCTTCAGGGATGATTGGCACAAGCTGACATCAAATTGACAAGAAAAGATTGGGCAGTGGCCTGAAGAGTGGCCCTCCAGTATCTGTCCACCTCTTTCCAAAATAGCAACAGGCGACCTTGGGAGACCTTTTGGATTGCAGCAGGAAGAAAGTCAGTTACAGAGGGTGTCCTAGAGGAGGTAAAAGGATGCCTCCGGTCTGTGGCTCAGCCACTGCCCCACTCTGTGACTTCAGCCAAGTCATTTCATCTGCCTCTGAGACTCCACTTACCCATCTGTAAAATAGGTTGACAACAGCTGCCTCTCAGGATGCTGGTGGTGATTAGCGATCACGCAGTATAGGTAGGGTCTGGTACAGAATTCATGTTCGACAAGTGGGAGCTGCCGTTATTGGCTGTCGTTTAGTTATTTTTATGAATGAGGCAATAGAGGTGCTTGTCTGACCAGCATCCGCTGACCTCTCTTCAAGTAACTGCCCCGTTTGCCTCTAAAGAACCATTCCTCTCCTGTTCCCCACCAAATGGTTCCGTTGGTGTTGGCTCCTCCCCAGGCTCCAGGGACAGGCGTGTGAACCCGGCACAGCTAATGAGAATAGCGTAGTATCCCAGGCCAATGGGAATCAGATCCAGGACTTGCATTCAAACCATGAGGGAAGAGAAGCTTTCCCTTTCCACCAGATCTGTTCTAGTGAGGAGTAGGCCGGAGCTGCTGGCAGCTTTCTCACTGCCACATGGGAAGAGCCTGTCTGAGAATGATATCAATAATGAGGAAATCAGAGCAAAGATTTGGAAAAATTCTTGTTTCTTGATAACACTGCTTAAGCACCTGGATCCAGCTGTGCCTAAAGTTAGCACTGTGTCGGACTCTTCAGTTACCACAGCCAAAAAATTCATTTTCTGGCTTAGACCATTTTGGATTGGGTTTTCTGTAACTTGCAACCAAGAAACTCAACAGATATACGAGCCTTAAGGATGAGTTACGAAAACACCCCAGGGGAGAGTTTCATTAGCTGGCACGTCTTATAGGCTCTCAGACCATGCTTTGAGCATGATAGCACTACTTCCTTCTTCCAAGAGTATGATAAAAATCCTTCCAAGAGTATTCCAAAAGCCTTGCACAGACTTTGGGTAATCTTCTCTTAAAGCAGTGGTTCTCAATGGGAGAGGGATTTTGTCCCCTAGAGGACACTTGGCAATGTCTGCCTACATTTTGGGTTGTCACAATGGGGAGGCAGGAGGGATGATACGTGCTACTGACATCTAGTGGGTAGAAGCCAGGGATGCCGCCAAATATCCTACAAGGCACAGGACAGACCCCACAAACAATGATCCCATCCAAATGTCAGTCGTGCTGAGGTTGAGAAACCCAGGAGAAGTGATACATCATCCCGTGTTCTACTCCTACCAGCCCCACCATACTTAAAGACGAAAACCAGGCCACTTAATGGGAGTATGGGAACTTTATATACCTCATGATGTTTTCTTAGGGTATGCAATGCTGTGATTCAAGCCCAGTTGAAAGAAAGACATTGCCCAAAGTTTACACACAGATATGCCTAATCCCCTCTGGGGTCTGCAGCCTCCCTGCTATCACCATAACAATCACAGCCCATAACTACTGGACGAACAGGAAGAGCAGGAAACCTCTCTGAAGATGGACAGTCTAACACATGCCTGCTCTCCCACACCCAGCAATAATGGATCCGACAAATAAGCAAATTATACGAATCCCACATAGCCAATAAAGGGGGAAGACAGCATTTCCTCTCTGTCTAGAGGACCATTTCTCAGTGTACTGCTCCTCAGAACACTAGTCCTGTGAGATACTCAAAGGGGAAAAAATAATGATTTCAAGGTCAAAAAGGTGTGGGAAACACGAAAGCCCCTGTTACCTTTGTGGATGGTAACAACATCCATGAACACATGAAAGGCTCTGATAAGTCCCTCAGCAAATAAACCTGCTTCCTTTTCTTTAACTTGCTATTTCCCAAACTCACTTGATCTCAGAATCCCTTTGCACTATAATACTTAATTAATATTCCACTGAACTATTGTCCCACAGGACACACATTGGGAAACATTGCAAGGGAACTACAAAGAAAATGAAATATAAGATATTAATGAGATGTAATAGCTGATCCAGGGAAACCAGGTGACGGTGGAAAGAGACCAACCGCTTTGGCAGGAGAACTGTGCCTTAAACTTCTCAGTATTGCTCATCCCAACCTCCCTGGGGCACCCACTTATTTATGGCTACTCCAAGAAAAGTATCCTGAGGGCCAACCAAGTGCCAGGCATTGGGCTACCTACTGGGATTTAAAGATAAGTCATGGGCTGGCCGTGGTGGCTCGTGCCTGTAATCCCAGCGTTTTGGGAGGCTGAGGCAGGAGGATGCTTTAGGCCAGGAGTTCAAGATCAGCTTGGGCAACACAGCGAGACCCCTTTCTCTACAAAAAATTAAAATATTAAAATTAAAAATAAAAAGAGATAAGTCAGACTCCAGTAGACACTGCGGTAATGAGTAGGAGTCAGAGACCTGGCTGCAGAGCTGATGATGTTGCTCTGTGAATCCAATGCCTTCCTGCTGAGCCCTCTCACTTCCAGGAGCCATGAAACACGGGCGCATTTGTCCCTTGGATCTCAGTCAGTTATACTGACCTTGTCAAAGCTTAGCAAGGAGCTGGGGTGGATGGGGAGGAGCAGAGCCTCCTGGCGGAGTTTGGGTCCTGATCTGTGAGTGATGGTGTCAGCCACACCTGAGTGCCCTCCTAAGGGAAACCATCCCATCAGGAGGCCCAGGGGGAGGGAAATGGCTTTAGGCTGCGCTTGAACAAGGAATGCCCCCTGATTGGTCAAAAGGGTCCCCTGAACTCAAGAGCAGCGCATCCATTGGCTGCTTGGTGACCTATGAGGACGCTGGAACAAAAAGCCCCACCCAGGAGTTTCAAGTCATGGAGCTGATCAGGCTCTGTCCCTTTGGATTTAAATAGGAAGAGACTGAGTGAATCAGCAAATTGGTGGCGGAGGAGAAGTTGCTCAAGAAACCAAAAGCTGACACTGGAGTGATGCAGCGAAGTTTTTGTGAACTCCGGCTACGGAGGGATCTGAGAGCTAAAAGCCTGCCCAAATTCCTGACCTCGTGGCACAACCAGGGCAGACCCCAGGCAGGTGGCCCACGGCCCTGGCTCTTATTCCGTGAGTCAGCACGGGAAACTTGGGGTTCGGCTGCTCCTCGAAGAGCCAGTGCCAGCTCAGCCTGACTTCGCCCAGGGAAAGGCACCGTTTTGGAACCCCACAGTCACCAAAAGTGGGACCTCAGTAGTAATGACAGTCCTGTCCAAATGCTGCTGGGATGGGTCTGGGCTTCAGCAGGAAGCCCCTTCGCCTCTGAGGGCACCTGTGGAGTCTAGGACCATTTGAACATCCCAGTTCCTTTCTTCCCAGTTCCTTTCATCCCATGTCTGCCATCGTGACACATTCTGGCTGAGATCACACCCAGAGGGTTGACAAGGCTGTCCCAGAAATCATGTGGTGGGCACCGCAGAAGCACAACAATGAACCTTGTTCCTGGAAAAATAAGGCCACGTGCTGTATCCAGAAGTTCTAGACAGGGCTGAATGGGGTTTGGGAGGTGGGGGTCAAGATGAGGAAGGTAATCAAGGTTATGTACTTGCCTGGGTAATGAAATTATGCCACCAAGGCTTACAGAAAGGGGGCCAGGGTCAACTTTGCTTTCCTGAATTCTGCTCTCCAACCAATAGAGTTACAGAGGGGGCAGCAGCCACAGGACCACATCTTTGGATACTCATGGACACCAAGATGGCAGGAGTAGACACTGGGGATGGCTAGACGGGGGGAGGGAGGGGATACGTGTTGAAAAACCACCTATTGGGTATGAGCTCAGTACCTGGGTGATGGGATCAGTCGTACCCCAAACCTCACCATTATGCAATATGCCCAGGTAACAAATCTGCACATGTGCCCCCGAATCCAAACTAAAAATTGAAATTCTTGAAAAAAGGGAACCATGTTGTATACCCCTTGAATTTCACTTGCAGTTTTAGAACCTAAGTCTCAGTGACTGCTGTCTCAGGGCATGAGGGTGAGAGCCAGTTTGGTGAGGCCACCAGTGGGTCCCACAGGCAGCAGAGGCCCAGAACTCCTCTACAGCTTTCCAGGAACCATGCATCTATCAGCAAGACTTGGGTTCAAATCCCACTGGGTTCACTGAGCCCCCATGTCCTGCTATACAGGCTCTTCCATTTAGTTATGTGTATGATCACAGTTGTTCTCCCCACAACAAAGCTTCCTCACACATAGTAAAGCTATGACAAAGGCTACATAGTAAAGCAGAACGGGGCCGGGCATGGTGGCTCATGCCTGTAATCCCAGCACTTTGGGAGGCCAAGGTGGGTGGATCACTTGAGGTCAGGAGTTCAAGGCCAGCCTGACCAACATGGTGAAACCTGGTCTCTACTAAAAATACACAGTTAGCTGGGCATGGTGGTGCACACCTATAATCCCAGCTACTTGGGAGGCTGAGGCAGGAGAATCGCTTGAACCTGGGAGGCGGAGTTTGCAGTGAGCCAAGATGGTGCCACTGCACTCCAGCCTGGACAACAAAAGTGAAACTCCATCTCAAAAAAAAAAAAAAAAAAAAAAGCGAATGGAATGAAACTTGCAGGCAATTTAAAATTTAGGATTTACCCTTTTCTTGTCTCCCTCTTCCTTCTCACTTCCCTATCCCTCCCAATAGTTAGTTTAAAAGCAGAATCATTTGCATGACTGAGTGCTTGCATGTAGACTTTTCTCTTTTTGCCCTTGGCCAGCTTGATGGTACTCAAACTCTCAATGGGTGCAGGAATCACTGCACTGGGTCCCATCCATACACACTGTGTACTGTATTGAAGCCACATTTTAAGGGTTTTTCAAGCATCTTGGACTCTATGGTTTTCCACCTGCAGTGCTCACTTTAGAATCTGAGCATCATGAAAGGGGAAACTCCACTGCATGCCCAAAGTTCTGGAATCCAGGAGTTTGTTCATTCAACACATCTGCGTTATTAGTACCTGCGACTGGGGCTGAAGACACAGAGAGGACCAAAACATGGGTCCTGGCATGGAAGAAATCAAAAGTCCTCCATAAACCCTGGCTGGGCTCACTTCATCTCACTGAATGCTCCGAGCAGGTCCGGGAGGGAGGACTGATTAGAAAGGAGCCGCGCCCTGTCCTTGGTCACCTTACCCCTGAAGAGCGTCGATGAGATTCAAACCCAAACTTTTCTGACCCCAAAGGCAGACTATTTTGACCCTTTCTGCTCGTGCACATTAAAAGCTAAAATACCAAAGAGAAAGTGAAAACGGCTCAAAAAGAGTTCAGGGGCTGAGGGCTTTTAGCTCCTGCTCTGTGGACCAGGGAGGAGGTGATATTTGAGCTAGGCCTTGACGAACATGCAAAAGTAGTCATTTCCCACAGGAAAAGGCGTGCCTAGTGGCAGCAGCAGGGGACACTGGCCAGCCTCCATTCCCCTTTTTGCTTGGACCCCAGAATCCTAATCCTCTGGGGATCTGCCTCCCTTCCATTCTCAGCCCGTGTGGTTTGTGTGGGGTCGACCCCAACCCTGACCACCAGGGATTATTTCCGTGGGTTTTAAGGGTGGGCACATGATTCTACCTGAGCCAAGGACACTTAGTCCCATGACTCTTTGGGGCTGCTGGGAAGAGATTTTGCTCCACCACAGATGCTCAAAGGATAGGACATGCTCTTGCGGCTGCTGGGAAGAGATTTTGCTCCACCAGAGACACTCAAAGGATAGGACATGCTCTTGGGGCTGCTGGCAGCCACCTGGATACCATGTGGAAGCAAGCCTGCTTTAGAATGAAACTGTGAGAAAGGAGAGCCAGACAGAGAGGCAAGGAGGTGAGGCCCAAGAGCTGATGACACAGTTGGAGCTCCTAGATCCAGCCATGCCTGCGACCAGCCCATTCCTTGGGTATGTGTGACACAAGCCAATAAACGCCCTTCTTTGCAGAAGCCAGTTGAATGGGACTTCTAGCCCTGGATCAATAGAGTGAGCAGAGTGGAGGGCTGGGAATACTGGTCTGAGAGGAGGAAGCAGCTGAGACTACATGGGTCATTGCTATTCAGTTGGGACTGCAGAAATCAAAATTATTTTTTAACCTCTTATTTATCACCTCTTATTGAACGTAATTTACAGAGGGGTTGGTCAGAAGCCAGGATAATAGAATTGTATGTGCCTTAGCAGATCTACTGTGGCTCATATTCTCATTTTGACGAGGAAACTGGGGCTCAAAGAGTCAAAGGATGTTACCCAACGTGTTGCAGACAGCAAGTCACCCTACTGAGAGCAGGATGCTAGAGAACAGCCCCGGGATAAGCCAGCTGGGATGTAGGGAGTGGGGGAGGACCTAGATATTGGGCTGAGGAGAAGGAAGTAGTGGGGAAGGCACCTGGCAAGATGCCTGGGCCGGGCAGGCGGCATGGATGGCCAGCCTCAGCGTCAGAAGGAGCAAGGTTCAGATCCTGGCTCTGCTGTTTTACTAGCGGAGCAATCTTGAAAGCCACTTCCTGTCTATGCCTCAATGCAATTGTTTATAAAATGTGGGCTCAGTTCTTCGTTTAACTACAATTTCTTGAGCTCTGTGATTACCACTTCCCAAAATGGTCTCTGAACAAGACAAACAAGGTCCTGGTACTTCAGGTGACATTTCTGGTAAGGAAAGTCAAGAAGCATGGCATTTGTTCCTCATCCGCCTTGCTGTGTCATAACGTAGGCTTCCTGGAGGCAGGGATATTTGTCCGTTTTGTCACGGCCTAGCTTAGCACCCAGCACATAGTAGGCCTTCAATAAATGTGTCTTGAATAAATACAAGTCAACAAATAAAGTAATGGTAAGTACTATAGAGTAAGTGGAACGCAGGATGCAATAGGGGGTAATGTGGGATAATTTAGATTGTCTGGTCAGAGAAGCCTCCTCTTTGGGGGCAGTACTTGGGCTGAGACCTGAATGATGAGGAAGCAGCCGTGCAAATAGCTGGGGAAATGCATGCAGTGCGTGCAAAGGCCCTGAGCTAGAAAAAAAGAACGGAAAGAAAGCTCATGTCGCTGGAGTGGGAGTGAGAGAGGAAAGCATGACATAAAATGGCATGGAAGCAGGGAAGG
This sequence comes from Homo sapiens, assembly GCF_000001405.40. Classification (NCBI taxonomy): domain Eukaryota; kingdom Metazoa; phylum Chordata; class Mammalia; order Primates; family Hominidae; genus Homo; species Homo sapiens. The sequence continues at coordinate 171,856,693 of NC_000005.10, forward strand.
CTCAGATTACTGCAGACCATAACAAGGAGTTTGAACTTGATTCTAAGCACAGTGGCAGTCACTGGGGAGTACTGGGCAGGGGGGTGACATGCTCTGACATGTGCCCACTGTGTGCTAGATGGATTTCAGCAGGAAAGACCATAATGTATGTTACCCACAGCGTCTAGCACATAATAGGTGCTCAGTGTGCAAGATATCCGTCACTGCCCCAATGCCACATCCACATGGTTTGCCAACATCCAATCCAGGCCAAGAATCATGTTCTTATCCTGGGTTCAGCCTCCCTCCAGCTACCCTGTATACTGGGACAGTCCCAGGGAAGCCAACAGACTAAGCTTTGGGGAACATCCTCCTGTCTCCTTTTGGTTACGGTAACAACCCAGGAGAGACTATGGAGAGGCCGGGGGCGAAGGCGGGAGTGAGGCCTTCTGTTAAATGTTGAGTTGCTCCCAACATACTTTTCAGACATTCGTTCGCTTTGCCCAGTCTCCTCCGTAAGAGACATGCTTTCGGATGTGTTTTGAAAAATATTCCATATGCTAATGGAATGTCACCATCTGCCAAAGAAGGCAGAGCTGTTTTTAAAGGAAAAACTATTACAGAAATGAGGTATTCACAGAGGGGCACTAAAGAGCCCAAACGTCGCTGACCTGAGTCTGACCTGGGCTGCCTCGTGTTACCAACATGAAAAGGGAGTGAGAAAATCTGAGGCCAATTAACTTCTCTCCCTCTCTCTCTCTTTTTCTCCCCTTGCCCACCTCTCTCTCTCTCTCTCTCTCTCTCTCTCTCTCTCTCTCTCTCTCTTTTTTCCCCCTCCTCTTCTTGGAGACATGATGAAATTTCCTGAAACAAAAACTCGCAGCCCGTTCAATAAAATGCTTTCGCCTTTGGTGGAAAAAGCCCCGATGGTCCCTTTTATCTCTTCATTCCTGAGGCACAGACCTGGCCCCCGTCTGTTTGTGCAGATGGGCTGCAGGGAGCGTTCCCAAGGACAAGCCAGGCAAGGGCCGGAGTGGAGAAGCTATTCCCGGGCGCCTGTTTGTTATTGCTGCCAGAGCCCTGGCCGTTAGGAGAGTGTGGTGCTGTCTTGGAAGAAGTGTGAAGCGGGATTAGGTGTCCTGCGGTGTGATTAGTGGACAGGCATTGTTCCCCAGGAGGCCCAGGCAGCTTGGAGGCAAGTGTTTGCAAAAGAGAGTTTCCAAGTCCTGAGAGCGTCCACAGGCCCTGCAAAGACTGCTGGGTATCACGCTCCTGCCTCTCCCGCTGCTCCTTCCCACCTTTGTCACAGGCTTGTCCTCCCGTGCCCCTTTCCTAAATGCAGATGTTCCTCTGGGCTCTTTCTTCTGAAACCACCACTTCTCTCCTTCTCTTCTAGGCAGCCCAGGGGCTCCACTCAAACCTCTCTGGGGCCCCTCCAATGTCCACATCCAAATGCATCCCCCTTCCACCCCCCGGATCAACCCCAATTCCCTTATCTGGGAGAGCTGGACACCCCTGCAGCCCATTGCCCACTCCAGAAATCCCCACCTCAAGGCCTTGGCGTGTGTCCACGCCCGCAGCCTAGAACATCATCCTGTCCCAGCTCAGTGCATGACCAGCGCCTGCTTATTGAGATCTTGGATCCAACGTCCCCCAGGCCACACCTAACCACTGCCCAGTGTAACCTCTTCACGGCAATCAACACTATCTGAATTTATCTTGTAAATGCATGTTTGTGGACACTACAGCAATCACTGCGCACTGTTTCTTTCTTCTAGAACGGAAGCTTCCTGAGAGCAGGGACCTTGTGTCTTCTTCCATTATAGCCCCATCTAGTGGCACCCAGGAGACACGCACTGAATATGAATGCTGTTGTCAGCGCCTCCAGCTCCCTCCACACTAAGCCCCGTGGCTCCCAACACCCTCTCTCACCTCCTCATGTTCCCTATTCTGGACCTTAGCATCTCTCTCCTGAATCTTAACTCTAGCTTTCTAATTGGTCACTCCTGAGCCTAAAACCAGCCAGTGGTTGCCCCTGCCCCCAGGATGGAGCCCCCACCCCTCAGAATGGCCCACAGGGCCGGCCACAGTCGGGTCCCCCTGCACCTGTCCGGCCCCTTGCACTCCATCGCACTTTGTGCACTGTTGAAGACACACCAAGAACATATGCCAGGGACATATCAGTGGAGGGGAGAAGAGAAGGGCAGAGGGTCTGTGGGTGCCAAGGGACCACACAGTCTGAGCCTGGCTCTTCAGAGAGACTCTGCGGGCATCCAGGGGCCCACGGAGCATGAAGAGGGAGATGCTAGGGCAGCGCGCTAAGAGGCCAGCTGTGGCCCCCAAGGCAGACCAGAATCAACACTAAGTTCAGCCGCTCCCAAAGACAGATCCAAGCCTCAGTATCTTCAACCATAAAACGGTAAGAACATAAACCATGCAGGGCTACTGGAAGGATGAGAGTACACAAAGCCCTCACCAGCAGCCTGGCACCCACGAATCTTTATTTTTTATTCACTCACTTATCTTCATTCTTGCTGTAGCTGGCATGATCCAACCTCTTCCCCACCATCACCCACCACCTATACACACCCTGAAGGCATGAAATTTTCCCGTCCCCTCTGGAGACAATACAATTCACTGAGGACAGTGACATGTTTAGACCTCATTCTCTTCCCAGAAATACTAGCTGGGGATATGATAGGTTGACTACCTTTATAATTATTTGTAATAATAAAACTAACAAATATAACTCAGTATAAACCTATTCACTGGCCCATCTCCCTTTCTTCCACCCACTGAACAAACCAGGCCCTGATTACAAACTCAAGTCCTCATTGGGACCAGTCCTCAGGGTCAGCTCCTGTATTTCCCCTCAAGAGGTCCAGACAGGCTTCAGGTTTGCCTGAGCACGTTTATTTGACAGCACGACACCCCAGATTCCACTAACTCCTGTCCCTTCCTCCCCTCTGAGCATTCTGTTCCCTTTGTTTAAATGTCTAAGTTGAAGCTGCAAGGCACTGTGCTAGGCACTTTAGAGATGTCATTTCATCCCCATAGTAATCTTAAAACACTGTCTCTGCTCCCCAGCTGAGGAGTTTGGGTTCAGGATAATAAATGCCCTTGCCCGTGGGACCTGCTGCCAATTAGGTGGCAGGGCTCCAATCCTGAGCTAGATCTCTGGGCCCCAAAGCCCAGGCTCTTTCCTCTCTGCCATTCGGTAGAGAAGTGGCCCCCACAGGATGGTCTCAATGGTGTTCTAAGAACATCCCTCCCACTGGGCGTGATGGCTCAAGCCTGTAATCTCGGCAATTTGGGAGGCTGAGGCAGGAGGATCCCTTGAGTCCTAGAGTTCGAGGCTGCAGTGAGCTATGACTGCACCACTGCACTCCAACCTGGGCAACAGAGCTAGATGCTTAAAAAAATAATCCTTCCCAATCCCCTGCGTTGGTGGTATTTGGAAGTACAAACACAGCCTGCGAGAAATGGCAAAGTCCACTGGATCTGAAGGTGGTGGTGAAGGGTAGAGACAGCTTAAGTTGTACACACTGAGATCTCACCAGAACATCAAGTTTAAGCTGTTCCTAAATCTGTCCCCACTCAAGTCTTTGGCCTTGTAATTTCCAGGTTCTCCCAGGCCAGTCCAGTAATAACTCACATACTCTGAGCAATAAAATCAAACAATTCCTAGAGAAAGGATAAGCAGATGACCACAAAGCTGAAAATAATGTACAATCTCATTTATAGGATTCTACTTTCCAGTTTACCTGGCACGCACTAAGAAAAAGTTACTTATGACCTGCCCTACAAATCTTTCACATGGCTACACCTAACCAATATAATTTTTAAATTACTGAATTAGTGCATTTGGTGTATGGGGTCCGTCGTCCTATCTGTGGGCAGGTAAACACCTTGAGATGGCCATATACTCAGTCATCCCACAGATGCTGACTGAGTGCCTACAAAGTGTTGGATTCAGCTCTGTGCAACAAGCCAGCAGGAGCCCCAATATCTTAGCACTACAAGACAAGCTCCCAGAGTCTTCACCGGCTGGAAGAGCAAGCTGTGTATAGAAAAGAGGGTATCTATTGAAGGACATGAAAGAAACTGGTTAACCATCATTTGAGGGACTGGGGGTTAAGGGGGAGAGGAAAAATTACTTTTTACTCTTATCTTTTTGTGATTTGTAAATTGGTTCTCTTAACCACATGCATGACACATTTGAAAAACGTTTTCTACAAGAAAAACGGGTGGGAACAATTACATAGAAATACTCTAATCTCATGCAAAAAGTCCGCATTACCAACTGGGTTGACTAATGGGGGAAGTTTAGCCTAGCTATCAAAAAAACTCAGCTTCTACTCAGTCCTACTGAATAGAATTTCTGAGTAGAATCCTACAGATACTAACTCGACTTTTTCTGCTTCAATACTCTACCAGTGACACACTTGCACACACAAAACTATTCATTTCTGATGCTATGGTGGAGAGGGCTGCGAAACTGCCCCTCACACCTCCATGGCCCTTCTTCAAGAAGGGGAGGATCCACTCACACCTGAAAGCCACTTGGGATGTCTCAGAGGCCATTTTCATGTTGACAGTAACTTGTGAAGCAATTAATTATGTGTGGGAAGCAGATTTGCAGGGCAAGAGTTCTTAGCTAGCCCTCAGCTAACTCCTGAAGTTCAAGCTAGCTTTCGGCAAAAGCCCAAGACAAGGAATCATATCATCTACTACAACATTCTCACACGCCAAAACCAGTTTGCCTTCAAACTCATTTTACAGAACAGATGATTCTAAAGATCTATAAATTTTAATTGTATGTCACTGAATTCCTAACAGCACTTAACAGTTTCTTTGAAAAATTTCTTAACAGAACGTCAGAGTATTGCAACACTTTATTAAGAGTATTGGCTTTGAATCAGTAGCTGAAGTAACAATTGCATGAAGCCAGATTAGGTGCACTGCATAATACCCATACTCGATTTATTGACATTACTTAGCAATTTACTGGACAAAAGTCAAACTTTTTTGTTTTTTATTAAGCACATTCCACAGTACAAAGCTGTCATGAATAATATCTGTACAATTTAACAGTTTCAATAGCTGTTCAGACACAAATTTATTTCAAACAGATAATTGGCAAACATAATTAATTACAAGTTAGAATTAGACTATCCCAGTGCTTTAAAACATTAATATAGCAGTAATTTACATTTGCTCAGTTATGGTTAGCAAAATAAAGTCCAGAGTATGGCTGGGAATTACTATTATAATCCCAGAAAGTCAGAACTCCTTGGGTGCCAAAGTCCCCTGCTATAATTTAGTAGGCACAATTCAAAGGTTGTCTGCATATTCAAAGGCCATCATCTCCCAAGGAACGAGGGGAACTTCTATATTAAACATGCAAAAACAACAAAAAATCCATTCATTCATTCAGAATTGCCTCCTCCCCTGCCCCCTCCCTTCCCCCTGGGCTTTCCTAACCAGTTTGATATTGAAGCTGTAGGATGAAAAGTGGTCAAAGCTAAATCACTTTCACAACCACCATCAAGCTTACAACATCCACCTTATGAATGGAGGTTTATTGTTTACACTTTGAGACTCAACCTCTCAAAAACATAAATTAATTTAGTAACATGGGAAGGAAGGATTTTATTTTTAAAAGAAAAACTAAAAAAGCAAAGCCAACTCAATAAACAAATCACATACACACACACTGATCCCCACACCGTTCTCAATGCAAAGGACAAATCAGAGCCCAGGGCCTTCCCTTTAGTAGTAGAGTGTGCTTCCACGGGAAGAGGTTTACTTTATAGGAGGCTGTTTATTGGTCCTTTAAAATGTTATTGACATTCCTTGATCTTTGGAAACAATGGCGAAGGGCAAATCAAACCTAATATTGAATAAGGGAGAAGGAGTGCCAATTGGATGCCAACGTCCTTTCCATGCACTGTCAGGGCAACAGTGCCATTTACACATTTGGGCTGTGTCGTAGGGAGGACTTGGGAGCTTTGAGAACCTGCTGGGGCCACAGCAGCAGCTGACACCAGAGATGACTGGGGTGGCATTCATGGGCTTGAGGCTTCACTCCACTTCAGAGCACCCACCCCTCAGCATGGGCCTCTGAACCAGCCTGACCTGCCCTGCAGGCTCCAACACACCAGCAGGCCCTGCCAGAACCTTGGCAAGGCCAGGATGCATGAATTCCAGAGCCAAGACAGCCCGTCAACAGGGCCTTCTTATTTCCCCTTCCCAGGGCCACGACTGCACAGAATAATGATTTTTGACAGCGAAGCCAAATGAATACTATGGGAGGTGACCACTTGTACTCAGGAGTACTTATGAGAAAAAGAATAAGAACAAAAAATGTTTAAGGTACCTCTCTATTGTATAATATATACTCCACAACAAATAAAACATTTTGGTGTTAAACCTTAGAAATTACATTTTAAAACAAGATTCTCATTAAAAACACACACAAACCACACACACGCAATGACAACAACAAAATAAAAACACTGTATGAATACTGCAGGAAGGGTTCTAGGTAATCCACATCAACCCAGGTATCAGGTTCTTGAGCCCAGCCCATGGCTAAGTGCGAACACACTCTGTATTAGTGTCTCAAGCACAGGGGGCCCTGACTCCAGCAACTTTGAGGTTAAACTGTTATGTACATTATATCTACATGCGAATACAGTATTTTAAATTAGGAGGCAAGCACACGTATAAAGGTGTTACTCTACCAAATATCAGGAGATGGTTGGGGGACAGAGAACAGTTAATAAAAGAAAGAGCTATATTACCTGTTGGTAGATAATATAACTGACTTATAGTTCTTTAAATTAAAAGAAATTGGTACAGAAAGGAAGTATAATCCCAAAAATATTACTAAAACAATCCAGAGAAAATTTTCCACTGTCCAACATGTTCCTAATACAACAAGTCAGAATTCATAATGACTTGGACGGTCAAAAGGAGAATGCTAACTTTTGAAAATGAAAGCCCTGGACATTCTGGGTAGGTGTTTGGCACCCAAAATTTCACTGAAGAAGAATGCTGTTTCTTAATATCAAACCAAAGTGCAAAGCAATATAAATTAGAGGCCAAGTCTTCTCTTGACGGTCGATTTACTTCTGTAAAACAGATTCTATGTTCCTTTTCTATGAACAATTTACATTTGAAACATTAGATTTTTTCACTGATGAGGGAAGGAAACGGGCTTCTGTTCTACTTGAAGCCGGGGAAGCTAAGGTCTCCTTCTCAAAGGAGAGCCGGAATCAGAGGTGAGAAATGTCGGTACTTGAAGAGTTAGGCTGCTTTGCATCTACCCAGCGTCTAGAACCAATTCCAGCTTCATAACTCAGCTGTGAACGAACTCCCTTAGGCATTTGGTAGCCACGTAGCCAGTAGTTCAAGACTAGAAAACCCTGAGGAAAGAAAAACAGAAGCAAAGGGAGTGTGGGTGAACATTCCGTTTAGATGAGAATACACACACTCCACTCCACCCCCTGCACACAGCTACATGCAAAACTTATTAGCATTAACAGCAGAAGCTGTAAGTTGTTCTGAGTGTACTACATACCAGGTATCACATTTATTTCAACCTCACAACAATCCTGTGAGGAAGAAACTATTATGACACCTGCTTCACAAATAAGAGAACTAAGGCTCAGAAAGGCTAAGTGTTTGGTTCAAAGAGTCAACAAGTGACAGAGAGGGGATTCAAGGAGAGGGCTGACCCTATAACCTATCACTCTCTCAGTACTGCTCTGAAAAAGTACACATATAACAAAAGATGCTTCACATTCGATTTTATATTTAGCATAATCTTTTATGACATTCAGAACCTACAAGAGGCCAGTCTCACATCCTCACGAGAGCCCTCATCGATCACAAGGAAACAAAAATATGCAAAAATTAGCCTTTCTAAAATAGAATGCTAGTAATCAGAAATTACTTCCTTTTTAATAAGTAAATCATTGGTAAAACAACAACAGTATGGGGGAAAGGCCACTGAATGTTCCATAATTTTTTGACTATGGCTTTGAGTCTGAAACACATTTTAATCACAATTTCTACATTCATCATGTATGTAAATATGTACACACACACACAAAAAAACAATATTCATGAGAATACTGATATTCACAATATTTATCATTTTTACATACAATGCAGGCTGACATTTTCTATTCTAAATCAAAATAAAGTCAAAACCCACTCAGATACTGTCACAATAAGTGATGCACTAAACCACTGGCCAGAAAGTCTAAAGTCACCTTAGGTGGCAAAAAAAAAAAAAAAAGCAAGAGAGACTTTTTAAAGCTTGAATGCTTTTTTTAAAAGGTGATTTTCCCAGAAAGTTGTCAATTTACACAAAGATCAAGAATCTTAAGTCTTCTCAATGAATTTAAGATTCAATTTCATTTGCTACTGTTTTCCCATTAAGGATATTTAAGGGAACCTGAATTATTTCAAAAACATTAATGCCCCAGGACCAGAAGTGGACACTCTCAAATGCTGCTGAGGGGAGCATAAACTGACTGAACTCTTCTGGAGGGCAAAATGACCTACATACGCACATGTACCCTAGAACTTAAAGTATAATTAAAAAAAAAAAAAAAGTCTTCAAACGTGATACCTTTTAACCCAGACCCTCCAGACATTTCCAGAATCCCTCCAAAGATGATAAAGGGTTGGACAAATATTAGGTTAAAAGAATGATCATAGCATTGTTTTTTATAATCACTAAAAACTGGGGGTTGGGGAGGATAAATATGTAACAACAGAGCATATCCAAACAATCTAATATAATTTGGCAATTAGGAATAATTTGGACAAATACATTACTAACATGCAAGCATTTCACAATAAAGAAGAAAAACACATTTGAAAATGTACAGTTATAAAGCGTCATTTTAAAAAGCCTGAAAGGATCTATAAAAAGGAGTTAGTGGTAAACCACGAGCAGGAGTTTACTTTCTTCTTTTGGCTTATCTACTTTTTCAAATTTCCTAATAACGATCTTATATTGTCTTGTAGTAAGAAAAAACAATAAATTTTGAGCTACTGAATATATAATACAACATACAGCTCTTAGATGTTACTAATTTTTTTAAAAACGACTCCGCAGATAGATCTACTGCTGCATTTGCTGACATGGAGAGACTCTCACCTGATATTTTACGGGTGAGTATTTTACTGCAAGGTTAAATCATCATTAGGGTAGTGTTTCTTATTATGCATAAATCTTATGGTATCACATGGCTATAATTTTTTTCATGTTACAATAAATGAAAAGCATTTGGGGCCGCACGCGGTGGCTCACTCCTTTATTCCCAGCACTTCAGGAGTCTGAGGCGGGCAGATCAATTGAGGTCAGGAGTTCGAGACCAGCCTGGCCAACATGGTGAAACCCCATCTCCATTAAAAATACAAAAATCAGCTGGGTGTGATGGCACATGCCTGTAGCCCCAGCTACTTGCAAGGCTGAGGCAAGAGGATCACCCGAGCCTGGGAGGCGGAGGTTGCAGTGAGCCAAAATTGCACCACTGCACTCCAGCCTGGGTGACAGAGCAAGACATTGTCTCAAAGGGAAAAAAAAAAAAAAATTAGAAAAGAGCAGTAAAATCTATAAAGTTGACTGCCAAGGTTGTTAAAAGTAATAAAATTGAAGAGACAAACACATTTGTGGTCTCACTGCTTGTGCTGGGATACAGGGAACCTCCAGCTTAAGCAGATAAGATTTTTCCATTGACTTATAATTGATCACAACTAGGCAGTTGTTCTGAGGTTTCCAAAAAAGGTAGGTAGGAGGGAGGGCCTGGAGGAAGTAACACAAGTTTCCTTTCTACCACAGCCAATAAGAAACAGCATTGGTGATCACTGCTTCATCTCTCAACCAAAGGAATCTTGTTCAGGGCACTTTTAGGTAATATATAGATGTTGTCAGTTCATCTATTGTAATACACCAGAAAAAGAAAACCATAATATGGATGTCTTGAATTTTGCCATATGCCTCTTTAAGCAGTTTTTACTTGGGTCCATTCCTCCTTCCCTATATTTTCTTAGGCTTATTGGGAGGGGAGGTCAGGGGGAGGAGCAATCACTCAAGAGATCCTTGTCTCCTTCCTCTGTAATTCCTATTTTAAAGCTCCATTCAATAATTACAGTAATTCTGCCACGTGGATTTTTCAACTGACTTATGAAGCATCTATCCAGAAAGAAAGCAGCAGGGCAGAAGATTATGATCAGGAACAGTCTGAACACACTCGAGACCCATAATAGCAAATAGGTAAGTGGCTTACAGGTCACTCCTGCAAGGCAGACATAACCAACCACAACCAGTCCTTTGGGGTCCACGTGGGGTCCCAGAATCCTTCCAAAGGCAACACACCCACCAGTCACTACTGACCAAACTGAGTTGGCATGAAGAAAACACTTATTTGCCATTCCTGATGTAGACCCTTGGTTTACCGCTAATAGATGGAGCAGGGGCAAGACCAGAAGTCAGCCAACTTTTTCTGAAAGGGCCATATGGTAAATATTTCAGATGTTGTAGGCCATAAGGTCTCTGTTGCAACTACTAAGCTCTGCCACTGAAGCACAAAAACAGCCACAGACAATACATAAAGGAATGAGCATGGCTGTGTAGCACAAATGTTTATTTATGAACACTGCAATTTAAATTTCATTTAATTACTGCATGTCATGAAAAAAATTCTTTTAATTTTTTTAAGCATTTAAAAATGTAAAAACTATTCTTAGCCTGTGGAGACAGGAAAAAAAAAAACTTAATGGATAAGCAGAGACTAATTAAAAAAAAAAAAAACGGGTAGTGAGTTAATTTTGGCCCCTGGTTATATAGTTTCTTGACCTCTAGGTAAGACAAACTTCCTGGTGGAGTTCTATTTATTGGATCTTGGAATCTTGATGAAAGAGTATCTGAAAAGATGGTAACTTAGTGAATAGGTACCAAGAGTTCTCAATCTCTCCATCAAAAAAATTCCTAATTCTGCACATGGACTTTCTTATACTTTTGAAATTCAATGAACAGGAAAATATGTAATGATAAAAGACCACTAAGAATTAAGTAACGATTTTAAATAAATACAAATTTTATTAATCACAACAGTCTTTATATACATATATCCATAGTAGTATGTTTATATGTAAACATTTATTCAATCTACAAAGTTTAATGTGTATAGAATTCACTGGCCCTCAGCAGAACACAGAGTTGTCAATACTGTTCCTAAGTCATCAGTTCCTAGGACACAGCCAAGTAAGACTTCTCATCTTCCAGACTGAACACGCTTAGTAATAATCAAAACATTCTGTCATCAATGGTTATAATGACTTTCAGTGTTCCTGTAACCAGAGGAAAGGACTTTGCTTCTCAGTGTATCTGTTGTGTTTCATGGAAGCAGAATAGGTTTTAGGGGTCTCTCAACAGATACTCTTCTCTGATTCATCCTTGAGGAAAGGATGGTGGTGGGTGGATTGTGGTAGTGGGGAAGAGAGGGATTTTGAATGTTTTGTCAGATGGTGATTTTTTTTTTTTTTTTAATAAAAGAACTGAAGGACAGGAAAGAAAGAGAAAAAGAAGATTCTTGTACCCCAAAATAAAATTCAAGACATTTTACTGGTGTTAAATTGATTATGACCTAAGAAATCATTTAGGAACAGTTTTTAAAAACAGGAACCATGTTCATCATCTGCCAAGATGAAAACCCACACAATAGGCAGGATTCCAACTCAAGCCTTGTATGGATGTGACTATAAAGATCCAGCCTTACACTTGAACTCTGCAAAAGTTGACACGTCTAAGAGAGACCTTGGTTCACACATCACCAAGGAACCCAAATCACAAAATTTCCCCAAAGGGAAGGTGAATTCAATCAGCAAAATTGGAAGGGGAGAGGATAGTACTCACCTGAAACGGGTGAAAGTGCAGACTGTTATCTAGAGATGTAAGTGTATGTTCTGGAGGGAGAACGGGTCTCATTCTGGGCACTGGGAGGCACATTTAAGAAATCCCAAATCAAAATAGTGTCATCATGGGAGCTGCTGATGATCTGAAACTCATCAAACTGGAGCCGAAACACACGTCCAGAATGTTCCTATGAAATACAAAACTTCATGAATAAAATGAGATCTTTACAGCCCCTGATATCTCACAATGAGAAACTGGGCAGAAGATGAAAATGCAGCCACTTAAACAGACTTCCTAAACGACTGTACAGAGCTCACTGAACTGTGTCCTTCATCCCAAGAACAAATGTTCTTCTTTCTTTTCCTGCTAGGCCTTTTCTTTCATTAAACTTTGTATCTTAGACTCTAGTCTACCAATATTTCAAAGATCATCTCAAAAAGGGCCTTATAAAAGTAAACAACAATACATAATACCCATTCTTGATACACTCTAAAAATCCACTGGAAAACCTAGAACCAGAAAGACAGTTTGTTTTAACATGACCAGGATCTACCTCAAATTGCTGCCAGCATCAAAATTCATGGTGAAATAATAATATAAGAGTTCCCATTAAAATCAAGAAGACAGTTCTGCATCTTCTAGTAAATGCAAGAAGTGAAGAAACAGAAATAAAACTACTAAAATCTTTTTTAAATCTACCAATATTTCCAAATGACTATCTCTTCAAAAATATAACAGTACTTATAAATGGTATAAAAATTTATATATAGTATAAAAATGTGCTGTTATTAAAACATAACCACAAATAGCCATATTAAGAAATCTTCCAAACCTACAAGAAGGAAATATTGCTTGCCCTATGAGGAAACCAGTCCACCTACAAATCAGGAAGCCTGCCTTCATATCTTAAGCTGCATTATGTCTCCCCTTAGGAAAGTGCTCACAGTAATGTAAACATCAAATATTCTCTGGTTTTGGCTAAACAAAATGAAGACTGAAATTCTCTGAAGGCATCTTGTGAGACACACAAGCGTTCCTGTGATACACCTAGACAGGACTATCTGCAAATGGTCATCCTCCAGCACAGGGAACCAATTCCCGTCTCAAGAGATCACATACCACCAATGTGCGCAAACACAATGTGCTTGCTGGGGCTCGAGGGTCAAGAGCAGCTTGCAAGTCCCAAACTTTAATTTTCCTAGAAAGGAAAATGAGATGTGATTAGTGGAAAAGTGAACAATTTATATGCTGTCAAACATTTCCTTGAAAAAAAGTAGTGCATCTGAACTGCCTATTTATAAAAGCTAATGGGGAACATGCTTATGTTTTTACAAATCATCTGAACCAATTACACTTGATTTTGGAAAAATTAAGAACCTACACATTCTCAGAATTGCTGAAATTTTAAAGAAATATTATTTTAAGGGAGATAAGAAAACAACTTCAGGTTATCTAAATTCAGTTCCGGACTTGATAACCTATGTCACCAAATTCATTCATCAGGGGACTCTCTAGGGCTGAGTAGGTGCTGCTGACAGAAGCTAGGGCTCTGTGTGAAATTCCAAGGATACCTTTCTCCAAATTAAGCAAATGCTGGAAGTTAGTAATAGGAGTACAAACAGACCAACTAACCCATTTGGGAAGTATATATAAGGTCATCTGGAAAGATTTACAGTTGCCATTTGCTCATTTAAAATGTAGTGAGGTGTTTTAAAGAGGGTTTGTTCAATTTACCAAAAAGGGAAAAAAAGGGAAAAGAAGAAACTTATTGTTGAACGAACACACACACACACACACACACACAAAGAGCCTGGCTTAATTTAGGGATAAAGCAAAGAAGTCAATACCCCCACATCAACTATTGAAACCTAAGCTATTGCTGGAGTTGACAGCGATGATTCAAAGCTAAGTTTAGGAACCACAGTGACTCTCCCTCTGTGTGATTTGGGGTAAGATTTAGTTCTTCTTTCTGGGCCTGAGTGTCCTCACCTAAACAACAGGTATAATAATACCTGCCATCCACCATTACACAGAAACCTACCATAGGACCTGGTACATACAGAGTTGCTTAATATATAACATTTCTCTTTCTTCTTGATACAGTTATAGCAGTACATCTGAAAATCTGAAAGACATACCCATCATAGGCCCCACTGACAATCCTCTTGTTATCAAACCGGATGCATCGGACCAATTCTTCATGTCCCTCTAGGACTCTTAAACAGGCACCACATTCAATATCCCAGAGCCTTGAATGAAAAACAGACCTCTGTGAAACAAATTCCCACACACGATTCACACTATCCGTAAGTTTTTTATATCTGTTCCATACAGATACAATTTTTCACTATCTTGGAGCTCTTTATTTCTATCTCACTTCCAGTACACACCACACATATAAAGCTGTATGTGTACATTTATACCATCTGTGTGTTTCCAAGCACTAACCTAGGAAGAAGCCTTACTTTTTATTCTATTTCCTTTTATATGATTTGAAACTGTTTTTAATCATGCGTCTGTATTACTATTTAAATAAAATCAACAAACAAGAAACTTCAATTCTATTTAATCCTTAGGCATTCTCTTGATGTCTGAGTTGATAAAAACCATGTAGACAAATGGTGTAGGAAAGACTCTTCTGGGGAGACAGGGATTGTAGGCAGTAAAGGAGAAAGAGCACAGATGAGACAAGGTGGGAAAGGAGATATCACGTACAGCCAGGGGGTTAAGCTTCCGCCCCAGGCACTTCTAGCACAGTGGAGTCCATAAGGACCACTGAGGTTAGAACTGGCGGACCAGCAGGGGAGGTGGCTGTCTCTTGATGAGGCTTGGGGATACCCCTTCCTTGATACTATATGCTGAATACTGGGATTGACGGTTTACAAAGTCAGAGTGGGAGACTTACTAGGTACACGCAGTGTTCTGGTGGAAATATAAACCCATTGACAACACCAAGTCTTTTTCTCTGCATATGATTTATGTAACAATTCTGGAGTTAGAGATCTTTTTTCCTATTATGACTGATTTTCTACAGTATTTGTAGAAAAAAATCATAGCTAGTTAGCATGTACAAAATAAAGTGAGCAAATTAATTCTATAACTTTTTCTTAGCCTCTCTACCAGTAATTCCTATGATACATCCAAAGAATGTATTTTATTACAGCTGCCCTTAGCAAATCTTCTTAGTACCCGTGATGATAGCATCTCTAATCTGTGATCAAAGCCATTCAGTACTGCCACTATGACTCCAAAGTAGTTCCCTTCTATAAGCTGGAGAGTAATACACATTACTATCTTGTAAAACCTTGACAATTCCAATGAGGAAGTTAAGAACTGTTTATTGATGAAACATTAAGCAATACCACAAAGCATGATGAATATAAGAGAATCAAGATTTAAGCTCTAAACTAAATTTATGGTATCTTGAAGCCTAAAGTGATAAAGCAAACTTAAATAGCTTTTTTGTTATTTGCTTGCCTTAAAAAAAAGTTTTAATAATCTTAAACCCAATCTTTATTTTGACCAAACATTAGGCAATTATAAACGCCAAAGTTTAGTCACTTATGTAAAGCTACTAGCATGTGTTTGCTTGCCTGCCTTTAAAAAACAAAAAACTTTTTTTAATAATCTTGAATCCTATCTTTATTTTGACCAAACATTAGTCAATTTGATTATAAACCAAAGTTAAGTTTAGTCACTTATGTAATGCCACTAGAGTGTGTTGAGACAGTGGGGAAATGGCATGGGATAATGAAGTAGATATTGAAGGGATGTTCTTAGTAAGATACAAAATGTCTAAGGTTAGTCAGATTTATTAGAAAGCAGGGAGGCCGAGTGCTGGGAAGGAAAAAGAGAGGTAAATGACCTGGCAGGAACAGATGCAGTCTTGGGAGAGGAAAATAAAGTACACTCCCATGTGTTAGGTAGGGAGGTGGGAGCTCACAGGTGAGGGAAATTGGAGCGAGCTGGGCTGCACTGCAGCACCCTAGCCTGTTCTGAAGTGCTCTGGTATTAAGTGATCCCAGGTGGAGCTGAGGTTAAAAAACTTTGTGTACTGGGGGAATCTTGGAAGAACACCCAGGGCACACACGGTTTTCCCACTTGAGTATACAGAGCCCAAATACATTTCTAAAAGTTACCTAAAGCTTTCTTATCTGAAACATCCCATTTACCCTGAGTTGTTTTGAGCATTAGAACTAGGAGATGAGTCAACAATGTGGCAAAAATCAGCCTGCTCTGTCAGCACACCAACTTCTACCCACCTAATGGTATTATCTGATGATCCACTAACAACCAGGCGATCCCTGTACTGGAGACAGGCAATGCCCCGCTTGTGCCCATTGAGAGTACGAACAAATTCACAGGTGCTCGTGCTCCAGACCTGTATAACAAATTAACAGTATTTTAAAGAATGAACACAGGAAAGTCCTCTCACAATATACCTTTCTTAAAAAGACAGAGCTTCTGATAATGACCCAAATATGTGATTATAAAATACGGTGTCCTCTAACTCAAAGTTGGGAGGCTGGGGGGCAGACTAGACAGCATAAAATTTTCTTGGCTGCTGAGTAATAACACTGGAATGAAACACGGAGGGAAGTGAAGTCTCCAGTCTTTGAGATCTTTACAAAGAGAACATCTCCTGAATGGTTCAAACGCTCATTTACCTGGAGGAAAGAGTTTGGGCCAGATTTTATGTTTTTACACCAGCTGACATTTCAAACCCCATGGAGCTAATGTAATAAAAAAGCTTCCAGCTGGGTACGGTAGCTCACACCTAATCCTAGCACTTTGGGAGGCTGAGACAGGAGAATTGCTTGAGCTAAAGAGTTCGAGACCAGCCTGGGCAAAATAGTGAAACCCCATCTCTACAAAAAATAAAATTAGCTGGGCATGGCAGCATGCACCTGTGGTCCCAGCTACTCAGGGAGCTGAGGTGAAAGGATCATTTGAGCCCAGCAGGTTGAGGCTGCAGTGAGCTGTGTCTGTGCCACTGCACTCCAGCCTGGGTGACAAAGCAAGACTTTGTCTCAAAAAACAAACAAAAAGTCTCACCTTTCATATCATCCTCTTTTCCAGCATATTTTCTGGAACAGCTCCATTTGTTTTGACACATTACTTCTAATTGTATGTATGCAGAATAAATAATCCCCTCTTTTGTGGTATCTGACTTAGATGTTCATAGACAGCTAAACATATTATTAGACAAATAAGGAGACACACAGCAACCAGAGTGCCCTGAATTATCTTACCAGCTGCATTTGTAGCTGAATGGGATAGATAAATAGATCTCCACAAGTAAAAGAATGGCACTGGACCCCTACCTCATACCTTAAACAAAAATTTAACTCAAAATGGATCAAGGACCTACACATAAGCACTGAAACTATACAAGTCTTGATAAATTGAACATCATCAAAATTAAAATCATTTGTGCATCAAAGGACACCATCAAAAAAGTGAAAAGACAACTCACAGAAAGGGAGAAAATATTTGCAAATCATGTATCTGATAAGGGACTTGTGCCCAGAATATATAAAGAACTTATAACTCAATAATAAAAAGGCAAATTACCAATTTTTAAAGTGGGCAAAAGATTTAAATAGACATTTCTCCAGAGAAGGTACACAAATGGCCAATAAGCATACAACAAGTTGTTTAGCATCATCAGTAACAAGGGAATGCAAAGCAAAACCACAGAGTACCACTGCACAATCACTAGGGCAGATATAATAAAAGAGACAAATAATAGGAAGTGTTGGCAAGGATATGGAGAAATCCTCCATGCTGATATTATGAAACAGCTATTTTGTAATAAAGCTCAAACCCTCTCAACTTCCAGGCACTGGTCTCATACCAATTGGTGTGACTGTGGGAGTAAGTTGCCGCATATAAATCCTAGTTGTTTAGCTTCCCAGCTATCCAATGCAAAGCCTGATGCTACACACTTCGTGATTTGTGGGGCTAGGTATAAGAGTGCTATCCAGTGCTGGTTATGAAAAGGAGGTTCTTCTGAGCAAGCTGAAACCCTCATATACCACTGGCAGGATTGTAAAATGGTACAGCGCCTTTGGAAAACAGTTTGGCAGTTCCTCAAAATGCTAAACACAAGCCTGGGTGACAAAGTGAGACCTGGTCTCTACAAAAAAAAAAAAAAAAAAAAAAAAAGGGCCGGGCCTGGTAGTGCCTGTACTCCCAGCTACTCCGGGAGGCTTAGGTGGGAGCCTCAGGAGTCCCTGAGCTGGGGGACTGCTTGAGCCCAGGAGGTCAAGGCTGAAGCGAACCATGACTGTGTTACTGCACTCCAGCCTGGGTGACAGAGTGAGACCCTGTCTTCAAAAGGAAAAAAAAGCTAAACACAGAGTTACCATCCTAAGAAAATTAAAAACATGAAAACTTCTACACTAATATTTATAACAGCATCATTTGTAATAGTCAAAAAAATAGAAACAACTAAAATGTCCATCAACTAATAAACAGATGAACAATGAAATTTTATTCAGCCACTGGAAGCAACAAAGTACTGGCTGGGTGTGGTGGCTCATGCCTGTAATCCCAACACTTTGGGAGGCCAAGGACTGCTTGAGCACAGGAGTCCAAGACTAGTCTGGGCAATAAAGCAAGACCCCATCTGTACTTTTAAAAAAAAAAAAAAAAAAAAGAAGGGACAAAGCTGATGATACATGCTACAAAGCACATGGATGAACCTTGAAAACATTATGCTAAGTGAAAGCAGCGAGAAATAAAAGGCCACATAAGGTATTCTTCCAATTATATGAAGTGTTTAGAATAGTCCAATCCCAAGACAGAAGGTAGATGAGTGATCACCAGGGACTGGGAAGAAACACAGGCTGACTGCTAATGAGTGTGAGGGTTTTAGAGCGCGATGAAAATGTTCTGGAACTAGACAATGGTAATGTTATAGAATGCTGCAAATGTACTAAAGGCCACGGAATTACACCCTTTAAAATGTTCAATCTTATGGCATGGAAACTATATCTCGGTAAAGATGTTATAAAAGCATAGGAAAGCTAAAATTCAAAAAAGTTAGCTGAGATATTGGAATCAGGACTGCATTTACCATATCCTAGGGAATCACCCTAGACTTCAACTCCTTGTTACAAGTCTGCCTCCCCCTTCACCGCATGCTAAGCTTCTTGAAGGCAAGGACATGTCTTCTTCATCATCATATCCCTAGCATCCGGCCCAGAGTCCACCGCACTGCGAGTCCTCAAAATTAGGTGAATAAATAAAACATCTAAGCTCTGCCACTAACTAGCTGTGATGATCACCAACACAATCCTTTACTCTCTGAGCCAGATGTGTAAAATGGGGCCACACCTACCTTAAAAGTGCTGAGTGTTAACTGAGACCATAATGTAAAGCTCCCAACACACAATACATGATCAACACGTTAGCACTCTTCCCCTTAAAAAGGTGATCAAGAATTTCATGTCATGAAACAGAAGACTGTTCTCTCTTCTGGACCGATGGCTTTTCCTCCTACCTTGCCTACAACTCTACAGATATACAGAGTGGGATGGCCTCAAGGGTTCATAAGCACAGAGGAGAATAAAGATCTTGCCAGGTACCAGGTTGGTATAAGCCACCTCTGCTTTGTCTCTGTTCTAAAAGGGACAGGAACAGGTAGGGTTATGACTGCAGACATACTTACTTTGATGGTCCTGTCACCAGAGGCAGACACGATGTACTTGTCGTCAAAGTCTACTACATTGACGGCAGCCCGGTGGCCAACCAGGACACGGCGTAAAGTGATGTCGGTCGCAGAAGCCATGTCCCACACAGCAATGGAGCGGTCCTTGGAACAGGTCACCATCAGTCCATTGCTGAAGCGTAAGTGCAATACAGCCTCATTGTGGTGGATCAATGTGTTAAGAACTTCACCCGTGTTCACATCCCACACTCTAGGAGAGAAGAGAAAAGCATGATGCTTAATTATGGAGACAGCCAGGAAATGATTCTGGTATCTGAGCTCTGTCTGGGTCTGCAATGGTTTGGATATAGTTTGTCTGACTCTACCAAATCTCATGTTGAAATTGATCCTCAATGTTGGAGGTGGGGCCTGGCAGGAGATGTTTTGGGTCATGGTGGTGTATCACTCATGAATGGCTTGGTGCCATTCTCATAGGAGGGAGTTCACTCTTAGTTCCTGAGAGAACAGGTTGTTGAAAAGAGCCTCCTAGCACCTCCTCCCTCTCTCTTGCTTCTCTCTCACATGTGATCTGCACATGCTGGCTCCCCTTTGCCTTCTGCCATGAGTAGAAGTAGCTCGAAGCCCTCATCAGAAGTAGATGCTGGTGCCATGCTTCTTGCAGAGCCTGCAGAACCATGAGTCAAATACACCCCTTTTCTTTATAAATTACCCAGCCTCGGGTATTCCTTTATAGCAATACAAATGGAGTAAGACAGGGTCTATTCTTAATGAACCTAAGGACATGATTAAAAGGGGCCCCTAAAAGCAATTTCTTTATTTGCTGAGAAGTGCTGAGATGGTTTCAGAAAAGGTGGCTAATTCTGGCTCTGCCTGAGTTTAGGTATATTTAGCAGTCAGGTATTTAGGGACGGTGTTTGCAGGCTCGTGCTGATGGCAAAAGATGATTCCTCTAGATAGTAGATTTTGTATTGAGTCTGAGATGACAGGAAGAAGGAGGCTTGTTGGCTGAAGAACTGAGAATGGTTCCAAGCTTAGTTCTTGTTGACCTCTGACAGGCCTCTGAGTCTATCAGTTATCCACTGCAAACTGGGTAAGTCATGATGCCTCATCAATCACCGCATCCACTTCTTTACCCAGCTGCTTTATGGACAAAGCCAGGGTCTCCCAACTGCTTTGTAGATCCAGGGATCTGGAAGCAGCATTTCCACATCACGGCTTTTCTGTAACCCTCATCTCCTAAGAGGACAAGTTCACATAGGGCAGAGGGGGAAAGACTCAGGCCTCTGAGGCTGAGACATGATCTCTGGCAGAAGCAGGGGTACGGAAGCACTGAGTCCAGGAGAGGATACTAAGCATGCTTCAAGCAGGGGTGGCGATGCTTCCAGCAGGGGTGGCGAAAGAGTCCAGGAGTGACTCCTGGAAGTGAGTGTCTCCTCTCTGCTCTGGACCACATAACCAAAAGAAGAAAGCCAGCCTAATACTTGGTATATGCTCTTACAGGAAAGCATGTTGTCATCTCTACAATGAACAGCAATAGGAATAGAACACCCTTAACAAAAATTAGCTTTCCTGCCTAATTTGCGCAAACATGTCTACAATAAAAGTAGTTTGAAATACAGCATGTAAAAATGTAAGTTTGTGTATGCCTCTCCCAGAGGAGGATGTCAATCTCAGACTTTCTCAGGGAAGGCTTACAAGTTAAGAACAATGAAGCCAGATCACTCACCTCACCGTAGAATCTGAAGAGCCAGTTACAATGACACGCTCATCATACTGCAGACAGAGGACAGAGCCTGTGTGTCCTGTTAACACTTTCAAACATTCCAGGCTGGTTTTATCCCATATCTATTGAGACAAGATTAGCCACAAACGATGATTAATTATACTATATTTTGATGAATGTTACTGTCCCACCTTATGTTCTGATTATAAAATAAAACACACTTGGGTTACAGTAAATAAGAAACACTGAATAACAAACAGGTAAGAAATGACAAGAAGGAATACAGACAATAGTGATTAACTACTAGGATAGATGTGCTATTTTGCTTAATTTGAACCCTTAGCTATTGATCTCAGTATACTTATCAACAGCCTCATAAAGGGGACTTCTTAAAAATAAAATCTGTGAAAAGAATTCGCTCACTGACTGGGTGCTGTGGCTCATGCCTATAATCCCAACATTTTGGGAGGCCGAGACAGAAGGATCGCTTGAGCCCAGAAGTTAAAAGACCAGCCTGGGCAACATACCAAGCCAATCTCCATAAGAGTGTGTGAGTGTGTGTGTGTGTGTGTGTGTGTGTGTGTAAGAGAGAGAGAGTGTGTGTGTGTGTGTGTGTGTGTGTGTGTTTTAATTAGCCAGGTGTGGTGGTGTGTGTGCCTGTAGTCCCAACTACTCAGGAGGCTGAGGTGACAGAATTGCTTGAGCCCAGAAGGCAAGGCTGCAGTGAGCCATAATCACACCACTGTACTCCGGCCTGGGCAACAAAGCAGGACTCTGCTTTGTCATTTTATTTTTATGTCTCATAAAAATATTAATGAAAAAGAATTGGCTCACTCTCTGGAAAGCAACATGACAACGTCTATTAAGAGGTTTTACAAATGCATACCCCTACGTTTACAAAAACAAAAAGTGGAAAATGAAATGTCCAGCATTTCATAAAAGTCTCAAAGTAAACTATGAAGTGTTTAATGAGAAAATATCATGCTTTATTACAAAGTTAAGCATTTTAAAAATCAGAACAAAAATTATCTGTAAAGTGACACAATGACTATGTATATTTTAGAAAAGGAAGAAAGGATTAAAGGAGGTAAAATGTTGTGAACAGTTGTTTTCACACTCTGAGTGTTCCTTTTCTCGCTTCTTTTACTGCCTCCATAGACTTGTCTTTTCTAGAATGTCACAGATTTGGAATCATACAGTATGTAGCCTTTTTAGATTGGCTTCTTTCACACAGTAATACACACTTACGGTTCCTCCCTGTCTTTTCATGGCTTGATATACATTCCTTTTTAGTGCTGAAAATTATCCCACTGTCTAGATGTACTACAGTTTATTTATCCATTCACCTACTGAAGGACACCTTGGTTGCTTCCAAGTTTGGGCAATTATGGGTAAAGCTGCCATAAACATCTGGGTGCAGGTTTTTGTGTAGACCTAAGTTTTCAATTCTGTTGTGTAAATACTAAGTGGTATATATGGTAAAAGTATGTTTAGTTTCGTAAGAATGCCAAACTGCCTTCTGAAGTGGCTGTACTATTTTCCATTTCCAACAGCAATGAATGAAAGTTCCTGTTCCTATTGCTCCACATTCTCACCAGCATTGGGTGTTGTCAGTGTTCTGGATTTTGGCCATGCTAACAGGTGTGTAGTAGTGTCTCACTGTTATAATTCACATTTCTCTGATGACTTACAATGTGTAACATCTTTTCACATACTTACAATATGCCATCTGTATATCCTTCTTTGGTGAGATGTCTGTTAAGGTCTATGCCTTATTTTTAAAAATCAGGTTAAGCTAATTGTTTTTTTTCTTACTGTTGAGATTCAAGAGTTCTTTGTATGTCTTTTGCATACATTTTCTCTAGTCTGTGGCTTGTTTTTTCATTCTCCAGACAATGTCTCTCACAGAGCAGAAATTTTTAATTTTAACAAAGTCCAGCTCATTAATTCTTTCTTTCATGGGTCATGGCTTTGGTATTATATCTAAAAAGTCATCAACAAATTCAAGATCATCTAGATTCTCTCCTATGTTACATTCTGTGAATTTTAAGATTTTGTGTTTTACAGTCAGGTCTTTAATCCATTTTGAGTTAATTTTTGTGAAGTATATAGGATCTATGTCTAGACTGTTTAAGGGTAAGGGAGGCAATATGGTGTCTAATTGCTTCTGCCCCATTTGTTGAAGACACAATCTTTTCTCTACTGTATTGTCTTTGCTCCTTTGTAAAAGATCAGCTGACTATATTTATGAAGGTATATATTTCTGGGCTCTCTATTCTGTTCCATGGATCTAGCTGTCCATTCTGTTGCCAGCACCACACCACTGTGATGACTGCAGTTTTACAGTAATTCTTCAAGTAGGGTAGTGTTAGTCCTCTGTCTTTATTCTACTTCAGTATCATGCTGGTTTTTGCTTGTCCATATAAACATTACAGTCAGCTGGTAGATATCCACAAAATCACTTGCTGGGATTTTGATTGAGACTGCATTGAACCTACAGACCAATTTGGGAAGAAATGACTGACATCCTCACAATAGTCTTCCTACCCATGAGCATGAAATATCTCTCCCCATTTATTTAGTTCTTTGATTTCTTTAATCAGTTTTATAGTTTTCTTCACATAGATCTTATAAATATTTTGTTAGATTTATACCTAAGTATTTCATTGGTGGGGGAGGTGCTAATATAAATGTTATTGTGTTTTTTGAGATGGAGTCTCACTCTGTCACCCAGGCTGGAGTGCAATGGCGCGATCTCGGCTCACTGCAACCTCCGCCTCCCAAGTTCAAGCTATTGTCCTGCCTCAGCCTCCTGAGTAGCAGGACTATAGGCGCCCACCACCACACCCGGCTAATTTTTGTATTTTTAGTGGAGACGGAGTTTCACCATGTTGGCCAGGCTGGTCACAAACTCCTGACCTCAGATGATCCACCCACCTCGGCCTCCCTAAAGTGCTGGGATTATAGGCGTGAGCCACCGCGCCCAGCCATGTTATTGTGTTTTTAATTTCACATTCCACTTGTTCATTGCTGCTATATGGGTAAGCAACTGACTTAAGTATATTAACCTTGTATCCGGCAAACTTGCTATAATCATTTATTAGTTCTAGGAGGTTTTTTTTGTTGATGCTTTCATTTTTTTCTACAATCATGTCATCTACAAGCAAAGACAGTTTTAATTCTTCCTTCTCAATTTGTATACCTTGTCTTAGTGTGTTATCTAGGAGTTCTAATACAATGTTGAAACATAGTGGTGAGTGGGGACATCTTTGTCTTATTCCTGACCTTAGTGGGAAAGTTTCACATTTCTCAGCACTGTGTGTGACGTTAGCTATAGGCTTTTTGTAGATACTCTTTATCAAGTTAAGGAAGTTCCCCTCTATTCATAGTTTACTAAGGGTTTTTATCACGAAAGAGTGTTCAATTTTCTCAAACGCCCTTTCTGCATCTATTGACGTGATTTTCTTCTTTGGCTTATTGATATGACGGATTAATTGATTTTTGAAGGTTAAACATGAAGATATTGGTCTGTGGTTTTCTTTGAATGTCTTCATCTAGTTTAGTACTAAGGTAACAATGGCCTCATAGAATGAGTGATGAAATATTCTCTCTTCTTCTATCTTCTGGAAGAGATTGTAGAGAACTGGTGTAATTTCTTACTTAAATGTTTGACAGAATTCACCAGTAACTCATCTGGGCCTGGTGCTGTTTTGGAAAGTAATTAATTATTGACTCAATTTCTTCAACAGATAAAGGCCTATTCAGATTACCTATTTGTTTTTATGTCAATTTTGGAAGACTGTGTCTTTCAGGGAATTAATTCATTTCATATAAATTATCAAATTTGTAAACAGGGAGTTGATCATATTATTTTATTATTCATTTAACGCTCATGAGAGCTATAGTGATGTCTCCTCTTTCATTTCAATATTAGGAATCTGAGTGCTTTTTTTTCTATGTTAGCATAGCTAACGTAATTATCAATTTTACTCATCTTTTCAAAGACACATCTTTTGGTTTCCTTACCTATTTCTATGGATTTCCTGTTATCAATTTCATTGATCTCTGCCCTACTTTTCATTAACTCTTTTATTCTGCTTACTACGGATTTAAACTGTTCTTTTTCTAGTTTCCTAAGGTGGAAGCTTAGATGACTGATTTTTAGTCTTTTTTCTAATATATGCACTCAATACTATAAAATTCTAAGCTTTCACTGCATCCCACAGATTTTGATAACTTGGGCTTTCATTTTCATTTAGTTACACCCACCCACACATGCACACATGTGCACACACACAGCGAAGGAGGAGGGAGAGAAAGTCTCACACCGTCACTCAGGCTGAAATACAGTGACACAATCACAGCTTACTGCAGCCTTTGACCTCCCGGGCTCAGGTGATCCTCCCACCTCAGCCTCTTGAGTAGCTGGGACTACAGACGCATGCCACAATGCCCAGCTAATGTTTTTTAATTTTTTTGTAGAGACAGGGTCTCCCTATGTTTCCCAGGCTTGTCTCAAACTTCTGGGCTCAAGCAATCCTCCCACCTCAGCCTCCCAAAGTGTAGGGATTACAGACGTGAACCACTGTGCCCAGCCTCAAAATATTTTTAAAATTTCTCTTGAGATTTCTTCTTTGATCCATGTGCTATTTAGAATTATGTTATGTAACCTTAAAGTATTTAGGAATTTTTCCAGCTTCTTTTTTTTACTGATTTCTAGTTTATATCCACTGTGGTATGATTGGACATTGTATTAATTTCTAGCCTTTCTTTTTTTATTGCTTTTATTTTTTTATTTTTCCATAAGCTATTGTACAGGTGGTATTTGGTTACCTAAGTTCTTTAGTGGTGATTTGTGAGATTCTGGTGCACTCATCACCCAAGCAGTATATACTGCACCATATTTGTAGTCTTCTATCCCTTGCCCCCCTCCCACTCGTCCCCCCAAGTCCCCAAAGTCCAATGCATCATTCTTATGCATTTGCGTCCTCATAGCTTAGCTCTTACATAACAGTGAGAACATATGATGTTTGGTTTTTCATCCTGAGTTACTTTGCTTAGAATAACAGTCTCCAATCTCATCCAAGTCACCGCAAATGCTGTTAATTCATTCCTTTATATGGCTGCATAGTATTCCATCATATATATATCAGTCACAGTTTCTTTATCCACTCGTTGAGTGATGGGCATTTGGGTTGGTTCCACAATTTTGCAATTGTGAATTGTGCTGCTATAAACATCCATGTGCAAGTGTCTTTTTTAAATAATGACTTATTTTCCTCTGGGTAGATACCCAGTAGTGGGACTGCTGGATCAAATGGTAGTTCTACTTTTAGTTCTTTAAGAAATCTCCCCACCCCACAACAGGCCCCAGTGTGGGGAGGCGGGAGGGATAGCATTAGGAGATATACCTAACATTAAATGACGAGTTAATGGGTGCAGCACACCAACATGGCACATGTATACATATGTAACAAACCTGCACGTTGAGCACATGTACCCTAAAACTTAAAGTATAATAAAAAAAATAAAAGAAAAAGAAATCTCCACATTGTTTTCCATAGCAGCTGTACTAGTTTACATTCCCACCAGCAGTGTAGAAGTGTTCCCTGTTCATCATATCCATGCCAGCATCTACTGTTTTTTGATTTTTTTATTATGGCCATTCTTGCAGGAGGTGGTATCACAATGTGGTTTTGATTTGCATTTCTCTGATCATTTTATCATGTTTGTCGGGCATTTTTTCCTGTGTTGAGCATTTTTTCATATGTGTATTGACTATTTTGTATATCTTCTTTTGAGAATTGTCTGTTCATGTTCTTAGCCCACTTTTTGATGGGATTGTTTGTTTTTTTCTTGTTGATTTGTTTGAGTTCATTGTGTTTGTTTTTTTCTTGTTGATTTGTTTGAGTTCATTGTAGATTCTGGATATTAGTCCTTTGTCAGATGTATAGATTGTGAAGATTTTCTCCCACTCTGTGGGCTGTTTACTCTGCTAACTGTTCCTTGTGCTGTGCAAAAGCTCTTTAGTTTAATTAGGTCCCAGCTATTTATCTTTGTTTTTGTAGTATTTGCTTTTGGTTCTTGGTTATGAAATCCTTGCCTAAGCCAATGTCTAGAAGGGTTTTTCCAATGTTATCTCCCAGAATTTTTCTAGTTTCAGGTCTTAGGTTTAAAGTCCTTAATCCACATTGAGTTGATTTTTGTATAAGGTGAGAGATGAGGATCCAGTTTCATTCTCCTGTATGTGGCTTGCCAATTATCCCAGTACTAGTTGTTGAAAAGGGTGTCCTTTCCCCACTTTTATATTTTTGTTTGCTTTATCAAAGATCAGTTGGCTGTAAGTATTTGGGTTTATTTCTGGGTTCTCTATTCTGTTCCATTGGTCTATATCCCTATTTTTGTACCAGTACCATGCTGTTTTGGTGACTATAAGCACTATAGTATAGTTTGAAATCAGGTAGTGTGATGCCTCCAGATTTATTCTTTTTGCTTAGTCTTGCTTTGGCTACATGGGCTCTTTTTTGGTTCCAAGTGAATTTTAGAATTGTTTTATCTAATTCTGTGAAGAATGAGAAAGGAATGGTTATGTCCTTTCCTGGTTTTGGTATTAGGTCGTATTTTGACAGGGACTGCATTGAATTTGTAGATTGCTTTTGGCAGTATGGTTATTTTCACAATATTGATTCTACCCATCCATGAGCATGGGATGTGTTTCCATTTGTTCGTGTCATCTATGATTTCTTTCAGCAGTGTTTTGTAGTTTTCCTTGTAGAGGTCTTTTGACTCCTTGATTAGGTATATTCCTAAGTATGTTATTTTTTTGCAGCTATTGTAAAAGAGGTTGAGTTCTTGATGTGATTCTCCTCCTGGTCACTGTTGGTTTACAGAAGAGCTACTGATTTGTGTACATTAATCAAAAGGAAATGCTATAAACAGGCCTTCAAGAAGGGAAGCGTTCTATAGTTCCATGACTAGGTCTGAGTCTTTTAGTGAGCCTATACCTCTAGACTTCACAAGTACTTCTCAGTTCTTCCTCACCCCTTTATGCGTGACCAAATGGATGAGGGGGCTGGAGTTGTGTATTTCCCTTCCCCAGGTCAGTCAGGTTCTATAAAATCTCAGCACTTTAGGCTCTGGCTAAGCAGTTTCTACTGAAGGTAGACCTTATCAAGAAGTACAGAATAACCTAGTATAGTTTTAAAAGTTTCTTTTCCCTTCCCGCTGCTGGAAACACAAGGAGATTTTTCTGGGATAATCACTGAGAGAATCTGGTAGAGCTCTTGCAGGTAAAACTCACAAAAGTGTGGTGGGGAGCCTGATGACTGGGTCCTCCTCAGTTTATATTTCTCAGACTTGTCCCACACTGAGCCTCCAGCAATTTTTCAATTACGGTTCAGGTTACCCTACCCAGGCACTGGTTCTCCCGGATGTTTCTGCTCCAGTGAGTTATGATTCTCTGTATTTGCCTGTCTCTCCAATTTGTGGGGCAGCAGCTTCTCCTGTGACCTCACTTCTCTTATGAATCTAAGTAGAATGGTTGATTTTTCAGTTTGTTCAGATTTTTACTTGTTGTCAGGACAAGTAGCAACTTCTTACGTACCAAACCCACTCCCTTCTTTTAATCTTTCCAGTGTTCCCAAGTTAACAATATTGTTGATATTTAATGGGAGATGAGAATGTTTTCAAAGATTGAACTATTTAAAATAGACTCTGTGCACCTATTTCTTGACATGTACAATACTATCATAATTTGTAGTGACTCTACAGTTTACTGCAAGTGAACAAGATTTTATAAATGAGGTAGACACTGAAATATAATATCTACAATAGCAAAGCTTGCTTTTAACTTCTGACCTAATGGAACCTGAGTTATTTTTTAAAGTGATTAGTGATCAAGGATTGGTGCAGAATAGAGCAAAAAAAAGGTTTCCAACCACTGGTCTAGATAATCTCTTCAAAGCGCACTTCTGCTCTACTATTCTATGTCTTATTAAGTCAAATGGATGTGCCACAATTAAGAGAATTCTTCAGAAAACACATCTAGTGTAAATGAATTCCAAGCCCACAGCCAGACTATGCTTTGACAAAGTTGTTATAAACCATTCTTAACTATTCCTTAAAGAAAAACTACCAGTATTATTGCAGCACTATTCACAATAGCAAAGACTTGGAACCAACCCAAATGTCCAACAATGATAGACTGGATTAAGAAAATGGAATACTATGCAGCCATAAAAAATGATGAGTTCATGTCCTTTGCAGGGACATGGATGAAGCTGGAAACCATCATTCTCAGCAAACTATCGCAAGGACAAAAAACCAAACACCGCATGTTCTCACTCATAGGTGGGAATTGAACAATGAGAACACCTGGACACAGGAAGGGGAACATCACACACTGGGGCCTGTTGTGGGGTTGGGGGAGGGGGGAGGGATAGCATTAGGAGATATACCTAATGTTAAACGAAGAGTTAATGGGTGCAGCACACCAACATGGCACATGTATACATATGTAACAAACCTGCACGTTGTGCACATGTACCCTAAAACTTAAAGTATAATAAAAAATAAATAAATAAATAAATAATAAAATAAAACGATATATTGATAGAAAAAAAGAAAAACCACCAGTATTAAATAGTAGCATATGTCACACTTTCTAGAGTATACTGGTAGCCACAGGTTAGGGCTATCAAGTATATATAAAAATAGAGTTCGGTGGGCCAGGAGCAGTGGCTTACACCTGTAATCTCAGCACTTTGGTAGGCCGAGGCAGGAGGATCATTTGAGGTCAAGAGTTTGAGACCAGCCTGGCCAGCATAGCGAAACCTCATCTCTACTAAAAACACAAAAAATTAGCCAGGCCTGGTGGCAGGCACCTGTAGTCCCAGCTACTCAGGAGGCTGAGGGAGGAGAATCGCTCACTTGAACCCAGGAGGTGGAGGTTGCAGTGAGCCGAAATCATGCCACTGCACTCCAGCCAGGGTGACAGAGCGAGACTCTGTCTCAAAAAGTAAGAAAAAAAAAATTAAAAATAGAGTTCCGTGGTCAAATAAGTTTTGGAACTTGGGAAACACTGGGTGTCTGTCTCTATTGTAGGCATTCTCAGAGCCTTTATATGCTACTGTATCCTGTGAATTTCTAAGCTGGAGACACAGCATGCAGTGTTATCTAAACTTCCTTGGAGGGCATTATTATTCTCTGCCTAGAATGCCTGCCAACATCCTCTAGATTCACATCCACAGAATATCTTTTGGCAAACACTGCCATACATATAGGAAACCAACAGAACAGTTTCTTATATTCTATAATTCAGAGTGCGTTTGACCTAGGTAGCTGAATTACTAAAATTCCACTATTTCACTTTTTAAAAAACAAACAAAAAATAAAAATTAAAAAAAAAAGCAGAAAAGCTTTATTTCACCCAAAATAGAACAATAACAGAAAACAGGGCCAAGATGGAGAAAGCCCACTACAATCTATCTCTCCAGTTGATTATAACTAAACACTCCTGATAAAAACTAGTTAAGAACTCTGAAAAGTAAGGGGAAAGAGGGGACAACAGGTAGATGTGGCAAGGGGTCAAAATGTGAAGAAACAATCTGCATGGGGGTGAATTTGCCATTATTTTTCTTTGTTGTTTTCTGTTTTCTTTCTTTTTTTTTTTATTTTTTATTGAGACAGAGTCTTGCTCTGAATTGCAGTGGTGTGATCCTGGCTCACTGCAACCTCTGCCTCCTGGGTTCAAGCAATTCTCATGCCTCAGCCTCCCGAGTATCTGGGATTACAGGTGCCCACCACCACGCCCAGCTAATTTTTTGTATTTTTAGTAGTGACAGGGTTTCACCATGTTGGCCAGGCTGGTCTTGAACTCCTGGCCTCAAGTGATCCACCCGCCTCAGCCTCCCAAAGTGCTGGGATTACAGGCATGAGCCACCACACCCGGCTTTTTCTCTTTTCTTCCTTCTGTGGCTTTTGCTCAAAGGCAGGCCCTTGACCAGGAAGCTATACAGTGAAATAGCAAAACATGCAGCTAAAATTCTGAAAGAAATCCCTCTAGGCAGAGGGGCTGGAAAAAAAGAGATCCCTGGGGGTTTCTTTTCTCTCTTCTCTCACAGGGCTCATGGCTCCAGTCATGACGACACACTGCAGAACAATGGAAAAGATAAAAAAATTCCAAGAGTGACCCAATTTTTCTGGCCAGAGGAAAAGGAAAAAAGTGTCCTTATGGGCTGAAGAGACTTAGGGAAATCCAAGAGGAAAGAACTGGAAATAAAAGAACCCAAACAACACATGACTTGGGCTTACCCTTGAGCTGTATATGCGCAGAACAGACTGAACCAGCACAGCAAAGGCTGTCTCAATGAGCTGATATTTAAAGCACTGCTGAAGCCTCAGATTAACCTCTAAGTAGTGAAAGCCCATGACAGACGCAAAGTGGCATATTGCAAAGGCTTTGAACAGTGGAAAAGAGATTAGAGCCATCCCCGCAACCCCTCTGATGATGTCAAGACAGAACTTGTGTTCTGAACCCAACTAAGTTGACTAACTGCTTAAAAACACACTTACCCAAAAACATTGTCCAGAGGATTATAACAGGACCCACAGTCTTTACAACATAATATCCACAATGCCCAAAATACTAGTTTAAATTACCTGGCATACAAAAATCAAGAAAGATGAACAATCTCAGGGGACTGGACAATCAACAGATGTCAAGCTGGAGGTTACCCAGATGCTGACATGGTTAAAGATGTTAAGCACCTACTCTATACTCCACAGGATAAAGATAAACGTGCTTGAGGTAAATAAAAAAGAGAGAATTCTCAGCAGAGAAATAGAAACTGTAAAATATCATACCTGAAATTAAAAACTCACTTGATGGGGCGGAGGGTAACAGGAGAATAGAGATGAAGAGATGAAAAATTCAGTCAACTTGAAGATAGGCCAATAGAAATTATCCAGAAAAGGGAGGAACAAAGATTGAAAACAATGTGGAACAATATCAAAAGATATAGTATTTATGTGATTAGAGTCTCAGAAGGAAAGGAGAAATTGGTACAGAAAAAAATATTTGAAAAAATAATGGCTGAAGACTTCTGAAATGTAATGAATGAAAGACGTAAATTTACACATTCATGAAGCTCAGAGAAAGGCTTCTTGGATATAATATCGAAAGCATGATCCATAAAAGAAAAAACTGGTAAGTTGGACTTCATCAAAATTAAAATCTTCTGTCAAGTACAGTGGCTCACGCCTGTAATCTCAGCACTTTGGGAGGCCAAGGTAGGCAGATCACCTGAGGCCAGGAGTTCAAGACCAGCCGGGTCAACATGGTGAAACCCCGTCTCCACTAAAAATACAAAAATTAGCTGGGCATGGTGGCTCATGCCTGTAGTCCCAGCTATTTGGGAGGCTAAGGCACAAGTATTGCTTGAACCCAGGAGGTGGAGGTTGCAGTGAGCCGAGATCATGCCACTGCACTCCAGCCTGGGTGACAGAGTGAGACTCCATCTCAAAAAAAAAAAAAAAAAAAAATTAAAATCTTTTGCTCCATTAAAGAGATCATTAAGAAAATGAGAAAATGAAAAGACGGCCAGGCATGGTGGTTTACGCCTGTAATCGGGGCACTTTGGGAGGCCGGGGCAGGTGGATCACCTAAAGTCGGGAGTTTGAGACCAGCCTGACCAACATGGAGAAACCCTGTCTCTAATAAAAATACAAAAAAGTAGCTGGGCATGGTGGCTCATGCCTATAATCCCAGCTACTCGGGAGGCTGAGGCAGGATAATCGCTCAAACCCGGGAGGCGGAGGTTGCAGTGAGCTGAGATCGTGCCATTGCACTCTAATCTAGCCCAGGCAAGGGTAAAACTCCGTCTCAAAAAAAATTTTTTTTAAATAAAAAGAAAATGAAAAGACAACTCACTAATTGGGAAAAATATATGCAAAACATATCTAGCAAAGGACGTATCTAGACTACATAAAGAACTCTAAAAACTCAGTAATAAAAAAACAAAGAACCCATTTTAAAATGGGTAAAAGATCTGAAAAGAAACTTCACCACAGAATATAGAGATGGCAGGTAAGCACATAAAAAGATGCTCACTATCATCACTGGGGAAATGTGAATTTAAAGCAAAATGAGGTATGTTCACATACCTATTAGAATGGCTAGTATCAAAAAAAACTGAGATGATCAAGGGCTGACAAGGATACAGAACAAAAGCAACTCTCAGGCCAGGTGTGGTGGCTGCTCACGCCCGTAATCCCCGCACTTTGGGGCAGGCGCATTACTTGAGGTCAGGAGCTCAAGACCAGCCTGGGCAACACGGCAAAACACCATCTCTACTAAAAACAAAAAAATTAGCTGGGCGTGGTGCCACATGCCTGTAGTCCCAGCTACTCAGGAGGCTGAGGTAGGACGGCAGGAGAATTGCTTGAACCCAGGAGGCAGGTGACAGAGAGAGACTCCGTCTCAAAAAAAAAAAAAAAAACTCTCATCACTGTAGATGGGAATGTGAAATGGTACAGGCACTTTGGAGAACAGCTGGGCAGTTTCTTAGCAGGTGAAACATACACTTACCATATGAGCCAGTAACCCCACTCCTCAGTTTTCACGCAATGAACTAAAAATTTATGTTCCCCAAAAAACCTACAGGTATATAATTATGGTAGCTTTATTCATAATTGTCAGAAACTGGAAACAACACAAACATCCTTCAACAGGTGAATGGGTAAGCACAGGAAAGAGGCAGAAAAGCCCAGGATAAGAAACGGGCAGGACAAGGGAATTGGGGGAATGAGAGAGCTGCTCCATATCGTGATTTTTGTAACAGTTATACATGTCTGTGTGTTTATCAAAATTCACAGAATTATACAACAAAAGAGCAAACTTCCCTGTTTGTAAGTTATAATGTTTTTTTACAAAGTTTAAAAAACATGTTTTCTTAAATATGAGGACATAAGATACAAACAATGTAAAATAAAATCAGATCAGATCAGCCATCAAACAGATTAAACATGGAAAAATAATCCAGTTTATCTACTACTGAAAAGTTAATGAAAACAATATAAGTTGCTCTATCATTCTGTGGTATTATTATTTGAGTCCTTCTCAGGAACCATAAAAGGTAACACCTTTGGTTTATAAACTACCAATACCAGCTGGCAAAGTAATCAAGAGCCCTGTGATACTGGGATATTTTCTATTTACACCTAATACAGAATATAGAATGTGAATGTGCTTAGAGAAGGATAAGAAGTGAGACAATCCAGGGTCTTGTATTAGTTTCGGGGAAATGCTCTGGCTCTAGTTCTTTAGAACTACACTGAGAGCTGCCAAGATTGAGTGGAAGAGATAAAAACCAATCTAGAGTAAATGGAAAGATTGTCACATCTAGTGTCTAACACATAGCCACGATTCTAAAAATAATACATAAAAAATTCAGTCATTCACCTTAATAGAATTATCTCGTAGGCCACTGATAATTTTTTCATCATCGTACTGTAAACAGTAGACACCTTTACTATTTTCAGAGCGGCACTGAATCCTCTGCAAGTTGTGTCGTCCACACCGCCAGTTAGATTCTATAGTCTAGGGAAAAAAGGAGGCAAGAGATGAGTTTTTATGAATCAACTTACTCTATTAGGTTTCAGACTTTGGCGTTGCTTCCAGAAACAGCATACCACCGATACCCCAATCTTGGTTTGCATAACTGTCTGTGGATAGGATCATGCTCTTTTCCAAGTAAGACATTAACCCAACAATGTTTTTTCTTAAACTTTCCCTGCCCATTTGGCAACCGTCATAGGATTTCCAATGAGTTTTGGACTGGGCTTGAAAAAACTGGCCTAGACAGAATTCAGTATGTTTAAAGAACGCCGTTTGCACCCAAAACATGCAAATAAATAGTAACTCATTGGGTCGCTCCCTAATGCCAATTAAAAAACCATCATTAAGCATATATTGACAATCTACATATCCAAACAAAGAATTGTCTTGATCACTGAGGAAAGATAGTGAGCAACTACTATAAGCCAACTACATAGGAAGAATTTTATCATTTTTAACCTTCCTAATGTTTCTGTAGAGTAAAAATGGTACATTTTAGCCCTAGATTCTTATTCCTCTTATCATTCATGCAACATTTGCTGAGATGTTAATATATTCCACATAGTGTGCTAGGCACTGAGGATAAAAAGATCAACAGGAGACATACTGCATTCAGGGAGGCACCACTCCAATATCTAGGCCCATGGTGTCTGGATCTAGAGAGACACTAAACTAAGTGTATTTGGTTAAATGATCCATACAATAACCTTGGAAGGAAGGAAGTACTTATTATTTCCTTTTTACAAACAAGAAAACAGAGTTTAATTTGCCTGCAGCCACAAAATCAGTAATCGGACTAGCTGGAAATCACACTCAGTTCTTTCCGACTCCAAACCCATGCTTTTGCTACTAACATATTCAATGCCCACAAAGCAGGATGGGCCTGCCTCTTGCGGCAGTGCACACAGAACGTAAGAAGATCAGTAACAATTCCAAAAGTGCCAAATGAGTGATAAAAATTCTAAGTGCTGCAGGACTTAAGGGAGATAATGAGCTCTATAGCCTGAGACACTGGGACAAGTTTAGTGAAGAAGTAGGTCATACCCAGAGCACCAGAAGACCTAACCTCTGGTAGTAGACATAAGTGATTTTTTAAGGCTCAAAAGATACAATGTCTCTACTAAGAGTAACTAAAGTCTGAATTCTTGATCCTTGAAATTAGGGGACAACAGGGATTTCTATAACCTGTTACACTTCAGTTCAGGATATAGTTTCTCTCTGAGTAGCTAATTATTTCTGTACAGCTAAAAGTCTAATTATTTGCTTTGTTGAAGGAGTACTTAATTACTGGCTCTGCTGACATCTAACAAACTGTATTTCTTCTTATTTTGAAGATAGTATCCTTCTGTGCACTCTAAAATGTTACAATTTACTGAAAGCTACATGCCAGGCACTATGCTTTTCTAACACTATACCACTCACTTTATATGTTTTGTAGCTAATTTAATCGTGACTCTGAAGCAGGAATCATTGTTCGCATTTTATAGAAAAGGAAATGGAGGGTTGGAGATATCGATACACGTATACTTAAAAAGCGATTATTTCCATCATTTGTGGCCCCAGTGCTCAGCAAGAGTCCTGGAAATACGGTATCTTCCCTCAAGGAGCTCCCATACACATCCTGAGGGCAGGATGGTATATTTCCAATGCTCAGGAGATACAAGGAGGTGCCATGGAGATGCCAGGAGAGGGGAAATACTCATTTGTCCATCTGCCACCAAATCAGAACTTCCTAGCCTGGGTCATCATCTCTAGTGACTTGGTAAAATATTAGACATACAAAAGCACACTTCAAAACCAAAAAAAAAAAAAAAAAAAAAAAAAACTAACCCAACCATCTCTGCTACCTCTATCAAAGTAGACAACAGATCTGTCCGGATAAGCGACTTTTTAAAAAGAGGTCCAGAATACAGGCATTTCTTAAGCAGAACTCAACGCATGGAATCATTTAGAGAAACAATGTATTTTTAGATAGTGACTGTGCCATCTCAGCATGCTAAGCACTCCAGGAAAATGCTGATTTAGTAGGCAGATGTACTGGTAACAAGTCTAATTTGTGGCCAGTGACTCTTGGCAGTAGTTACCAATGTTCACGTTATACCCTCTGGGGGCCCACAGAGTTGCTACAGAATGTATGATGTCATATTACAAGTATGACAGAGATGAATACATAATATGTCTTTACATATATGTCAAGTGTTATCAAGCTGTTCTTAGGTTTAAGAGGTATACAATTGCTTTAAAATGACACTGAAGCAGTAAGTAGCTTTGTTATGCTCTATATTTCAATGACTAGAAAAAGCACATTTACTACCGCATGAGAGTCTGAGGGGGAAACAATTATTTTAATTTAAAAGAGGGGATGGGGGGGAATCTCTATACCAAAAAGAATTTTCTCCATGCTCTCCGCTGCTCTAAAATGTTTCCTAGAAGTGGGTGATGTGGTTACAATCTTTAACTGTACCCAAAACCCTGAAGACGCAGCAGAGAAGACTACACAGAGGAGCCAGGGTCAGGTACATACTCAGCCTGTGATACATCAGTCCCCTGAGATGTCTGGACAGAGGACGACAACAACATTAAAGGCTGGGCTATACCCTCTATCCCCAACCCTCAAGTAAGAGCTAGGGAACAGGACCTCTCAAAAGCTCTGCTAGATACCAGACTTTCATTCTAAGTTGAACAGAAGTTAGCAAATGGCTTAGCTTCTCAACACTTATAAAAAGCCTACTTTTCTCAAATAAGTTTCTGCATTTTAAAAGAAATAGTTTGTCAACCAATTCTTGATGTGTCATTTTACAAAGTCCTCGCCTAGGCCTGTTTTAGAATCATTAGTTTCTTGAATCCCAAAGTGCAGCTTGCTTTGAAAAGCCACGAAAGAGACACGGAGCCAGATGAGGGAGTTGACTGCTTTGCTGCGCACCAATCCTGGGTAACTCCTCTTCTCAATTCCCAAGGCCACCGGCACAAGAAAGCAGCACTTCCTGTCAACTACGCCGGCCTAAAAAACTGCCCCCATGATGTCTGACAACCTTGACTCTTACTTGAATGCTTATAACCCAGGTCTTTTTTTTTTTTTTTTTTTCTAGAAAAACCAGACCTTTAAAACTGGCAGGTAGCCCACTGTGGTAGAAAATACCTAGGTCAAGTAGTAACTTTGGCAAAGGACTCGCTGCTGTAAAGATGGGAAGAGTAATATCTACTCCCTCAAAACCACTGTAAGGTTCAAATGAGATTATGTATATAAGTTCTCATTATGGTGCCAGCAAATGGTAGCAGTTATGTTCTTCTTCAGTTGTTGAAAACGTTAACCAAAAAAAAGTGGGCTGCAACAACAAATACATATATTCTCACAAAGTTGCCAGAAATTGTTGTCTCAGTCTAGGCTGATATTTAATGCTAATAAGCCTGAGCCTTCCCTAACCATTCCCAGGAAGAGGCTCAGCCTTCAAATGGAATCCAACTATTACCTTAATGCCAGCAGCAGGAACAGAGGTCATACACAGGTGCACCTCTTTATATGGATACCTATCATTTCACTTAGCCATCATGTGGTATGGCTACTGTAGAGGAATATTTCATGTTTTTGAGAACTTGTAAAATCCCCTTACCCTGCGCAAATTTTCAAAATACTGGGAAAGTAGCCATGATACACAGAGTATACAGCGGCATTTAAATTGGCAATAGAGTGAAAACAGATGTCTGAGTATGGAGGAATAACATTATTTTTAGAAGCCTAAACACAACTGGGTGGGTGGGCAAGTTTTGACATTTTCTGGTCAGGACAATGTTAATATCAGGTTTGCAAACCACAAAAAAGCTCCCCACTTTCCCTGAATAAAATGTGGCTTATTAAAAGGTGTGATACAACACACCATCATCTTCCCAGTGTCTGTCCAAGAAGAGCACTTCGGAGGCGTTAATGCAATGAATGAAGAGAGGAAGAAGGTAGATTACTTGAAGGAGTTTGTCACTACTCAAATGGCAAAAGAGAAAAATCCAAGTTCAGAATACCAGAACTCTAGGGCTGTTATAACAACTCCTATCTCTCTGTTAATAGACAATTGGGGGCACGCTAGAGTGAAAGCAGCATGGGCTTTGAAGTAAGAATCTCAGCTTTGACAATTCGAGGATTAAATTAAATCACTTGTAGCAAAGTATCCAGCAGTCAGCCCACCATTAATGGTAACAACAACAATAATAACAGCAACAACTAAGACTCTAGACAGCAAAGGAGAATATGGCTGCTTCTTTTAGGAGCGAGCCTCAGGTTTTCTAGGAATTCCTTCTCAATTCAGAGGCCCTCTAAACCCTCTCTATGTGTGGCAAGAACACCCAGGCGAGATGAGCCTTTGCAGAAAGCTTACAATACTTATTTATTCTCCCCAGACTCCATTTCTCACATCCTCATTTCCTGAATAACAGGAGTTGGCTGCACTAAGCCAGGTTCTCTATTTTCCCTTAAAATTAAGCCAATTTTCGGTGGGTCAATGTAGAAGCGCAGATTCAGAGATGAACATTTCCTTTCTCCTCATCAGAGCCAAATCTGGGAACGTACAGATTACAGGAGCTGGCACATAAGCCAAGCTGTCGAGGTGGAGGAAGAAGGAAAAAAAGAAAAAGGTGTTGTGAACTGGCAACCTTGCAAAGTCTAAGGGAAACAACACAAGAGACTCTGAAGCTATGTACAGGCAACTGGGGAGGGAGGGGGGACATAAACAGCCACTTGACATTCCAAGTGTCATTTATCTTTCTGCAATGTGCTTAAAACCCTACTACTTTCCCATAACTGGACTAAAACAGGGCCCACTAATCAGATCTTAACTCATACCCTTTTTTCAACGAACAGTCAAGGACACTGCGTATTCACACAATTAGAGAAAGAGGCAAAGGCCACCTTGAAATTCAGCAGGCATAAAACATGCCTCTTTCTCCCTCACTTCCTGAATTTTCCACTCTGAAAATGACAAACAACAACTCTCAGCCTGGATAGAGCTAGACAGACCTCAGTTAAAAGCCCATCCCATCTCTTCTACTTAACTATGTAGCAAGTCCTAAAACTTCTTTTAGTCTCAGTTTCCCCTTATTATAAAGATAATAACATGCACCTTGTTGTAAGAATAAAAAACAATCATCTATGTAAATCACCCAACGTGGTTTGATATATGCAAAAACTCGAAGTGGGTATTTGTAATTATTATAGTCTGCTTGTGAGGATTTCATACCAGTCATACGGACAGAGCCAAGCCCGTGAGAGGCTCTCATTTGATCCATGGATCACTGGAAGAACTCTCTACATAAAACTCTATATATTCTGTTTTATTCCAGACAGAATAAAACACACTCTCAAAATGGGAGTAAAAAAAAATCTATTTTGAGGTGGTAGCAGTGGTCTATTGTTAAAAACTCGTATTAAGGGTAGAAGGGTACATGGTTGATCACAGACTCTCAATTACCCACTAGCTGTGTGATCCTGACTAAACTGTTTAACCTTTTTAACCTTCTAAGGTTTCCTCAAATTTAAATAAGTACTTGGCCTACCTTTCAGGTTTTGTCCAAAATGTTAAAAGAGAAAATGCATTATAAAGTAGTTAACAAAGTATCTGGCATAAGTAAATGCTATTAGTGGTACATTACTTTTATGATTATTACTAGTAGCACATATATCAAAGTATAAACATCATCCCTTATATCAAGAGGTCTAGCCCACAAAAATCTGGAGAAGACTTTTGTGGCCAACCAGTGGGTTTTTCCAAACCACACTTTAAGAACCACTGGGTAGACCACCATGATGTAGAGGCTGTGTCGCACAGGGTTTTCCCACAGAGCTGTTTCCCCTCACACCTGCCTCCTCTCCTACTTTAAACTATCATTTCAGCCTGAAGAAGTGATGATGGCAGGTGGTGTCAGATACTGTCATGCCACAGAATACTGAATTCACATTGTCAATTCTAACAGCAGTCATGAGGATTCAATCAAACTATCTATGTTGCCACATCTTCAACCTGATCAGAGTTCTTCAAGGTTCCTGTTTGTTCATAATTAACTTTAAACATCATTCTTTTCAAAGAATTTTTTTGATAAAATTATTCAAAGAAGTCTGGAAATAACTTTGTAAATAGTTGCCCCTCATCAAGTGAAAAAAAAAAACAGAGGGTAATGTAGTTTATAAGATGTGTACATAAGAAATGCCTTAGTACAACTACCTGGGGTAAGAGACAGCCCCATCTCCCCTACAATACACACACATCAACCTAAGATTAAAGTTAACACCATGTCTCAGCCACTAGCACTGTAGGGGCAACTTATTCTAAGTTTGGAACTGCCAATGGTCAATTAATTCTTAAACTTTATGATTTATCTAGTGAAAGTTTTTATTTAACCTCCTTAAAGGGTTACTTTATAGATCATTTCAGAGAGCAGAATATTCAAGACAGTTTGGGCTTTAAATAATGATATTCCAGTCACATTCAGATTTACCATTAATGGAATGATTCCATTATTCACATCTGCCTGGAAGGGTGGTGGGGTCTGAAAAAGCACATGTTTCTCCGTTAATGAATTTTGGCACAATAACTTTTATGTCTATCACCTGGGGGAGAGGATTACTTCACATTTGGGAAACTGAGTATAACTTTATGGGTGATATTGCATTGCCTAGCAAAGGCTAAAGTTTTCTGCCAAGGAGGAAACAGTGAAGTAACCAAGACCTGCCAAGAACACATGTGAAAGAGTTAATGAGAAATGCCTGTGCATGTCTTTCCTGGTTCAAGGAAAAAGGCTAAAATAGTAAAACTGAACTAATTAGAACACATGAACGATATCAAACATCTCCAATGTTTCTCATCAAGTTTACAGAGTTTTACTGGTCTGGTGAAGTTACGCTCAAATCCAAAATGGTCCAGGAGCATAATTTGCCCTATAAAATCCACTTAACTATTGCTTAGAATGATATCTGAGTCATGTTTATGAAAAACTATGAGTAATGTACAGAGAAAACTTGAAATGTGCCTTCTCTAGTTCTCTAGAGATGGCTCAAAAATGTAAAACAATGCTTACTTAAAAAAACGGGGCCTTGGATTTTGGAAAATTTATCAGCTTAGAATAAAAAGATGATTTTAGATTAAGGTTTGAATTAACCGGCAGCCTTGCAGAAGCATTTCATGTTTTAGAAAAGTTAGATATTCTTTGCAAAAGACATTATTTTCTCTGCAGAATAGCTGCAGATTATATACAACATGACACATTTACTCCAAAAGCTCAACTTTTTAAAAAAAATTATTAGTTCTACGATTTTAGACCAAAAGAACACTCTAAGGCAACATAAAAAGTTGAGAACAAGAAACAAAGAGCCCATAAAACAGATAAATCATAAAGTTACCTCTATATCCTGGATAATCTTTGGGTATAATGACCTATAAAATGAATTTGGAGGGCCATCTGTGGGTCTGTTTTTAAACAGGTACTGATCCCTGGCAAATAAAAACAAACAGATGTTACATTTTTGCACATAAAAGGGTGAATTTTATCTAAACATGGTGCTGACAAAGATATATCTTTCATGTCTTTTAATTTGCATTGAGTTTTAACAGTTCAAAAGCAGGATTTCTGACAAATTTACATGTTACAGACAAGTTTAGCTCAATTCACAGCTCTCTAACAAAATCCTGATCGTGTTTTCTGAGTACTAATATGTAACAATCTAGCCTTTCATTCCATAGAGTTTAATAAAAAGCGCTAATGTAGCTTTGTGAAAAATCTAACTTAGTACACATCAAACTTCCTCCCGTAAGGAAAATACAGCCCTATATGCACCTCTGTCTGTAGCTCTCTCTCTTTGCTAACTGGGCCATACAGCATACAGCTAGCTATAAAGCTGCATCAGAGTTATGAGTTTTCTCTGAAAAATCCTATCACTGTTATTACTTCCTCAACCAGCAGTAATAACAAACAGCAAAATGGCACTATCTGACTTTCTCATATTTTTGTCATATCTATATTTTGGTAATGGTATCATCAACTAAGCAAAATGTGAAGGAAAAAACATAAATACATAGCTTTGAAACGCCAAATCCCATCAAACTATATAATACAGTTCATAAAGGAAATACACATTTCAGAGGGAGAAATTTTAACAGCTTTAACTTTTTCTTCCAACTTTTGACCACTCATTTTCCCCCCTTTTTAAAAATAGGCCAGCACATTTGCAAGTATAATTGCATTTTTGAGTAATCAAGCTGACTCTATGTCAATAAAATTTTTTCAAGGGAACAAGCAACCCAAGTACTTACCACCCTCTTCTTTCTGAAAGTCCTTTCCATAGGGGATCAGTGCGTACCATTCGTTCAATCAGCTTCTTCCAAAGCATTCCTTCTGAGATCACTCGCTGCCATTCTTTACATACCAGCTCTGCTGCACACAGAGACCTGGCATCCAGGTACGAAAGAATGTTTTCTGCTATGTGATCTAAGCCTTGCTCTACAAAACAGAAAAGGGAATGAAGGAACGGGAAGAGAGATAGAAAGGTACCAGCCATCATTTCCTTAAAGATAAGAGGAATAAAGAAATCCTGAACCAAGTAAAATATTTTAGTCATATCAAAAGTTCTACAGATACTCAAATCCATGAGTACATAAACATATACACTTCTTTTTGGTTCTGATTTTTTACGATAAAACAATTGATAGCAACTCTTCTCTGTGTGTAAAAGCTGACCTTGGACAGTTCTGTTATTTGTCAAATATTAAGATAAGACTTTTCATTTTCTTTTATATAACTCTCACAGCACTCCTATAGGGCAATGACGCCCCAAGTTTGACAGATGAAGCACAGAAAGGTAAAGAACTCAAGATTTTACACTCCCTTGGCTTTACTACTGGAACTCGGATTTCTTGCTTCAAAGTTTGTGTTCATTCCCATCTTACTCACTGTCTCTCATAACAAATCATATCCCCATTAATCCATACCCGGTGTGAATCCCTGGGAGATCAGAAGACAAAAAAGGCAAAACACCGACTCATCTTGAAAAACTTATGAAAAGTTAAATGGCAATCCAAGAATTAAAGTCGATTGTGCTTAAATGTATTTTTGTCAATCTTTTCATCTCCCTTTCGTGAGTATCCATTTTCTGTTCCTAAACAGATGGGACAATCCTCAAAAGCAATAGCCCCATGTCTACAAATCCTAGAATCTTAGAGGTCATTGGCTTCAACCTCCCACGATACAAGGATACTCTCAAAGAAAACCACTTTCAGCCTCTGCCTGACATTCACAATGGGAAGATGATCAACATGGCCACCACTGTTGCCACCTGTAAACTCCCATCCTGTGGCGGTAAGTATGTCTTCTACAGTTGCAAGAAATAAAGCTTCTCCCCAAGCTTATTCTGTGTAGGGACGAGAACACAGAACTTATCATCAGAAAATTCCCATTTCAAGTCCCAGGTTCACCACTTACTAGTTCTATGACATGAAACAAACACTGAAACATCCCTGTGCCTTGAATTTTTGTGCCCTAACATACAAAATGGTAATCACCAGTAACAACTATCCTTTCTTACACTGTCTGTCAGAATCAAATTCAACAGTTTTATGAAAACATTTTATAGACAAGCACTCTACAAGGTTAATATCTGTTCTCTTTTCTCAAAATAATTAGAAGTAGTATAATAGCACTAAACTTGGTTGTTGAAAGGCCAGATGTAGGTAAATTATTAAACTTTCAGAGTCAGTTTCCTCATCTGTATAAGATTACGATAATCTCTACTTGATTCTGAAAATATCAAAATGAGATGATGC
Source organism: Homo sapiens (assembly GCF_000001405.40). Taxonomy (NCBI): domain Eukaryota; kingdom Metazoa; phylum Chordata; class Mammalia; order Primates; family Hominidae; genus Homo; species Homo sapiens. Next base: position 171,901,420 of record NC_000005.10, read on the forward strand.
ATGAAAAATGCTTTACAAACTAAAGTTCCTTCAATTCTAAGAATGACTATTATTATACCATTGGTTATAATTTCCAGGTCCTTCATATACTAAAATTCTCTTACTCTGGACTAGATCAAAGACCCAAGCTATGGTCTAAGAATAAAGACTACACTGGGACCACTGTCCTTTCCTGCATGTCATTTACAGTTAATGTGGTCAAAGGCTGCACTGCCTTCATCTGATAGTCATATCACAGAAGACGCCTAAGATGGCAGTAAGTTAGAATAAAATCCCAGGCCTCTCCCCCAAAAACATCTATTGAAACAATTTCCCCGAATGCTCTATTTGCACAGCTAGTTGGAAAGGTGGGGGGCAGCTTTGTGCGGTTTATATTTATCCTTACTATAATTCACCTTCAAAGCTTTGTCTGACCCATCCATTTCAGTCTCTAGAATTCTGATTTTTGTCACACCCAGAAGAGTGGGTATTCCACACCAGACCTGCATGATGGGCTAAAGTACTAAGGCAAACATGTTAAACCATGTTGGCAAACACGTTAAACGGGTCAGAACCAAGGACAGCACCCATGACACTAGCTATTAGTACCTATTATTATAATATTTCCCTCCAAGCTAGCACTGATGCCGCATCAATATGCCCAGGGCACCCACACTGCGACATCCGGTCTGTAGTCATCTATATGTGCCATTGCCCAGTCCATATCTCTCTATTCTGTCCTCGGAGGTATTTGGAAAAATCAGCAGATGATGATATTACCATCTATTTACATCATTCTTCAGACCTACCTACTAGCCTGGTAACTTTATCCAAAAAGGAAATAAGGTGAGGAGGGTATGGCTGCTTTCATGTTCCCGTGCTGGGGTTTACTACATAAAGTTGTATTGCAATTTTTCACTTACATGTTGACACTAGCTGCTTGGTAACCCTTTTAAACATATCTAGTTCATGTTCATTATAGAAAATTTATAAAGTGTAGATGAGCAAAAATTTTTAAATCCCTAAACCCCATTTCCCAGAGAAGGGAACCACTTTTCACATTCTGTATACATCCTTCTAGGTTTACACAACCATACACAATCTTTTCAGAGGCTGATTAGCCTTTGAAACTCATCTAAGAATTCTGCTAAAGCACAACATCAAATTTAATAGCTAAATCCCCCAAAAACACCTTCTCCAGTTCTTAAAACCAGGAAGTCTGCTCATCAATCATCTCTGGTGCTATCATGCAAGACTACCATGTGCAACTGTACAAGCTGTACAGGGCACAATTGTACCCAATAGTTCTGCATACTGATTTTCAATTGCTTCACAATGTTCTACAATTTGAAAAATCACAACCACAGGTTTTGCCACTATCCAGGCATACAATGTATTTAGGCCTACTTGTCTATAGGAGCTATGTGATTGCTAAATATCTTCACATCTTTCTCAAACACAACTTTGCTAACCTTTGTTTTAAAGCCATTATTCTTGGGTTGGGGGGATGGTGGGATTAGGTTAATGGGAGTGAAAATATGTTGTTTCTTTCTATTATCACTATACTATCTATTCTAAGCACACTATCCCTTCATCCTTTATAATCTGGCTCCAAATAGTTAATTATTTTGTTTTCAACTCTTTCAATTTACTTCAACATTTTGGACAATTTAACATTATTTGGAGTTTGGTCTTCTTGGTACCATTCTCAAAGGTTTCACAGGGACTCACTCTATCACCCAAGTTGGAGTACAGTGGCACAATCATGGCTCACTGCCACCTCAAACTCCTGGGTTCAAGCAATCCTCCCACCTCAACCTCCCAAGTAACTAGGACTACAGGCACATGCCTCCACACCCAGCTAATTTTTTTTTATCATTTGTAGAGATGAGGTCTCACTATATTGCCCGGGGTGGTCTCCAACTCCTGGGCTCAAGCAATCCTCCTGCCTTGGTCTTGAAAGTGCTGGGATTACAGGCGTGAGCCACTGCGCCTGGCTGCCTTTCTTCCATCTTCTATGTTTACTTAAAATCAGGGAAATCCAAGGATAATCACGTGGGGTTCTGCTTGTGCCTCTCCATCACTAGGATTGACAAATTATTCATCAGAATTTCAAACTGCAGAATCCGTCAGCCTTCTTTTATCACATTTTTGTTCAGTCTCTAGCCGTGGACTAACAGACTTAGCTCTTTCAATCTTTCTAACGCTGGGGTACTTATCTATCTTCCTTTTCTGATTTCTACACTTAATATTAGAACATAGCTAATTACAGCATCTCACTCTGTTGCCCAGGCTGGAGTACAGTGACATGATCATGGCTCACTACAGCCTTGACCTTCCAGAATCAAGTGATCCTCCTGCCTCAGCCTCCCTAGTAGCTGAGACTACAAGTATGCACTACCATGCCAGGCTAATTTTTTTTAAAAAAAATTTTAGTAGAGACAGGATCTCACTATGTTGCCCAGGCTGAGAACATAGCCACTTTTAAAGTAATGTAAACTTCACATCATTAACCCAAATCCTCCTAACTGGTTATAAACACATCTCAAACTAATTCCTCTCTAGAACCCTCTGCTCTCTGAAAGGTGAAACAAATGGCAAGACAAGGATGCATTAGGGGCTGCATGGTGGCTCACACCTGTAATCCTAGAACTTTGGGAGGCCAAGATGGGCAGATCGCTTGAGTCCAGGAGTTTGAGACCAGCCTGGACAGCATGGCAAAACTCCATCTCTACTAAATATACAAAAATTAGCCATGGTGGCACACGCCTGTAATCCCAGCTACTTGGCAGGATGAGGCGCGCGAGAACCACTTGAACCTAGGAGGTGGCGGTTGCAGTAAGTGGAGATCATGCCACTGCACTCTAGCCTGGGTTACAGTGCAAGACTCTGTCTTTTTTTAAAAAAAATAAAAAATAAAAAGAATGCATTAGATACTCGCCTTTTCAAACCTCAAAGGCTGCAACATCCCCATCATCTGTGACGGGAAAGCAGCACCCAAACCTTCAACCTATCTGGGTGGTCTATAAGCCTGTGTGGTTGTATCTGACTCAACTCAGGGTTACTGATTTTCAAAACAACAGCAAAAAGAAAAGATCCCCCCAATCTTCTCCTGACCTACAAAATCAGAATCTCTAGACGGTAAGGCCCAGGAATCTGGGTGTGGTTTTTTTGTTGTTGTTGTTGTTTTTGGAAACAGATTCTCACTCTGTCGCCAGTATGGAGTGCAGTGGTGGGATCTCAGCTCACTGCAACCTCCACCTCCTGGGTTCAAGCGATTCTCCTGCCTCAGCCTCCCGAGTAGCTGGGACTACAGGCGCACACCACCATGCCCAGGTAATTTTTGTATTTTTAGTACAGATGGGGTTTCACCATGTTGGCCAGGATGGTCTTGATCTCTTGACCTCATGATCCACCCAACTCGGCCTCCCAAAGTGCTGGGATTACAGGTGTGAGCCACCGTGCCCAGCCAGGAATCTGTATTTTTAAGAAGTGCCACTAGATAATGCTGAAGTATTAGGAACTATTGGTTTATAGCAATGATATCCCTTTTAGTCCTCTTTGATTCCCCCATCAATTGCTCACAACTAGGCTATCATGAGTTTTTACAGAAATAAATCCCTTACTAATACTTATTTCTTCCTCTTTCAAATGCCATCAGTCCAATTAAGCAACATCTCAGTGATATCTATGAGATTTGACCTATTTCCTTTGTCTGATACTTTAAATGCATTTCCTCCTTCTATGAGGCAGCATGTTTTAGTCTTGTGAAAAACACACTGCCTGAAAGTCAGAAAAACTAGGTTGCATCTCAGTTCTGTCAACTGCTAGTTGTGTGACCTTAAGCAGATCAGTTTTCCTTTTAGGATCTCAGTCTTCCATAATATCAGAATGATATTAAATGTCTGAAATAAATTACATCATATAATCTTCACAATAACCTTCTGAGATAGGTACTCTACATACCCTCATTTTACATAGAGGGAACCTCCCAGTCTTGCTGCGAAAGTTTAAAAAACAGCATACGTAAAGAGCTAGGTAAATAAGAAGTTCACTCAAGAAATATCAGTCTTTGTTCTACTCTCCCCCAAATCCTCTCAGCAGATATCAATGGACAAGGCCGATACACAATATTCTTCTTGTTACCTTCTGCAGAAAAAATACTACGCATCTCCTCCAGCAAAAAGCTAACCCCCCCCCCTTTATTTTCTTGGTATAAGTCTCATGGCCCCTTAAATGTTTTGAGAAGAACAGGAATCACACAATCTCTATTCAGGTACCTTAGAGTGGCCACCCTCAGGAGCCATGCAGAGCATGTAACTTTCTGGTTTCAAGCCTATTCAGGACAAAGAGGTTACTGAATAAGGTGGTCCATTTGCCTGGGCTAAAAAGTGCTTTGAGGTGTTAAAACTAAGCATTTTCTGAAGTACCTATGTCTGGCTCTCATTACTCTATCATGCTGAGACTCCCCCATCTCTCACCACCACCCCCTCTTCCTAAGGCAACAAGAGGACACATTACAGCCTCAGAAAATTGAGGCCATAATACTTCGCACACAGTGCTGAAGACATGCTGCTGTTGTTAATTACAGGAACCAGATGAAAGTCTGGAAAAACTTCAATAATAAATTAAAACAATTAAAAGGCACAAATTTCAAAGCTCAATATGTAAATAACACTGTATCAAAACTCAAATGTCAATTAAATGCCCTTGACTACAACCAGTTTTAACACAGCTGCTTAGATCATACAATTACAGAAACTTTTATTATTTTAGAAATGCATTTCAAAGAGCAGCTGCAAAGAAACTTCCTTTCCCACCCACCCGTGTTATCCCTTCCCCCTCCCTAGTCACAAATCTAGTTGTAAAATCTGAAGTTCTAAACGTTTTAAAAGAAAACAATGCAATTGCTAACAGCAACAGTCCCTCAACGGATGCCTTTCACTTGGAAAACACCAACCTAAGGTTTCAGACAGAAATGAAGTGAAAAGAAGCTCAGGTCACAAAGTCTAACATCTTTTTTCCATAAAACACCCAGGAAACAAAACAACAAAGTGACAGACACCTATATGATGTCAGAATGAATCAATTCGGGAATCAGTGGGTGAATAATTAAAATTTCCTACCAATAAATCTTACTACCTCTGGAGAAGCAGGTGTTTCCTGCCTCTCTGGGCTTTTTCTTAAGCTGCCATCCTCAGAGTACCCAATAGATGCCAGGCATATTATAACATATTATCATTAATCCTCACACAATACCCATAAAGTATTACTATTATTCCCACACAGAGGAGGAAACTGAGGCTCCAGAAAGTGGGACCACACAGCTGTAAAGTGTAAGGGCTAGGATTCAAACCAAGGGCCTGTGTGACTCCAGCACCCATGCTTTTTCCTGTCACGCTGCTCTGGCCGTGTACCCATCCTAAAGCCTTATCTACGCTCTGTTTCTTCCACATCTCCTGGGACTTTTAATCTAATCTCTGTCACATTTATGGTCCATAATGGCTTATCATCCTTTCTTGGGGATAAGACAATTGAATAAACCAGGGCCAGACAGCCAAGTGTTTCAAAACTCTTAATTGCTTAGACACCTCAACAAACCGATCACCAATGCTTATCATCCTTTTTGAAGTACAATCTGTCCCTACTTTACATGGTATGAATTTTCCCATTAACAACAGTTCTTACAAACCGCAAACTCAGCCTGCAGAAATTGACATTGCAGACTAAACATTTACTATGATTTTTAGAAAGGCATATCATAATTATCACTTTTTCCACTGAGCCAAAAGGAGCCAGAGACCACAAACATTTTCCATTTTCCCTATACTGACAGGTATGATATTCACAGCAAGCATTTAAAAGCTATAATTATAATTTTTACAGAATTAATGGTTTTCACAATCAAATGAAGTCGTAAGTTGACTGTCAATTTCAATAGTGTAAAAACCTCAAACTCAAGATGATGTACAGTAAAAATGAAACACCAAACTAGTATAATGATTCATAAGTTGCTCCACACATTATTAAATCTAAGTATGAACATGGACACAGACCTGTTTCTCCTGTGATGCTCTTAAAGCAGAGTCTGTGTTAAGGAACTAATGCCATGTTTAATCTAGGTCTACTAGATACTAACTAACACAATCAACTTGGCCAGCTCGTCCTCAGCTATTAGATTCATATGTATGATATACACTGACATATGTATATATGTTCAGATCAAGTCCTGTTAAAACAAATAGCATTTTAACTAAAGTATTTCCATGTCCCAGCCAATGGTCCATTCATTTCATGTAATATTCAATACCACAAAATTCCACTTTAACAGAGATATGGACAATGCCTTAACATTCGCTGTAATGAAAACTGAATTGTATGCAATTATACTAACCATATTTATATACATAACACATGTTCATCTGTTCTGCTTCTTCTCCAAGGCTGTATACTCCCTAAGAGATGGGGTTGCCTCTGAACTATACTCTGAAAAATCAAGAGAACTTCAACAGTGCCACCTTGTGGCTACTCTGCAAATACAAGGTGAGTTCCCTGGCCCTCTAAAACGTTTGAGAAGCAAATTACAGGGAAGAAAATAAAACCAAAACGGTGGAAAACAAACAATAAATTGAATTGCTTGAGAAAAATGAAGGCATCCTCTCATCAGTTAAAATCACTTATGAGGGACAAATACAATCACCAACTTAAAAAAAGACTCTGTCTTTTCTTGGTGTGAGATGCAGTCTGATTCTATAGGTTTCTGGGTTTGAGTTCTGCACATACAGAGAAGCTGCATCATATGTACATGCCTCATCTTACTTCCATTCACCTGTAATTCTCTCTCACGCAATCAAAAGCATGTCTCCATCTCCCCCTCCCTGGATCCCTCCCTCATAATTAAAAGTGAGAATTATTGAACTGAGTTGTAATCCTTACATTCAGTACTTGGGGCCAATTTAAGGAATTTTCCTTAGCCGTTGTACTAATTTTTGAACCAACCCCTACCATCATTCACATCACCACCACTATAATCAAGATGTGTGATTCTGGGCATCTCACCCAATTAACTTCTCCTTGGCTTCCTAATCTACACAATGAAAAACAGGACTAAGTGATGGCTAAGATCCCCTTCAGCAATTAAATAGTATGATTCTAGAAAGAGAGGATTTACGTTTTGCTTTCCTAGAGATTCTAATGGAAGAAATGAGCAAGTCATGCTAGATTTCAGCATAAAAAGAACGGCAGTGTCAAATTTTTCTAAGCTAACTCTCAAATATCCTTAAAACTCCCATTGTAGAAGGTAAACTTACACGTTTTGGAAGAGAGATTAGAAATCAGAAGCTGGTTTGTCAATTTGCAGCCTCAGGTTTCAGGCCTGAGGCCTGAGCCTGGGTCTTGTTTGCTGTGGAAGTACTTAGAACATGAGTCTTGTTTGCTGTGGAAGTACTTAGAACACGGAGTCCTGATGTTCTATAAATCACAGATAGGCTAAGGGAGGAGCTACTCTTTAAGAAGCTATCCTGTAGCTCTGACAAGGGCTAGGGTTGTGGTAATGGTACTGGCTCATCCCTGGCTACTTCTAGGCTTATTTTGACATGGCAATTTTAACCACACACTACACTGGCCACATCAGAGGAAAACATTCTGGCCAGCATTCTCTATAGGAGTGAAATCTCTATATCTTACCTAGCCAAATTTAAATTGAGAATTTTTTAAAAAACAATATAGAAACAGAAAAAAATTCATGATTAATCATATTCAAAGGGGAGTTCAGCACAGTGGTGCATGCCTGTAGTACCAGCTACTCAGGAGGCTGAGGTAGGAGTATCACTTGAGCCCAGGAGCTCAAGGCCAGCCTGGCCCACACAGCAAGATGCCACCTCGTTGAGAAAAACAAAAAGGTGGTACAGAACACAGCAAATTTTAAATTATTTTTTAAAAATCAAAGGGAAATAAATAGGTGGAGCACAGTGAAACCATTCTGTAGGAGACTCTTAAGGCAGATATATGTCATTAGACATTTGACCAAACCCACAAAATGAATAACAGCAAGAGTAAACCCTAATGTAACCTATGAATTTGGGGTAATAATGATGTGTCAGCTTAGGTTCATGAATTGTAACAAATGTACTGCTCTGCTGTGCAATGCTGATAGTGGGGCAGGCTGAGGGAACGGGTTATGTGAATATGGGAATTCTCTGCATTTTCCCTTCAATTTTGATCTGAACCTCAAACTGCTCTAAAAATATAAAGTCTACTTTTAAAAATCAAAGTAAATTTAACCAGATGTGTGTGTGTGTGTGTGTGTGCACGTGCGCGCGTGCATGTACACACCTATGTGTGTATGAGACATATATGGGAAGACAGTAGTGAGGGAGAGGATGCAGAAACAGCTTTTGAGAAATATAATAAAGACATGCTACCAGTTTTCCCAATGTATTTTTGCCATTCCTTAAGTGCCACTTCAGATACAAATGAATGCCCTAAACTTTTGGGACACTTCCCAAACATACAAACTATGTTTGAAGGGAAAAGAGTACCAGTTTTTTTAAAATTACATACAAAGGCAAAGTGCAGACTCTAAACTACATCAAAATAAAAAGCATATCATTAACTCATTCAACAGACCAAATGAAGCAACAGTTATGACCAATAATGAACACTTTTTTTTTTTTTTTTTTTTTGAGACAGAGTCTCGCTCTTGTTACCCAGGCTGGAGTGCAGTGGTATGATCTCGGCTCACTGCAACCTCCACCTCCTGGGTTCAAGCTATCCTCCCACCTCACCCTCCTGAGTAGCTGGGATTACAGACATCTGCCACCACCCCCGGCTAATTTTTGTACTTTTAGTAAAGACAGGGTTTCACCATGTTGGCCAGGCTGGTATCAAACTTCTGACCTCAAGTGATCCACCTGCCTTAGCCTCCCAAAGTGCTGGGATTACAGCTGTTAAGCTACTGCGCCTGGCCAGGAATGAACATTATTAAAGATACTGCCTATATTTCCTAGATAGATACTAAATTATAATTCCTCGAGTTCCATATATTAAAGTATGCGTCCCAAAGAAATGCTGCCTCACACAGTACTCATTCAATCATTTCATAAATATCCACCTAGGTCCTTGGGCCGGGCATTCTTCAACTGCTCAGCTTTTGAAAAGACAAGTACAGTTACCTGGTAAAGCGGTAATAAAGTCCCGCTGCAACATGGGCTTCAGGTAAGAGTTAATATGTCCATGCTGATAATGACACATTCGTGAAATAAGATGTTCCACAAATTCCACTTGATCTGATTCAGACCACTGGTCAAAATATTTAATACACAAGTCTTTTTCTTTTTGATAGTTTCCTTCTGATGGCCTCTTTCTGGAGACGATCACAGATGATGTTCCATTACTTATCTATTTTAGAAAAACAAAAAAAAAATTAGTTTAACAAGGAAAGAAACCTAATTAATATTTCATTAGAAATATTTTTCACCCTGTGTATTTAATCTTAAAATGCCACTTTTACCCTAAAGCCAAACTCATTCCTTTACTAATTCATTCAGGAATTAAAAATGTATTCAGGGTCTGTGTCCTCAAATTAGTCACTACAGGAAATGCCAAAATTGTAGCTATTTCTAAAAGGCACCTTAAATTATCATTTTCCAATGCTTACTACAAAATGATGCTCCAAAGGTATATACTGGGTATCTCTATACACGGGATATATATGAATTATCATCTCCAAAGATAGCTAATGCTGGAGATAACCATCTTAGAGAAACTGCTCAACTTGGCAAAGTGGCAACTGATTATTAACAGTTTGTTTTACTTCCTCAAAGTTCAAAGTTAATGCTACATACATTTATGCTAATGGTTCTCAAACTTGAGCTAGCATCAGAATAACAGGAGGGATTGTTAAACACACAGATTGCTGGGTCCCACCCTAGAGGTTTCGGTTTTATTAGTCTGGAGTGGAGCCCATGAATTTCTATTTCTAACAAGTTTCCCAGCAATGCTGATGCCACCCGTCCAGAGACTACACTTTAGGGACCACATGTTGAGAACCACAGGTCTATATAACAAAGATAAGCTGTGTTGTGTTGAAACCTGAAAGCAATTCAATCCAAAAAGCTTCATTTTACCCAACAGTTTCAATCTCCTCCATACTTTCCCAGGGCTACTAATCTGGCAGAACGGTTTAGACTTTCCCATCCTTCTTTTGATTACCTTCTCAGAAAGTGACCCAAGGTAAATAAACCATGTATACCTGAAAAGCTCTGCATCTTACGTAGGTGGTTTATGGACAACTCACAGACTCTTATACTAACAATGCATTTCTCATCAAATCTTCCTACAAGTCCTTACATAAAATCAGTACATATTTTTTAAAACTGAAACTACATACACTGCATCTGGACAGTAACATTAAAAATAATCTCAATCACTAGACTCAAACCACAACTACTATGAAGTGCAGTAACCTCCCTGTCTAAAAACAAAATAACCTCAATACTTTTGTCAAACATTTGTCAAGCTATCTATTGACCACTATTCTGACAGCCTCCTCATACATAATACCAGAAAAAATAACACAAAAGATAATTCTAAGAACTGAAGAGCTGAATTACAAATACCTATTAATTCCGTTAGGAACTTATCTCAGGAGTCTTACATGGAATGAACCAAGAGCTTTCACTATCAGTATGTCCCCTAACTTAAAGTGGACTAAATCCATCCCAGAGAAAACATCCTTTATAAATATCCAAAGGAGTCTTCAGTTTTCCTTCACACAAAATCTTGTCTGAAGTTCTTATGTCCATATTTAGAGGTATGAGATGGGAAGGCATCTATCTTCCACTCAATTTATCCTAGCGCCCCACTGTCGAGGAATGTTTCTTCCCTTGTATCTTGGGTGAGGAAAAGCTCACTGACACCAGGTACCACCAGGGGGAAGCATTGAACAAGGATTTTGAAATTTTGCTTTTACTAAGACATTTGAGTCTTAACAGATCCAAAAAATAAGAGTTCAAAACAGAGATGAAAAGTCTTTGCTGTGATGAATATTGGCAAGAATAAGGGGCATCTAAGTTGCTTTAAGCATAAGAATGTCCACCACAATATAACAAGGAAAAGTTAGAAATAACTGCCCAATTACAGGCAACTATTTAAAACAAATTCTAACTCATCACCATTAAGAGCTATAATGTAAGCCACTAAAACTAGCATATAAAGTAAGATTTTGGCCAGGCATGGTGGCTCATGCCTGTAATCCCAGCACTTTGGGAGGCCAAGTTGGCTGGATCACTTAAGGTCAGGAGTTCGAGACCACTCTGGCCAACATGGTGAAACCCTGTCTCTACTAAAAATACAAAAAGAATTAGCCAGGCATAGTGGTGGGCGCCTGTAATCCCAGCTACTCAGGAGGCTGAGGCAGGAGAAATGCTTGAACCTGGGAGGCGGAGGGTGCAGTGAGCTGAGATTGCACCACTGCACTCCAGCCTGGGGTGCACAGCAAGACTGCGTCAAAAAAAAAAAAAAGTAATATTTTTATAGCAACAGAACATGCTTATGAAATAATATCAAGAAACAAAAGGCAAGATCCAGGATTTTATAAAACATTATGATCACAGTAATTCATGACAAGGGGAACACACCATGACAGAGTAAAGGATATACATCAAAATCTCAAAAGTGCCTTATCTTAAGAAAAAAAACTATGTATGCTTTCCTTCCCCCTTTATTTCTATATTTGATTCCAAATAACTTGCCAAAATAATGGTTCATAACAGGTTAAATATAATGATAACAACTTGCATTTGTGTACTGCTTTATAATTTACAAAGTACTTTCACAGCCATTAATTCATTTGATAAACAAAAGTGTTATTTTATTTACAGATAAGTTCCTAATCATCTGGCCTCCCTAGAGTGTTTGTATAACTATTAACTAGTTGACTGAAAGATAAATGAAAGAAAAACTGAAAGCTAAAGTGTGAAGAACCACTGCCAATTGAAAAATCATAGTAAATGAAGAGCATCCCACTGCAAAATAATAAACGTGGAGGGTACAAAACTCAGTCTGTACACAGTGTTAAGAAGAAAATAACAGCATGTGCACTATTCTATAGCACATTTTCAATATGCTATTTCCAGCCACGTGCTCAGCCCAGCAAGCTCTTCCTAGCATTGTTTTTCTTTGCTTCATTTCCTCTTAAATGTGTTGGATGCACTTTGTTCCTGCTAACTAATCTATCTTTTCAGTTTCAAATCAAATGAACCCAGAGAATTTATTTTTACATTATTATCTTCAGATTTAGATTTGTTTTGCTTTTAATCCTGTCTTCATGAAGGGGAAAGCCATGTGTACCAGCATGGTTGATAAACCACCAAATCGTGAAACTTTGCTTGCTCCCCAAACCCCCAACCACACACACATACACACACACACACACACACACACACACACACACACACACACACACACACACACACAACCTGGGAAATTGGGAAGAAAACTGGCAAACCTTAAACTAGAGCCAAGGGAGAAGGAGACAAGCTTAAAAGGAAAAGGCAAACCAATGGAAATGGGAGAGAAGAGTAAAGGTTGAGAGCAAAAGGAGAAAAGGTCATCCATGTATACACTGGTGTGTGGCATGGTGCCATTCTGGTGACAAAGGATGCCATCACTGTCCATCTTTGGCTTAGGCAGAGGCCACAGACAGAACATTTTAGGCTACAGCCAACTTCAGAATCTTTGTGGAAACTCCAAAATTATTTAGCATATTTGTAATGACAATTCCCTATGGAATGAAGATAAATTAGGGTGGATTCTGAAACTAGCAAAACTGCACAAAAGAAAACAAAATGCTTGGCTCTTGATTCCACTGAGGACATTAACTGAGGGAGCATCCTATCTACAGTAAGTCAGTTGCTATCTAATCTGTGCGCCGTCATTCCTACCTGCCAAAGAGTATTTTTCTTTGGGGACTCATCTTCATTTTGATCTTCCATAACTGAAGTGTTCTAGGGGGGGAAAAACAGGTTATTTGAATTATACCAAGTTTTGCAAATCCTAAATAACTACAATAAATAATTTTGAAAACCCAAACTAGAGTGTACCAATACAAACCCAAGAACTATTTGGCTTTGTGGCTAACACATGCCATTTTGGGTCAAGGGAGATGTGCTCATCTTTCATAAATCGATAAAGTTAGTGGTTAGACAAAAGCAAGCATAAAGTCATTATTTACAAAGGTTGGGTGTGCTTAGAAAAAAAGGCTAAATTGTGGGAGTAAGGCTGAGGCTCAACCTCCGTCATCACTGTTTTTGTACTTGTGACAAGAAATTCCAAAGACCCATGAGGTTTCCGATGATTGCACAAAACATTTACTAGAAGGTCTGCTATTCAGTAATGCACCCCAAGGAATCCGCAATTAGAAGTAGCAAAGCCTTGGAAGCCCCCCTGCCTTCGTCTTTCCTCCCCTGATAGCCTTGTTTTTCTGGAATGGCTTTGCAATCTCTGCTAGCAAGCATAGCGGGTGCCCCAACCTTCTCCCTGAAGAGGAGGATGCTGTTAGCCAGTAACAATCTGGCTTGCCTTGGGAATGCATTAGCTTTTGATTTTTGTGCTTACTGCACAAAGAGGTACTGTGTAATTATTCTTTCTGGTGATCCAGTCGCTCAATAGATGCCCATTAACTAGAGATTATACATGATTGGATTTTCCCTTTTGAAGCTCCCACCTAATGGCTAAATGGAAACTTAATGAGAAGGGGAAGTGGGCTAGTTGTGCTCTGAAAAGAGTAACAACTCATTTATGGATAGCAGTCTCTCTAAATTCCTTCCAAAACCTAAAATTATAAGACTGGGGTATAAAATTTAAACAACATTTGTCTCATAGTATTATTCAAAAGGATATTATAGATCTATTTAAGGTATCAGTGTTTTACAAGATCCTGTTTGTTGTCTTTAGGGAATAAGCCTCTCTCAAATTTTCCCTATTTTTCCTTTATGTTCTACAAGTCCTAAAATGTTTGGACTATTTATACAGTATTTCCAAACAATCCATTTGAAAATACCAATGTAGGTAATGATGTAAGAATCACCACTGAACACTAGCTGCTCTACAGGTCACAAAACTGGCTCTGATCAGGAATGCAGTATGATGGAGTAGGAAAGTCAAAGGCTTTGAAGCCAAAGAGAAGTTGGATTCCTGATTTGGTCACTCATTCTGTGTGTGTGTGTGTGTGTGTGTGTGTGTGTGTGTGTGAGCCTGAGCAAGTTCTTTTACCATGGGAACAAATACAAACACACAGAGTTGTTGTGGGGATGGAGACTGCCCTACACAATGCTTAGTGCATAATGGGTATTCCAAAAAACATTACTTCACTCTCCGATTTGAAGATGCTACTTTTCACTGTGGCATTATTCACAACAGCAAAGACTTGGAACCAACCCAAATGTCCATCAATGATAGACTAGATTAAGAAAATGTGGCACATACACACCACGGAATACTATGCAGCCATAAAGAAGGATGAGTTCATGTCCTTTGTAGGGACATGGATGAAGCTGGAAACCATCATTCTCAGCAAACTATCGCAAGGACAAAAAAACAAACACTGCATGTTCTCACTCATAGGTAGGAATTGAACAATGAGAACACTGGAGACACAGGAAGGGGAACATCACACACTGGGGCCTGTCGTGGGGTGGGGGGAGGTGGGGGGATAGCATTAGGAGATATACCTAATGTAAATGACGAGTTAATGGGTGGAGCATACCAACATGGCACATGTATACATATGTAACAAACCTGCACATTGTGCACATGTACCCTAGAACTTAAAGTATAATTTAAAAAAAAAATGAGAAAAAAAAAAAAAAAGATGCTACTTTTCCCCTGTGTTATCTTCTTATGCTTTTCTAATTTCAGAGATTTTGACAGGATGCTCCAGATGGCCGCCTATGGGGAAAACCTGACTTTCTCAGTAAAATCTTATAAACCCCACAGCATCAAGGTCCACAATGAGGGAGAGGGACAGGAGGGTGGGGCTCTATGTGAAAATCAACCATGAGCTAGAGAGGAAGGCAGTGTGTCCAAGAGTCCAAAACAGGACTGGAGTGGTGAAAGCAGTAAGTAATTCTGAATGGGATGAAGAACAAGGAAACAAAGGTAGTATTTATGGAGGTCTCTCCATGTAATCTTTTCATTGCTATCTTGAAGGGACCTAAGAGTTTAAAGCAAGCAGGTTTCCTCAGGGGAATAAAGAAAGGGGGAGCAGTGACTCAGTACAGCATCCCCTGAGTTTGGTAGTTACAAAGCCGTCTTGCAAGGCCACAATGTCTGGGTTCTAAGAGTGGTAAGGAGAACAAATGGCTGGAAACATGAAAGGTGGAGCACGGAAAGGAATGAGGAATTAAGTGGAAGAGAGATGGGAAGTCAGTCCCCACCCCATGTCTCCAGGTACTGCAGAGGAAACATATGAGGGATGTATATATGGTTTTGTTTTGTTTTCTGTTTTTTGTGGGGTTTTTTTGTTTTGTTTTGTTTTTTAAATACGGAGTCTTGCTCTGTCGCCAGGCTGGAGTGCAACGGTGTGATCTCAAATCACTGCAACTTCCACCTCCCGGCTTCAAGCGATTCTCCCGCCTCAGCCTCCCAAGTAGCTGGGACTACGGGCACACACCACCATGCCCAGCTAATTTTTGTATTTTTAGTAGAGACAGGGTTTCACCATGTTGGCCAGGATGGTCTCGATCTCTTGAACTCGTGATCTGCCCGCCTCAGCCTCCCACAGTGTTGGGATTACAGGCATGAGCCACTGCACCCAGCCAAGAGATGTATATATGTTTTAAACTAAAAGCTTTTGAAATATAGGAGCCAGAATCCTCCAGAGCTATTGTGACCTAAACCACCTTAATATTTTCTTTACTTAAGATGGAAACACAAGAAATGTCAGACTTCCCTGTACACTATACATGAAACAACTCTTCACAGTGAGAAAATTTCACTCTTCATTTATTCCAAAACAGAGAAATGATGTTTACTTATATGGTTGATAAGGAAACAACCCCCTGAAGAAAATAGCAGCTATTGCCTTAAGGCTTCATAAAGAAGGCTAGACATACAATTTAATAAAATTGTTTTTAATAAAACCATGGGGGCTGCAATAGTTCTCCCATCCTACATACTTTTCCACTTCTTTTATAAAGGTTTCAGAAGACACCAAAGGGAAAATGCTGCTCTCAAGTTACACTGACCAGAGGATCCAGAGGATTCCAGGCAATGCAAAAGATGTCTGGAGAAAAAAGCATCCAAGAGTCTAATTAGGTTTAGAAATTAGAGAAATGCTATACACATCCTTGCACTCTAGACTCACTCTGTGTGTGTGTGTGTGTGTGTGTGTGTGTGTGTAAATATATATATTCAATTCAGAGATATATTTTATATATATGTCTCTCAGAAGTTACAATACACTCCATTAAGATACAAAAGGTTCTATAATATACTATTATTTTAAAATTAGGTTAAATTCATTTAATCCAACTTTCCCAAGTTTGTTGGACATGGACAGCCCCCATTTTATAATAATATCTATTAATAATAGCTCAGCACATATTGGCAAACACTGGACTAGAGCAACAGCCTGGCGTAATTCCTTCCTCTCTCTTCACCAAATACTTTTGGGAGACAAAGGAAACACCCACTTTGTTAAATACAATACAGTCCTCTCCTATTCCCCATCATCTTTCTCAGCCTGCTACAGGTTGAGCATCCCACATGCAAAAATCCTAATTCCAAAAGTATAATACAGATATTCTAAAATCTGTACATTTCCAAAATCAGAAACACTTTTGGTCCCAAGCAGATAAGGGATACTCAATCCGTACACAGGGTCGCAGGAATAAGTGGTGATGGCAAAAATAGAAAATTCTCTTATGGAAGCTATAATTTTTTTAATCACTTTGAATTTTATTCCTTAAAGGCAAGAGACAAAAGGTCACAGGTTCAAGGGTGAGGTAAGAAAAAACAATGAGCTTCCCAAGAGAAAAGAAAGGTCATTTCCTATATCCAAACTCTCATGTGAAACCATGGCCAATCTGAGAGTTGAAATCCTCTTTAAGTCTCCAACACTTATGAGAAGGAAAAGTTATTTGAAATACCAACCAGTTTACTTTCTACCCTTCTCATCATTTCCTTCCTCTTATGTCTACCAAGGAGCATCACACGTAAATAGATTACAATGCAGACCCTCCTATTATTCTGATACTACTACCAATCAAAGATATAACCTAGGAAGAAGAAGCTAGACTCTCAGGCAGATCAATTTTAGTACTATTACCATTTTGAGATGGATATTTCTTTGTTGTGGGGCTGCTGTGTGCATTATAGAAGGTTAGCAGCATCCTTGGCCAGTGCCTGTGCCAGGAGCATTCCACACCCTCTGAACTGTGAGAATCAAAAATGTCTCCAGATCGCCAAATGTCCCAGGGAAGGGGGCTAAATCACTCTCTCCACTTGAAAACCAGTGCTCTAGGGATGTGGGCTCCTAAACTTGACACCGTGGGAGAATATACTAAGGCACTACCATCTCAGGCCTGGCCCTTCTTTCTCCTTAGCCATCTTTCCTTGGCCCGTGTGACAGTCTGTGATGCTATTCACATACATCCTGACCTCGCCATGGTAGGGTAATTCACGAAGTATGTTGATATCTAAATTCAGGGCTACGTCCTGCTTGCCATTAAATTCATATTTGGAAAACCATGGTTATCAGTGGTTCTTTACTAGAGGTCCATGGACTTGGGGCATGAATGAGGACTATAAATAACAGGAAGCCATATATATACAGCTGATCATGGAGCAGATGGAGCCTAGGCATACGTTTTCCTTTCAAGTTCTCCAAGTAATTCTGATCTATCTCTGCTCAAAAATCATTGCTATGGCAAAATGATGCAGCCCATGTGGTAGCACCAACCTAAGTAAGGAAGCTGCACTGATGGTATCATGACAGACTCCATCCCAATATGTGATATTTCATAACTACCAAATACCACAATACTCTAACGCCTGTTCCTGGGTGTCTTTTACAAGGAAAAATTATGAAACCAGTCATTCACTGGATATTAAAAACATGACCAACTATATACCTTATCAAGTAGCTCCAAAGAAGAATAGAGAAAATAATTGTTATTTAATGATTGCCTATGATGGTCAGGCATTGTGATAGAAACTTTATATAAATTACCTTTAATGATGACCTTGTATGATAGCACCTATATCCTGTTTTACACATTGGGGGAACCATAGCTCAGAAATGTTACACAACTTGCCTTGGGTTACACATCAAAAAGTACCAAGATTCAAAGCTAGACTCTGTAAGACACTACCTTCCCAGTTAGACTGCATATATATTATAGCTATTTGCAGCACAATGAAGATCCTAATCTTGTTTCAAAGACACTCTTCCCACCATCACAAAGAAAACACAGGCTGGGCGCAGTGGCTCATGCCTGTAATCCCAGCACTTTGGGAGGCTGAAGTGGGCGGATCACTTGAAGCCAGGAGTTCGAGACCATCCTGGCCAACATGGTGAAACCCCATCTCTACTAAAAATACAAAAATTAGCCAGGCATGGTGGCACATGCCTGTAGTCTCAGCTACTTGCTACTTGGGAGGCTGAGGCAGAAGAATCTCTTGAACCCAGGAGGCAGAGGTTGCAGTGAGCGAAGATCGCACCACTGCACTCCAGTCTGGGCAACAGAGCGAGACTCTGTCTCAAAAAACAAAAAAAAAGAAAAGAAGAGAAAACACAGGCACAGTTACTCTGTCTTCATAAACTGAATTCTGAACATAAGTGGAAGTAGCGTAAGCTTCCATTCTAGGGATGACTGGTTTGGATGGTGTCTGGTTAGTTCATTTAGTCAGGTCTCCATTATCCTCAGAGTCAGATTTGGAAACTTCATGCCAACTGATCACAGATATGTTCGGTGAAGGAGGATGGGAAGCATAATCAAATTCCACACCGCTATTTAAAAAAAAAAAAAAAAAACCCTGAAGGGCTGGGCACAGTGGATTTACTCCTGTAAATCCCAGCACTTTGGAGGCCGAGGGAGGAGGACTGCCTGAGGCGAGGAGTTTGAGACCATCCTGCACAACACAGTGAGACTCTATCTCTTAAAAAAATTTAAAAATAAGCCAAGCCTCGTAACTATTCAGGAGGCCAAGGCAAGAGGATCTCAGAAGTTTGAGGCTTCAATAAGCTAAGATCATGCCAATGCACTCCAGCCCGGGCAACAGAGCAAGCTTCATCTCTATAAAAAAGCAATAATACTAATAAACAAAATAAAAAATAACTGAAAATACATATAGTGTGTTTTTTTAATATGATAAACAGATTAGCAAAAGTAACTTTCCTTTTTATCTGTGCATTTTCATGAACATGGCGACCCCAATGCAAAAAGTCTTCGCCCTGGGAAACGAATGCATTCTAGGTAGCCGAGATGTAAATTACATTTCTGAAACTGAATTCTATATAAAACCAAACAAAACCTGAGAAAGTGGACCCCATTGCATCATCATTCTAAAACAAACAAACAAAAAAATCCCACAATATTGTGACTTGAAAACTTGTCAAGATGTTTTCATCAACTGGGTAATTTAGTACAGCAATACTGTGTCTGCTATGGAATCTCAGCTACCACTTAGAATTCATTCTTTCTTCAGAGCATTTCAATAATCCTAGAATCTCTTCTGTACATTCCCCCTTCTCTCTTTCATACCAATCAACGGAAGTGGTAGGCTGGTTCCAATGACCTAGCCTCCAGTTTCATTTAGTTTATGTATAGGTACAACAGGCTCTTAGCAGTGATATATGTTTAACATAGGAGCCACGAACTGACACAGAATATATTTCAATTGGAAAACTCTCTACTTTGAGAATTATATGAGGAATCAATTTCCTGCTTTAAAAATGCTGCAAATTCTGCATTAAGTAATTAACAGTTAAGAGTCACACAGCTAGTAAATGAGAGACACAGGATTCAGACCTAAGCCTGTTCTACTCAGAAATCAATGTACTTTCCACACAGAAAAATGTGTCTTAGGTGTTTTCCAACTGCTGGTTTTGGCCTATGAAATCAATTTAATAGACTGCAAGCAGAATGTTTTAATAAAACAAAGCTGAATTGAGAAGATCCCCTACACACAAAGGTAAGCAAAATAACAAATTCATATAAAAAAGCCTAAAAGAAATGAGCAAAAACATAGAAAAATTCAAATTAAAAGGAAAGCAAGGGTCTTTATTGCAAGGAGAGCAATATTTACATTTTAAATCTCTGAAAAGCAAGATTCAAAAAGAAGAGTGCTTTTTAAGAGTCAGGGTTCCACTTTGTCACCCAGGCTGAAGTACAGAGGCATGATCATAGCTCACTACAACCTCGAACTCCTGGGCTCAAGCAATCTTCCCACCTTAGCCTCCTGAGTAGCTAGGACTACAGGTTCACATCATAACACCCAACTAATTTTTTAAAATTTTTCAGAGACAGGGTCTTGCTATGTTGCTCAAGCTGATCTCAAACTCCCAGGCTCAAGTGATCCTCCTGTCTCAGCTTCCCAAGTCACTGGGATTACAGGTAAGTCACCACACCAAGCAACAGTACATAAAGGGGAAAAGTTGGAAACAAACAAACAAGGGAGGGAGGGAGGGAGGGAGGGAGGGGCTTGATTTACTAGATATATCTCAAACTTTCTACCCAATAAGAGACTACATATTATTCTCAATTTTCCATGGAGCATTTTGTAAAAACTGATATAGGTCACAGAAGAAAATTCCAAATATAGTTAGAAATCAGGAACAGATTATTACATATTTAAGATTAGGCCAAGTAGAAAAATCTAAATATATTCCGCCAATTATTACTTGCTATAAATTCCAAAGATAAATACATAGAACAATGACTGGTAAAGGCAAACCAAACAGCTTTTCATTGTTCTTGTTACCTACACGTAGGCCCCTAAAACCCAAATCTTGCCAACACATTGCTGGGAATTAAAATCACTAGAAAGCCAGAAGTATTCATTTTGAAAAAGAAGAGATAAATTTGTCTAAAATAGCAGTTCCTATCTCTCAAACAAACAAGGCAATTCAGAAGGAAGAAGGCCATATGTGCTCATACATTAACACAACCACCATCAAACAGCTTGACTGGAAATCTTCTCCCCTCTCCGGACAAACACTAAAATATAGGAATATACCAGTTATTTTCTTTCTGCCATCTCATAAAAATGTAAACCACTAATAAATTTTAAATCCATTAGGAGTTTGGTTGAAATTTGTTATATGGATTATTATAATACAGTAAGTTCTCTTCTAATTAATCTAAACTGTAGTTCCACTCAAATTTGTAACAAGTATTTCATTGTTATTGACATTATACGACAAGAAATGATACCAAAAATACCTTAAAGAATGAATGTGGACGAATGTTTTTCTTCTTTTTGTCATCACCAATCGTGTGTGTGCGTGTGTGTGTGTGTGCGTGTGTGTGTGTGACAGAGTCATGCTCTGCTGCCCAGGCTAGAGTGCAGTGGCACAATCCCAGCTCACTGCAACCTCTGCCTCCGCGGTTCAAGCAATACTCGTGCCTCAGCCTCCCATGTAGCTGGGACTACAGGCGTGCACCACCATGCCCGGCTAATTTTGTATTTTTAATAGAGATGGGGTTTCGTCATGTTGGCCAGGCTAGTCTCGAACTCCTGGCCTCAAATGATCTGCCCGCCTCAGCCTCCCAAAGTGCTGGGATTACAGGCTGAGTCACCACACCCAGCCTGGATAACAAAGCTTTTAATCAATTTTTAGTTAGACTTTTTCTTACTGATTTCTAGAAATTCTATATATATTCTAGAATGAACTCCTTTCTCAAATATATTATTACAAAGGTCTTCTCTCAATCTGTGGCTTAACTTTTCATTCTCTTAATGGTGTCTTTTGATAAACAGAAGTAATAAAGTTTAATGAAGTTTAATTTGTCAATTGTTTCCTTTCTTATTTATGCTGTCATCTTGCTCAAGAAATCTTTTTTCTTCTAACGTCATAAAGATATTCTTCCACACCTAGGTTTTATTTTACCTTGTACATTTTCATTTAAAATTCATCTTTACTGATTTTTAAGTAAAGCAGAAATTAAGATTCATATTTTTAAATTTTAAGTCCATGTTTTTCCAACTGGAGACTGCAATCCATTATAGTTTAAAATATCAATTTAAGGGATAACCAGCATTTTTTTTAAAACTGAAATAGAATAGAGCACATATTATATCCTCTACTTCATCAATTCTAAGATGTATTTTTTTTTTTCACATTTTAACGTCTCTGAAATAGAGATGTTTCTTATAATCAATATCTTACAATTAAAAATGGCGGCAATTTTCCTGACTATACAGACATAACACATACACACGTGATAGCAGCAGAAGGCAGACAAAATCCTAGGCAGACAGGGGAGGGTCCGCGGTGAAACCCCACCTTTTTTTTTTTTTTTTTTTTTTTTTTTTTTTTTTGAGACAGAGTCTTGCTCTGTTGCCCAGGCTGGAGTGCTGTGGCACGATCTCAGCTCACTGCAACCTCCGCCTCCTGGGTTCAAGCAATTCCCTGCCTCAGCCTCCCGAGTAGCTGGGACTACAGGCACCCGCCACGACACCCAACTATTTTTGTATTTTTAGTAGAGATGGAGTTTCACCATGTTGGCCAGGCTGGTCTTGAACTCCTGACCTCGTGATCCACCCACATCGGCCTCCCAAAGTGCTGGGATTACAGGAATGAGCCACTGCACCCAGCCAAAACCCCACCTTCAAGCTAAAAACAGCCTGAAGCCTGAAGACAAGGCTGCTGGTTCTGGATGAAGCCCACGACCCAGAGTGAGAATTTCTATTCCTGTTTGCCAGCTCTTTCCCAATTGTTTCTTTCTGGATAATGCCTTTTAATCAAACATTGCCTTTTCCAATGCTACTTACTGCCCGCACCTCTCCCATTCTGTGACTATTAAAAACCCTGAACTCAGCCACACTGGGGGACTATGCCCATTTTGAGTGCCCTCTCCGCTGAGAACTGTTTTGTCGCTCAATAAAACTTTCCGCCCTGCTCACCCTCTGGTTGTGAGCATAACCTCATTCTTCTTGGATGCGGGACAAGAACTCAGGACCTACCGAACATGGGTAGGTAAAACGCTGTAATACTGTAGCCCTCCACCCTCTGCCGGTGCCAGGCAGCAGCCCCGCATGACAGGAAGCAGCCACGGGGCCAGGCCAGCCCAGGAGCCGTGGGCCAGAGCAGGGCGACAGGATTAAATGAGCTGTAACATAAGTGGGCTGAAACACGTCCCACCCCCCCACCCCCGCTGATTGGTAGTGCTGCAGAGAGGAGAGAAGAGCTACAACCCTTCTGGGGCCCCAGACCTCGCCACTCCCAGAGCCAGAGTTGCGACATGCTGTAACACCCTCTTTGGGGTCACGCGGATGCTGGTGTCTCCAAAAGTTTCAAGTGCCACCGCATTCCCCCTTGTCTAGATGCCGGTGCCCAAGGCAGAAGCAGGCTACAGCACGCCTGGCCCCGGCACAGACTGAGTGCGGGATCAGGGCCAGGGCGCTAAGAGCAGCCCACCAGGCCAAGTGGGCAAGATACCTCCAACAGCAAGCCCAGGGCGGAGCGCGGCCCTGGGCAGGGGCACTGCCAGCTGCAAAGTCTCCAGCTGGCGAAGCAGCACAGAAAACATCCTGCATCACATGCATATATATAAAAATTACCACACACACACTAGGTATAAACATAAATTTCATTTCTTACATTGAAAACCCCTGAAAAACCCTGCTAAAGGTTAGCAGAGTATAATAAATCCCATACTAAAAGTTACTACCTTTTCAGTTTGCTTTCAATTCTAATTTCATCAAAAGATATTTTCACACCTCTCTAATATCTGCCATCACCTGTTTTTAACAAAAAGAGCCAGGCTACTGTTCAATTTTCTGTAAAAAACAAACAAACAAACAAACAAAAAAAACAGTATCTGGCTAAAACGTCATATGGGTTTTTGGTTTTTCGTTTTGTTTTATTTTGTTTGAGACAAAGTCTTGTCCTGTCACTCAGGCTATAGTGCAGTGGCATGATCATGGTTCACTACAGCCTCAGTCTCCTGAGCTCAAGCAATCTTCCAGCCTCAGCCTCCCAAGTAGCTGGGACCACAGGTGCATGCCACCGTGCCTGGCTAATTTTTTTATTTTTCTTTTATGGAGACAAGATCTCAGTATGTTGCCCAGGTTGGGGTTTTTTAATGGTATTTACTTTTACACTAATCTACGCCAGTAAGCACCACTGATTTTCCAGTCATGTAGTGATTACAGTTCCCTTTTCTGATTTACTTTACAAAGTAGATTTTTAAAACATGGTCAGCAGGTAAAAGAACAAATGGTGTGCAGACATGTCAAAAATTGTGAGGTTTGTACTCAAACTGCCCAAAGTCAGGGAAACACTATTTTAGAAGAACAATGATAGGGGAAAAGGCCTAAACTATTTTAAGTGGGAAAAAAGCAAGTCACAATATATCTGTACAATCTCATCTTTACAAATAAAATTTATTTTACTATTTACAAAAGCAACCATGTGCTTACAATATTATCTCTGTAATTTTTATTTGATTTTTGCTTACTTATCCTACCTAAATTTTCCTTAAAGTACACACGTATCTTTTTAACAGCAAGGAAAAGTGATTTTGAAGTTAAACTTTAAAAGTAAGTAAAAGATTCACACCAAGACCCCAGATATATATGCTGTGGTCTAGGGAAACAGAAACTCTTACTGAAAGGTCCAGCAGTGCTGTATTCCACTTGACCTCTCTGTGCCTATGTCCTCATCCACAAAACTGAGGTGAAAACAGGGCCTCCCTGGCAGAGTAAGTGAGAAAATTTTAAGAGATAATCCTGGCACCCAAGCAGGGCTCTGACACAGTTTGCATCTGTGTCCCCACCCAAACCTCTTGTCAAATTGTAATCCCCATTGTTGAAGGTGAGGCCTGGTGGGAGGTGACTGAATCATGGGAGCGGTTTCTCATGGTTTAACACCAACCCCCTTGGTGCTGTCGTGGCATGAGTGAGTGAGTTCTCACGAGACCTGATTGTTTAAAAGTAGCACCTCACCACTCTCTCTTCCTCCTGCTCCGGCCACACGAAGTGCCCGCTTCCCCTTCGCCTTCTGCCATAATTGAAGCCAAGCAGACGCTGCCATGCTTCCTATATAGCCTGCAGAACCATGAGCCAATTAAACCCCATTTCCTTATCAATTACCCAATCTCAGGTATTTCTTTATAGCAGTGTGAGAACAGACTAATAGAGGCTCCTTTAGTCAAATTTAACTTCCATAAGGCAGAGATATTTGGTTGTATTATTCAATCTGTATCCTTAGCACTTAGAATAATTCCCAGCATACTACTTAAGTACAGAGGTATAATAAATATCTATTGATAAATATTAGCTACACACTTCAGTGCAGTGGGAAAAGAATGGTCTTTTAAATAAAAGACTCTATCAACTAGATATTCTTAACATATTTTGGGCCCTACCCTCTCACATGCATACAAAGAAATACAAAAAAAAATCCATTCTAGATAGACTGAAGATCTAAGTGTAAAAGACAAAGCAGTAAAGCTTTTAGAAGAAGCCATAGGACATCCTCAAGACCTGGGAATAGGCAAAACTTTTTTAAACAATACACAACTGCTAACCACAAAGAACAATGTAATAAATCAGACTATATTAAAATAATTTCTGTTCATTGAAAACATTCAGAGATTGAAAATGCTTGAAAACTGATTTATGGTGATGATGCATCACTGGACTACATATGTGGATTAGTTTTGTGATATGCAAAATATACCACAATATACCTCAATTCTTTCAAAGGAACTAGATGTAGAAGAAAAAAGGCAACTTACAGAGCAAGAAAAGAGTGGCAATACACACAGAATTTTTTTTAACTCACTTCAAACCAAGGAAGAATCACAATCACACACATACTAAATTTTTAAATGAGCAAAAGACTTCCACAGGCACATCACAAAAGAAAATACACAAATGAAGTTTTTTTAAAAAGGAAAAATCAACCAAAATACTGCCACCTAGGGATGACCACTGGACCATTTTGGTACACAGACTGAAAACTGCATATATGTAAGTGAAAATTGTTTAAAACATGCTCTTCGGTTAACTGTTTTTTCCATGTGTCATGCACATCTTTCCACATCATTGTAGTTCTACGTTTTCATTTTTAAGGGCTACAGTTCACTTCATCCCATAATTTCCTTACTCAATACAAGTAGTAACAAACATTACATTTTTTACTATTAAACACAACACTGTAATGAACCTTCATGCCTACTCTGACAATTACCTCTTGGTCAAATTTAGAAATCCATGAGATCCAAAAGGATGGCTGAACTGAATTTCCTTTGCGAATTCCTTGACTAATAATCATTTGTTTTCATCAGAAAAGACTTCATACTACAAGTTATTAAATCTAAGGGTCAATTCTTATTCCTCCTATTTCTTCACCGATCAGCAAGGTTGAGCACTTCCATCTTCTTGATATACTTCATTCACTTGGCTTCCAGGACTCTGATCTAATTCTCAAACCTTCACTACAAGAAACGTTAAAGTTCTTCAGACAAAAAGAAAAGAAAAATTGGATATAGTAAAGGAATGAAGACATAACTGAAAAGAAAAATAGTAAAAATGAGAGTGCATATACATTAATTTCTTTTCTTTAAATTTATAGAAAATATGACTAACTGAAAAGTATAAAATATTGCAGAAAAAATCAAAGAGACAAATAATAGAAAACACAATTCATGTTCATGGATTGCAAGACTTAATATTAAGATCTTCGTACCACCCAAAACTATCTACAGATTTAATGCAATCCCTAAAAAAACCCAACGATGTTTTTTGCGTAAGTAGCAAAATCAACCATAAAATTCATTAGCAATCTCAAGGGACTCAGAACAGACAACATAATCTTGAAACACAAGAATTAAACTGGACTTCAATCAGCTTTGAAAAGCTGGTTTCAAAATTTACTACAAAGCTATTGTAACCAAAACTGTGGAACTAGCATGAAGACATATGTATAGACCAACGGGACAGAATGGAAGATTGTAATCGGTGCATTTCAAGCATTTGACAATATTCAACATCTATTCATGCTTAAAAACACTCAGATAACTTCCTCAATATGATAAAGGTCATATAATGAAACATCATCATACTTAATGTTTAAAGATGGAACATTTTCCCCTTGTCCTGAAGGACAAAGCTAGAATATCCATTCACACTTCTAGTGTGAATTCAAATTTGTGAATTTGAGCCGGGCACAGTGGCTCACACCTGTAATCCCAGCACTTTGGGAGGCCAAGGCAGGCAGATCACTTGAGGTCAGGAGTTCAAGACCAGCCTGGCCAATGCAGTCAACCCCCGTCTCTACTAAAAATACAAAAATTAGCTGGGCATAGTGGCATGTGCCTGTAATCCCAGCTACTTGGGAAGCAGAGGCAGGAGAATCACTTGAACCTGGGAGATGGAGGCTGCAGTGAGCTGAGGTCGTGCCACTGCACTCCAGCCTGGGTGACAGAGCAAGCTCCATCTAAAAAAAAAATAAAAAATAGGCTGGGCAGTGGCTCAAGTCTGTAATCCCAGCACTTTAGGAGGCCAAGGTGGGTGGATCATTTGAGGTCAGGAGTTCAAGACCAGCCTGGCAACATGGTAAAACCCCATCTCTACTAAAAATATTTAAAAAATGAGCCAGTGTGGTGGCACGCGCCTCTAATTCCAGCTACTCAGGAGCTGAGGCACAAGAATCACTTGAACCCTCAAGGAGGAGGTTACAGTGAGCCAAGATCGCACCACTGCACTACAGCCTGGGTGACAGAGTGAGACCTGTCTCAAAAAAAAATAATAATAAACCAATCAATAATTTAAAAAATTGAAAATTCGTGAACTTGAAATTGAAAATCACAAGTTTCACTATAGTCAATGCAACAGAGCAAGAAAAAGAAATAAAAACATAAATAACAAAAAGAATGTAGATGGTATGACTGTCTAACTAGAAAATCCTGCTGAATCTACAAAATAAAAGTGATGGGATGGCCGGGCGTGGTGGCTCAGGCCTGTAATCCTAGCACTTTGGGAGGCCGAGGTGGGCAGATCACGAGGTCAGGAGATCGAGACCATCCTGGCTAATGTGGTGAAACCCCATCTCTACTAAAAATACAAAAAAATTAGCCGGGCATGGTGGCAGGCGCCTGTAGTCCCAGCTACTCGGGAGGCTGAGGCAGGAGAATGGCATGAACCCGGGAGGCGGAGGTTGCAGAGAGCCAAGATCGCACCACTGCGCTCCAGCCTAGGCGAGAGAGCGAGACTCTGTCTCAAAAATAAAACATAAAAATAAAAATTAAAAAATAAAAGTGATGGGATATTAGTGAATTCACAGGACACAAAGACTGACAAAAAAAATGAAGCTACGTAAAGCTCAAGCTCTCAGTATAACTAAAAGGCACAGAACATAAGTAGAAATTTAAATCCTAGTACATCCTTATGCTCCAGCCATAAATCTTCATGAAGATCAAGGGCAGTTCAGGAAAACTGTGCAGAATAAAAAAAGAAGGAAACGAGCAGCAGATAAAAGATTGACATAAAATCACATTATGTATGAAAATACTTAAAAAGCGTCCTGCTAGTTCAGAGTTGATTACAGATAAAGAGGATGCAAGATGCAAAAAGGCAGTCTTCAAAAGATCAGTTTTTAGGAGAAAGGAGTGTACAAACAAAAGGCAAATAGAGGAGAATTTCCTCAACGTGATAAAGAACACCTGCAAAAAACCTACAGCTAACATCATACGTATTAGTGAAAAAGTTGACACCTTCCCACTAAAATCAGGAACAAGGTAAGAATGTTCCCTCTCAACACTGGTTTTCAACATCATCCTCTAAGTTCTAGCTAATGCAATAAGACAAGGAAAGGAAATAAAAAATATACAGATTGAGAAGAAAGAAAACTGTTTTGGTTCACAGGTGACATGATTGTCTATGTAGAAAAACTGAAAGAATTGTTAAGAGTCATCACCACTCCCTAATCTTAAGTACCCAGGGACACAAACACTGCGGAAGGCCGCAGGGTCCTCTGCCTAGGAAAACCAGAGACCTTTGTTCACTTGTTTATCTGCTGACCTTCCCTCCACTATTGTCCTATGACCCTGCCAAATCCCCCTCTGCGAGAAACACCCAAGAATGATCAATAAAAAAAATAAATAAAAAATAAAAAATAAAAAATAAAAAAATAAAAAAAAAAAAAAGAAAAACTGAAAGAATTAACAAAACAGCCCCTGGAACTCATAAGTGATTATGGCAGATCTGCAGTATACACAGTTTATATACAAAAAGTCAATCACTTTCCTATATACCAGCAATGAGCAAATGAAATGTGAAATTAAAAACATATTACCATTTACATAAACACCTATAGATATAATTAGGTATAAATCTAACAATATACACAAGATATCTGTAAGGAAAACTAGAAAATCCTGATGAAGGAAATCAAAGAACTAAATTAATGAAGAGATATTCCATGTTCATGGAAAGGAAGATTCAATAAGGTCAAGACATCAGTTCTTCCCAACTGGATCTATAGATTCAATACAATCTCTATCAAAATCCAGCAAGTTACTTTGTGGATATTGAAATGACTCTAAGGTTTACATGGAGAGGCTAAAAAAAATAAATAATTCAAAATAAATAAATAATAACAAACACAACTGAAGGAGAACAAAGTTCAAGGAATGATACTGTCTGACTTCAAAAGGCACTACAAAACTACAGTATTCACGAAAGTGAAAGTGTGGTACTGGCAACAGAATACAGAGCTAGGTCAATGGAATAGAACTGAGGGCCCACACAATAGACCCACACAAATACAGTCAACTCATCTTTGACTGTGGAGCAAAGTCAATACGATGAAGAGTCTCATCAACAAATGGACATCTATATGCAAAAAAAATGAATCTAGACACTCAGCTTACACATTTCACAAAAATTAACTGAATACAGATTACAAGCCTAAATGGAAAATGGAAAGCTCTAAAACTCCTAAAAGATAACATAGGAGAAAATCTAGATGATCTTAGGTTTGTTGATTACTTTCTTAGACATATCAAAGGCACAATCCATGAAGAATTATTAAGCTGGACTTCATTAAAAATAAAAATCTCTGAGAGACACTGTCAAGAGAATTGAAAAAATATGCCACAAACTCAGAGAAAATATTTGCAAAAAACATATATGACAAAGGACTGTTATCCAAAATACAGAAACAATTTCTCTCTCTCTCTCTCCTCTCTCTCTCTCTCTCTCTCCCTCCCTCCCTCCCTCCCTCCCTCCCTCTCTCTCTCTCTCTCTCTCTCTCTCTCTCTCTCACAGGGTCTCACTCTGTCACCCACAATGCAGTGCAGTGATGCAATCACCACTCACTGCAGCCTCAACCTCCCAGGCTCAAGTGATCCTCCCACCTCAGCCTCCAGAGTAGCTGCGACCACAGGGGTACACCACCATACGTGGCTAATTTTTGTATATTTTGTGGAGATGAGGTCTTGCCATGTTGCCCAAGCTGGTCTCGAACTTCTGGGCTCAACTAATCCATCTGCCTCAGCCTCCCAAAGTGCTGGGATTATAGGTGTGAGCCACCATGCCTGGCCTAGAAACAATTCTTCAAACTCAACAAGAAAAAAGTAAACAACACAATTTTTAAAATGGGCCAAAAACCTTAACAGTCACTTCACCAGAAAAGATATACAGATGACAAATAAACATGGAATATGGAGCATCTCTTCATAAGTCATCAGGTAAATACAAATTAAAACAAAATACCACAACACATCTATCAGCATGGCCAAAATCCAAAATGCAAACACCATGAAATGCTGGAGAAGATGTGGAGCTATAGGAACTCTCATTCATTGCTGGTAGAAATATCAAATAGTAAGGCCACTTTATTTTTTTTAATTTGTACAAATTTATGGGGTAGATGTGAAATTCTGTTACATGTATATAATGTGTAGTGATGAAGTCAAGGTATTTAGGGTTCCCATCACCAAAGTACAACACATTTTTGTAACTATATTCACCCTACTCTGGTGCAGTCACTTTGGAAGACAATTTGGCAGTTTCTTACAAAACTATATATACTCTTGCCCAACAATCTAATATTCATCCTCTTTTTTACTTGTCCAAATGAAGTGAAAACTAATATCCACAGAAAAACCTTAACATGGCTGTTTATAGCAGCAGTTACACATAACTGCTAAAACTTGGAAGCAGCCAAAATGTTCTTCAATAGGTGAATGAATAAACTGTGGTAGGGCCAGGCACAGTGGCTCATGCATGTAATCCCAGCACTTTGGGAGGCCAAGGCAGGAGACTCTCCAGCCCAGGACTTGAGACCAGACTGAACAACATAGGGAGACTCTGCCTCTACCAAAAAAAAAAAAAAAAAAAAAAAAAATTTAGTCAGGCAAGGTAGAATGCACCTGTTGTTCCAGCTACTTGTGAGGCTGAGGTGGGAGGATTGCTTAAGCCCAGGAGGTTGAGGCTTCAGTGAGCCACAATCACACCATTGCACTCCAGCCTGGGAAACAAAGCAAGACCTTCTCTCAAAAAAAAAAAAAAAAAAAAAAAAGTGTGGTACATCCAGACAATTGAATGTCATCCAATGAAATGAGGCATCAAGTCATCAAAAAACCTGGTGGAAACTTAAACATCTATTATTAAGTGAAAGAAGCCAATATGAAAAGGCTACACACCGTGTGATCCAACTAGATGACATTCTGGGAAAGGCAAAACTATGGAGACATTAAAACAATTAGTGATTGTCA
The DNA here is from genome assembly GCF_000001405.40 of Homo sapiens. Classification (NCBI taxonomy): domain Eukaryota; kingdom Metazoa; phylum Chordata; class Mammalia; order Primates; family Hominidae; genus Homo; species Homo sapiens. The sequence goes on from NC_000005.10 coordinate 171,933,351, forward strand.
GGAAGGATGGATAGGAAGCACACATAGAATTCTTAGGGCAGTGAAACTATTCTGTATGATACTGCAATGATGGAAACATGTTATTATATCTGTCCAAACCCAAAGAATGTACAACACCAAGAATAAATCCTAATATAAGCTATGGACTTCGGGTGATAATGGTGTGTCAAGGTAGGCTCATCCATTGCATCAAATGTATCCCTGTGGTATGGGATGCCCACATTGTAAGAGGTTGTGTGTGTATGTGGGTAGAAGGGATCCTAGAATCCCAGGAGGAAGTATTCTAGGATCCTGCAAGAAAAGAATTTTTAATAACATCCAAAGGATACAAAGCCTTTCCTCCCACCATCACCTGCTTATCCTGCAAAGGAAGCCATGCAGTAAAGAAATAATACTTTGATAAGGAATGCTCTTAAGCTAGGAATCTTATCAACTTAAACTACCTCAAACTGCCAGGTCTGTCTCAAAAAAATGTAGAGACACATGCAATTTTCATCTATTTAAAAAAAAAACTATACAGGGAAAAGTTCATTAAACTCCTACATATAAAAGAAGAGGCAGGGAGTAAGGGAAGGAGGGAAAAACAGAGAGAACTAAACAACATCCCAAACAAGCCTTTCTTAACTAAGGTTCTGTGAGATCATGAAGCCCTTATGAGAGTAATTTTGCAGACAGTTTTCTTAATTTCCCTAAGGATGGTACATAGATAATACCATTCCTGTCATGTATGAGAGACATTAATTCACTATATACAATGTATGCCTTAGTGCGTAAGCGCATACTGTTTTTGAGAAACCTGGTTGAAAAGAGCTACTGCAAACTGATTTAAATATGATCAAACAGGCATGTGATGTTACTTAAAAACACTCTGAAACACTGAATCAGAAATTGAAAACTTAAGACAGAAATGTACCAAAAACCAGAAGAAATGTAATAAGAATTGACCTAACTCAAAAAATAAAAACAAAATTATAACAAACAAGAATACATTAAAATACCCCCAAAACAGATAAAGCAAATGAAAATTTTAAAAATTTGAAAAGTAGGTTGGGCACATTGCCTCATGCCTTGTAATCCCAGCACTTTGGGGGCCGAGGCATGCAGATCACTTGAGGCCAGGGTTCAAGACCAGCCTGGGTAAAATGGTGAAACCCCAACTCCACTAAAAATACAAAAATTAGCCAGGTGTGGTGGTGCACACCTGAAGTTACAGCTACTTGGGAGGCTGAGGCACAAGAATTGCTTGAACCCGGGAGGCAGAGGTTGCAGCGAGCCAAGATAGCGCCACCCTACTCCAGCCTGGGTGACAGAGTGTGACCCTGTCTCAAAAAAAAAAAAAAAAAATAGAAAATTATTAGGAAACATTGAAGACAAGCAAGAAAACAACCCAAGAGAATAAAAATGAGATGAAGAAATAAGCAATATGGGCAGTGAGAAAGTAGTTAACATGGAAAACAAAGGAGATCCAACCTAAATATAATTGGAGTTTCTAAAGAAAAAAATAAAATAAAAATAACCTTTAAAACTATAATCCAAGCGGTTCCTAGGGTTGGATGGGTGAGGGATATAGGGAATGACAGCCTAAGGGTACAGTGGTTTTTTTTGTTTGTTTTTTGTTTTGTTTTTGAGACGGAGTCTCGCTCTGTAGCCCAGGCTGGAGTGCTGTGGCTTGATCTCACTGCAAGCTCCGCCTCCTGGGTTCATGCTATTCTCCCGCCTCAGACTCCCGAGCAGCTGGGACTACAGGCGCCTGCCACCACGCCTGGCTAATTTTGTTTTTGTATTTTTAGTAGAGACGGGGTTTCACCGTGTTAGCCAGGACGGTCTTGATCTCCTGACCTCGTGATCTGCCCACCTCGGCCTCCCAAAGTGCTGGGATTACAGGCGTGAGCCACCGCGCCCAGCCGGTAGCGTGTTTCTTTTGGTGGTGATACAAATGTTCTAAACTGACTGTGGCACTGGTTATACAACTCTGTGACTATACTAAAAATCACTGAATTGTACACTTTAAATGTGTAAATTTACAATATTTGAGTTATGTCTCAATAAAGCTGTTATTTAAAAAGAAAAAAAAACGATAATTCAAAAAGCTTTCCAGAGATAAAAGGAAACCTGAACTACATGTTGAAAGGGGCTCCAGGTAATAGGGGAAACTGGCCCACAGCAATAAACTCCAAGAGATATCCTAAGACAATTGTTAGACTTTAAAAATAAAGAAAAAATGTTTTCAATCCCCACCCCAAATTTTTTTTTTAATTTAAGAAGAAACCTTTAAAGAGAAAGAGCATTAATTGGATTGGCATCAAACTTCTCGAAACAACACACCAAGCAAGGCATCAGTGGAGCAGCATCTTCCAAAATTTTAGAAAATAAAGGGTAAAGGTTTCCTTGAGTAATCCTGAGATGATGCAAAAAATTGTCAAAAAAATTAATGGTAAACATTTAAAACAATTATGGCTCTAAGAATAAACAAGTCTGAGCCAGGTGTTGTGGCTCGCACCTGTAATCTCAGCACTTTGGGAGGCCAAGGCGGGCTGATCACCTGAGGTCAGGAGTTCGAGACAAGCCTGACCAATATGGTGAACCCCCATCTCTACTAAAAATACAAAAATTAGCCAGGCATGGTGGCGGGTGCCTGTAGTCCCAGCTACTCGGGAGGCTGAGATAGGAGAACTGCTTGAACCTGGGAGGCAGAGGTTGCAGTGAGCCAAGATTGTGCCACTGCACTCTAGCCTGGGCAGCAGAGCTAGACTCCATCTAAAAAAAAAAAAAAAAAAAAAAAGAATAAAACAAGTCTGAAGATAACAGAAGAATCACATGTCATATTCAGACAAAGAAATAACACAACTTTAAAACTGCAGGCCAGGTGCAGTAGCTCATGCCTGTAATCCCAACACTTTGGGAAGGCAAGATGGGAGGATCCCATGAGCCAAGGAGTTCAAGACCAGCTAGGCAACACAGCAAGACCCATCTCTTAAAAAAATTTAAAAATTAGCCAGATGTGGTAGCCCGCACCTGTAGTCCCAGTGACTTGGTAGGCTGAGGCGGGCGGCCCCAATCACTTGAGCCCAGGAGTTTGAGGCTACACTGAATTATGATCATGCTACTGCACTCCAGCCTGGGCAACATAGTGAGAGCCTGTCTCACCAAAAAAAAAAAAAAAAACAGGAAATAGAGGCATTACAAAAATTATAATTAAAACTAACAAAAATACAAACCTCTCTATAAAAAGAAATTTCAAAAATAAAAGAGCAAAGAAAGCACATCATGAACAGAAACAAACTAAAAGAAATGCAGAGAGACATGGATATAAATACACTATACACACTACTCTCACTACAAGACAGCTCAAGAAAACAAAAAATAAAAATTCATAAGCATCAGTAAGGCAGGCAGGTCTTACAGGATATGATAACCTGTTTACACAGACTAAACTTGCTTTTCCAGCACGTGTAAAAAATTTCTGAAAGCTTATCATATATTAGATCACAAAGAAATAAGTTCAATAAAAAAGAAAAATTAGAAAATAAGAGCCTCTGATCAAAAGATAATAAAACTAAAAGCAATTCCTAGAAAAAGAAGAACAATTCCTTCAATCAATGTTATGGAACAATTTATAGAGCTTCTGGCCCATTTGTTCTTTAAAGGTCTGGTGGAATTCTCTGTGAATCCACACTGACCTGATACATTTTTCTGATTTAATTCTTTGACAGGTTTCTCTATTCTTTTCTTCATAACTATTGTTGGATAAGAGAACTCAACATTCGAAAGATGACAGTTCTCCCTAATTTATAAGTTTAACATTTCCCCAATAACCCCACAAGAAAATTCTTTATGGAGCTAGACAAAATGATACTCAAGTTCATATTCAAAAGCAAACTTACATGAGTATTCAGTAAAAAATACAAAAAAAGAAAAGTGGGGAATCAGTCCTACCAGACATCAAAATACACCATAAATAAGCCTCTCTACTGAAAAGCAAGATACTTTCATAGCACATGAATACACAAATACTCCAGAGTAGGGTTGGCAAGCTTTTTCTGTAAAGGGTCAGATGTAAATATTTTGAGCTTTGCAGGACTCACTGATTTTGTCACAACTACTCAACTCTTCTGTTATAGGATGAAAGCAGCCACAGATGATATGTAAGTGAATGAGTGTGGCTGTGCTCCAATAAAACTTTATTTATAAAAACGCAGTGGGGGCCGGATACAGTGGCTCACACCTGTAATCCCAGCATTTTGGGAGGCCAAAATCATTGAGCTCAGGAGTTCAAGACCAGCCTGATCAACATGGTGAAACCCCGCCTCTACTAAAAAATACAAAAATTAGCCAGGCATGGTGGCACACGCCTGTAGTCCCAGCTACACAGGGGGCTGAGGTAAGAGGATCACTTGAACCTGGGAGGTTGAAGCTGCAGTGAACCATGATTGTGCCACTGTACTCCAACTTAGGTGAGAGAATGAGACCTTGGCTCAAAAAAAAGCAAAAAAAAAAAAAAAAGGAAAATTTAAACTAGATAAAAATTTTAAACTTTTGCACAGCATTTTTATTAACTACCATAAACTAAACCTTAAATGACAAACTGGAAAAAAAATTTGCAGCCTATGTCACAAATAAAAGAACTAATATCCCTAAAAATTTCTTTAAATTGAGGGAAGTAAAAAAAACACCAAAATCCCAATAAGAAAATGAGGAAAAGTCATAATCAAACTTTGTTTTGTTTTGAGACAGTCTCACTCTGTCGCCAAGCCTGAAGTGCAGTGGCACGATCATAGCTCACTACAGCCTCACTCTTCCAGACTCAAGTTATCCTCCCACCTCAGCTTCCCATGGAGCTGGGACCAAAGGCACATGCATGCCACCATGCCCAGGTAATTTATTTTTATATTTTGTAGAGACAGGGTCTCCCTATGTTGCCCAGGCTGGTCTTGAATTCCTGGGCTCAGGCAATCCCCAGCCTCAGCCTCCCAAATCACTGCGGTTACAGGCGTGAGCCACTGCACCTGGCCATAAACAGATTTTCAAAAAACATAACATGACCCTTAAATAGGAAAAGATGTTCAGATTTACTCATAATTAAAGAGATGCAAATTAAAGCTACACATTTCTCACTTAACATATTGGCAAATATGTAGAATTGATAACACATTCAGTCAATGAAGCAGTGAGGAAATAGGTGCTCTTGTGTATTTCTGGTGGGAAGGCAAATGTGTCACAACCCTTTTGGAAGAAAATTTGTTAATATTTAACAAAACTAATTGTGCATTTACTTTTTGATCAGCAATTCCACTTACAGGAATTCTCCCTGAAGATACACTAATTCAGTAACAATATGAAAATACATATATACAAGGTTATTCAGTCATTGTTTGTAATTTCAAAAAAAATGGAAACAACCTACATGCTCATACGAAAGACACTGGCTGAATAAACTATGGCATATGAACACAACAGAGTACTATGCAGCCATAAGAAAGAATAAGGAAGGCCCCTGTTGACTGATATAGAATAACTTTCAGTATACACCTTTAGGTGAAAAGGCAAAGTGCAAAAGAATATATACTGTATACTACCTTTTGTGTAAAAAATAAGCAAAGATAGGCCAGGCGCAGTGGCTCACACCTGTAATCCCAGCACTTTGGGAAGCTGAGGCAGGTGGATCACGAGGTCAGGAGTTTAAGACCAGCCTGGCCAACATAGTGAAACCTCATCTCTACTAAAAATACAAAAAAAAATAGTGGGGCGTAGTGGCAGGAACCTGTAATACCAGCTACTTGAGAGGCTGAGGCAGGAGAATCACTTGAACCCGGGAGGCAGAGGTTGCAGTGAGCCAAGACCATGCCACTGCACTCCAGCATGGGTGACAGCAAGACTCTGTCTCAAAAATAAATAAACCAAAAATAAACAAAAACTGAGAAAGAGAGATGTAATACATCAGCAGAAACAAATGAATAACATAATCATACTTAATGGAAGAGGGTGAAAACCCACCCAAGTGACTCTTGAACTCAGTAATGGGACTACACAGTCATAAACATTATTTTTAAGAACTATAAAGAAATCCCCAGGCGTGGTGGCTACACCTGTAATCCCAGCACTTTGGGAAGCCAAGGCAGGCAGATCACTTGAGCCTAGGAGTTCAAGACCAGCCTGTGCAACATGCCAAGACCCCGTCTCTAAGAAAAATGACAAAAATTAACAGGGCATGGTGACATGTGCCTGTAGTCCCAGCTATTTAGGAGGCTGAGTGGGGAGGATCACTTGATCCCAGGAGTGGAGGCTGCAGTGAGCTGAGATCGTGCCACCGCACTCCAACCTGGGCTACACAGCAAGACCCTGTCTCAAAAAAAAAAAAAAAAAAAAAAGAAAGAAAGAAAGAAAACTGTAAAGAATCTTTAGTATGGCTAGTGTTAGTACATGTATTTTTCAGTGATGTTTGCAAGGCGTGTCATCCCTCAGTGTCATCCTCAGGCATCAGTTTCAGGATACACACACTCTTCCCGCTATGGATATCAAAATCGACTGGTGCTCAAATTCCTTATATAAAGTGGAATAGTATTTGCATGTAACCTAAGCACATCCTCTCATATACTTTAAATCTCTATAGACTACTTATAATTCCAAAAAAAAGTAAAAGCTATGTAAATAGTTGTTCTACTGTATTTTTATTTGTATTATTTTTTACTGTTATATTATTATTTTTATTGGTTTTTCTCCCAAATATTTTCAATCCTAGGTTGATTGAATCCATGGAATGCGGAGGGCCCACTGTAATTCTAAAACTACTTGATATGCATTCTGGGGTTGAGCAAGTGAGTAAATATATTGTGGAAAACCGGAGTCAGGTTTCTCACTGTTAGAGAAGCGAGTACTAAATATGAAAAGGGTTTCCTTCTGGAAGGCTAGAATGAGATCTGTGAGACTAGACTAGAATTGGATATATCAGTATGGACTCACAGTTTCTAATACATAGAACAAGGAGGGAAGTATTTTTATATAGACAAAAAATTATACATACATTTCCTAACACAGTTGGCTGAGAGGGCCTAGAAGCAATGACATTCCAGTAGCACTAAGCACACTTGCCACCCAGATCTAATACCATTCCTCAGTGAAAGGAAACAAGGCTCTTCGGAGAAATGGCTGGTTCCAAGGCTGAGAGTGGGAAAATACAAGATAAGCCTGGAACATGTTGCAACAGAAAATAAGGAAGTACTTAAACAATTATGAGAACAGATCAAAAGGATACAGACAGGCTGGGTGCGGTGGCTCATGTCTGTAATCCCGGCACTTTGGGAGGCCAAGGCAGGCGAATCAAGAGGTCAGGAGTTCGAGACCAGCCTGACCAACACAGTGAAACCCCGTCTGTACTAAAAATACAAAAATTAGCCAGGCGTGGTAGCACACGCCTATAATCCCACTACTCAGGAGGCTGAGGCAGGAGAATCCCTTGAACCTGGGAGATGGAGGTTGCAGTGAGCCGAGATTGCACCACTGCACTCCAGCCTGGCGACAGAGCAAGACTCCGTCTCAAAAAAAAAAAGATACAGACGCTGACCTGAAAAGGCACCCACTGCCTAAACTTTAAACACTCTGACCATCGAAATAAATAATGATAATAAAAGATTAAAATAACGTACTGAATAAAATAGGAAAATATAGGTGTATACTGATAGAATAAATGAAAAACTGAAATTCTGATGAAAACAGGATATTTGTGGAGTTTCAAAGTACCTCCCCACCCAATGCATAATTACAAAGGGAAAAAGAATAACTTTACAATGAAGAAGGCTTGATAGACATTTCCTTACTCAAGTGATCTAAGTGATCACCATTCTGAATGAGAGAAATCAATATTATGTACTACCTGAGAGGATGCAATGAGAAAACAGAAATCGCTTTTATGATATTCATTTAAACTAAATCTAACCATAAGGAAACAAAGGACAAACCTAAAGTGACAGACTATGAAACAGCTGGTCTGTAATCTTCAGAAGTGTCAAGGTCGTGGAAGTCCCGCAAAGACCAAATAACTCTTCCAGACTGAAAAAAACTAAAGAAGTGTGACAACTAAAGGCAATGCATCATTCTGAACTGGGTAGCTCTGCTATAAAGGAAATTATCAGGACCTCTGATGAAACTTAAATAAGGGCTGAGAATTAGTTGGCAGTAACCTGTCAGTGCTAATTTACCGATTTGATTCTCGTATTATGACTATGTAGAACATCCTCCTTTGTAGGAAATACACAGTAAAATATTACAGCATGAGAGAAGCATTCGGTCAGCTTTACTTTCAAATTGAGAAACAAAAGGTTCTGTGTGTTATACTAATAACTTTTCTATAAGCTTGAGACTGTCTCAAAATAAATAAAAAGCAATATTTCAATGGCTTGTTTACATTAATTATTACCTAACACTTCAAACTATGAGCTCATATCCCCAGGAATAAAGGTGCTAAAAATCCTTTGTGACTTTTAGGTTGGGAAAGACGCATGAACCTGTAGTGTCAGTCAGTGCTAGTTTGAGAATATTTGTTCATTAAGATCATGTGATTAAAATGTGGTGGTAAAAAAGTCACAAAGGATTTTTAGCACACTTATTCCTGGGGATATGAGCTCATAGTTTGAAGTGTTAGGTAATAATTAATGTAAACAAGCCATTGAAATATTGCTTTTTATTTATTTTGAGATAGTCTCAAGCTTATAGAAAAGTTATTAGTATAACACACAGAACCTTTTGTTTCTCAATTTGAAAGTAAAGCTGACCGAATGCTTCTCTCATGCTGTAATATTTTACTGTGTATTTCCTACAAAGGAGGATGTTCTACATAGTCATAATACGAGAATCAAATCGGTAAATTAGCACTGACAGGTTACTGCCAACTAATTCTCAGCCCTTATTTAAGTTTCATCAGAGGTCCTGATAATTTCCTTTATAGCAGAGCTACCCAGTTCAGAATGATGCATTGCCTTTAGTTGTCACACTTCTTTAGTTTTTTTCAGTCTGGAAGAGTTATTTGGTCTTTGCGGGACTTCCACGACCTTGACACTTCTGAAGATTACAGACCAGCTGTTTCACAGTCTGTCAATTTAGGTTTGTTCTTTGTTTCCTTATGGTTAGATTTAGTTTAAATGAATATCATAAAAGCGATTGCTGTTTTCTCATTGCTATTGTGACAGCTACCACCTGTAATCCTAACACTTTGGGAGGCCAAAGCAGGCAGATCACTTGAGCCCAGGAGTTTAAGACCAGCCTGGGCAACACAGTGAAACCCCGTCTCTACAAAAAAATCCAAAAACACTAGCCAGGCGTGGTAGCACACACCTGTAGTCCAGTTGCTCAGAAGGCTGAGGTAGGACGATCACCTGAGCCCAGGAGGTTGAGGCTGCAGTGGGCAGTGATCACACCACCGTACTCTGGCCTGGGTGACAGAGTAAGGCCCTATCTCAAAAATTAATTAATTAATCAATTAAATTTTTTAAATTTAATTAAAAATAAATTATTATTTTTAAAAATAAGGGGTTCATCCATCTATCTCTTTTCTGTGAACTCTACCAGATGCCCTGGGCAATGTTTCTTTTGACAGTCTTTTTCTTTCAAATTAGGTGACAGTTTCTTCCTATCTACTATCATCAGAGCTACCATTACTTTAACCCTCAATTTTTCATTTCTTATTGTCTTAAAGATGAAGGATTTAACATTTGCCTTCTACTCCAAATTAAGTAACTAAGATGCATCCTGTAATGTAAAGATTTTACAGGGATGCCAATAAGTGACTGTTGGTTTTCTAAAGAGAGGAACCTTCTTTATATTAGGGTAGACAGTGTTCATATGCAATCTGTCTACAACAATTGGCAGCTTGTTCTCTGCATGTAACATAAGGCATGGGACATAGTAGGACTCAGAACCATGGTACATAAATATGTCCAAGATATAAGAGTGATTCTGTTTTCTTAAGTAGTTTGTGAGTAACTCCATTCTAAGTGAATGATCTGAATTTTGAAATCTAGTTGTAGCAGCCAGGCAACTCAATGGCAGGCTGTTGTTAGGTGTTTGGACATCTCTTGACATCCTTTTCTTGGCCAAGCACAGCAGCACAGATCTTCTTTTTTAGTTTTTATTTTTAGACAGAGTCTCGCTCTGTCGCCAGGCTGGAGTGCAGTGGTGGGATCTCAGCTCACTGCAATCTCCACCTCCCAGGTTCAAGCGATTCTCCTGCCTCAGCCTCCCGAGTAGCTGGGATTACAGGCATGCGCCACCACACCCAGCTAATTTTTAGTAAAGACAGGGTTTCACCAAGTCGGACAGGATGGTCTCAATCTCCTGACCTCATGATCCGCCCGCCTCGGCCTCCCAAAGTGCTGCGATAACAGGCGTGAGCCACCGGGCATGGCCTAGATCTTGTTTTAGTAGGCCATGCCTTAGCTGACTCAACATATATTCAAACTGCTCAGGGGAAAGAGTTGCCACTTGTAAAGAGGTTTGAATTTAGAGCATGCTACTAAATTATACAGAGCAACAGGCTTGCTAAAGCTTTTCAAAATAAAAATGTTCAATCCTAGTGAAGGCATAATGAGACGTAAACACTCCGGGAAACAATTTGACAAGATATATATGATGTATCTCCTGGAAATATATCCTAGCTAATTCAAAATGAAGCCAAAGATTTACGCACAAAGATGGTGATTAGCTTTTTGGATAATTAAGAATAAAGACTCTAAGCACCCAAAGAAATGACAAGTTATGGAAAGTTCATAAAATATATAAGACAATGTCAAATTATGCTATGAGAAATTATAGGAATACATTAATACACTCATTCTATTAAGTATACAAAGCATAGAAAGTAAAATTATACATCTATTTATATGCATATAATAAATTATATATATAATAATCCCAACTATGTAAAACATATGCATAGATTTAAAAGTAAAAGAAGGCCGGGCGCTGTGGCTCACACCTGTAACCCAGCACTTTGGGAGGCCAAGGCAGGTGGATCACGAGGTCAGGAGATCAAGACCATCCTGGCTAACATGGTGAAACCCCATCTCTACTAAAAATACAAAAAATTAGCCGGACGAGGTGGCGGGCGCCTGTAGTCCCAGCTATGCGGGAGGCTGAGGCAGGAGAATGGCGTGAACCCCGGCAGGGCGGAGCCTGCAGTGAGCGGAGATCGCGCCACTGCACTCCAGCCTGGGCGACAGCGAGACTCCATCTCAAAAAAAAAAAAAAAAAAAACAACTAAAAGAAAACATGCCAAAAATATTAAGAATGGTACTCCATAAACTGTGGTTTCTCATTTTTCTTTCCACTTTTACCCCAATGGTCTATAATAAATAGTATTAATTTTACAATCAAAAGAGAACTTTTTAAAGCAAAACAAAATACAGTCTGATTTGAAGACTTTCAAATCAAAATCAGTTTTTTTCAAGATAATCTTTCAACTCACAGGAATACTTACATTCACAGAATTCAAAGAAAGAAGTCCAAAGTAGTCCTAACTATGACAGCAAATAATATTATACCAGATAATCCTAACCAAGCTTAGAAATAGCCTTTCCTTCACATTCCAGCTTATTATGCTTATTCTTCATTCAGTAAATAATTATTGAGCACCTACTACCTGCTGGGACTGTTTTAGAAACAGATGTGTTTACCAAGCAGTGAAAAAGAAGACATGACCCGTTTTCTCATAGAACTTGGATTCTGGTGGGGGAAAAGACAACAGACAGGAGGAAAACAAACAAACATGGAATATAATTTCATACAGTGCTAAGCACTATGAAGGAAAAAAATAAAGCAACATAAAATAACAGTGGAAAGCAGGAAGCTATTTTCAATTGGGTGGTCAGAAAAGGTCTCTCTGAAGAGGAGATATCTGATCATGCAAGCTACTGGTATAACAACATAAATAGCATTCCTATTGCGTAATTGACCTGGGATTTAGAAAAGTCTGTTTACAACTTAAAATATAAAAATCATCCCTATGAAAATAGTTTCTACTTTAAGAGGCAGTAAGGTATAATAGAACTAGAAAGACTAGGTTTGAATCGTGGCTCCACTACATAGAAGGTAGATACCCCTGTTTAGGTCACAAGCTCTCTCTCCCTCAGTTCAGTTTCCTCACATATAAAACAGACAGAATAGTGCCTAGCTTATAAAGTTTATAAAGTGAAGAAAGATAATATATGGGAAAGAGCTTAGTAACATGTTTAGGCATGTAGTACTCATTAACTGTAAGTTCCCTACATACTTATAGTTCTTCCACAAATTGAGCACTATATACTAATGGTTCTCTGCGAAGCACTCACTATTTCACTATTGCAAGTAGAAACGTATCACATTTTTATCTTCCAACCACACCGAGGCTCCAAAGTCCAAATCACCGCTGACTAAATTCTTGTTAGATATTGATGCTATAAATGATACTGGCTTAACAAGATTAATATTATTTTTACTAACCTCATACTCACCTTTTCTTTCATTTCATCATGAACTGTTTCCATTTTGAATCCCTAACTCCAAAGTGTGGCCTCCTTCCAATCTGCTTGTGATGGTTAATTTTATGTGTCAACTTGGCTAGACTAGGTTATATGGCCAGTTGTTTGGTCAAATACTAATCTATTAGCAGATATTGGTGTAAGGGTATTGTTAGGTATGATTAACATTTACAATCAGTAGACTTTGAGTCTATTACCCACCATAATGTAGGTAAGCCTCATCCAGTCAATTGAAGGCCTAAGAGAAAAGACTGGGGTTTCCCAGAGAAGGATAAATTTTGCCTCCAGGCTGCAACAGGGAAATCTTGCCTGAGCTTCCAGCCTAATGGCCTGTCTCATAACATTCAATCTTGCCAGCCCCCATGGTCATGTGAGTCAGTTTCCTAAAATATCTATCTACTATTGATTCTGTTTCTCTGGAGAACCCTGACTGACATGCTGATCAATCTTAGAGTTGGTCTCCCTGCTTCCGCCTCTTCTTTCTATGTCTACACAGCAGGTAGAGGGATCCTGTCAAGACATTCAATGACCCCTCTGGTAAAAATTCTCTAATGACTTCCCATCTCATGCAGAATAAAAGCCAAAGTCTACGAAACTCTAGAAGCCCCACAGAATTTCTATGACCTTCCTCCTTCCTTCCCTGATTTCATCTCCTACTACTTTCTCCCTCATTCCACATTCCAGCCAGACATTAGCCTTCTGGCTATTTTAACATGCCACAAACATTCCTACCTCTGGGGCTTGTTGTACACTTGCTGTTCCCTCTACCTGGGATTCTTTTCCTCCAGATAACTGCACAGCTTGCTCCCTCATTTCCTTCAAGTCTTTGCTCAAATGGCTTTCCCTCTTCGCTCTATTTAAAACTGAAGCCCTTCCCAAATCTTGGGGTGCTCTATTCCCCCCTTTTCTCCACAGAACATATTACTATCTAACATCCTGTGTACTTTACTTTTTTTTTTTTTTTTTTTTTTTTTTTGATACAGAGTCTCACTCTGTCGCCCAGGCTGGAGTGCAGTGGCGGGATCTCGGCTCACTGCAACCTCCACCTCCCGGGTTCAAGCAATTTTCCTGCCTCAGCCTCCCAAGTAGATGGGATTGCAGGTGCCTGCCACCACGCCTGGCTAATTTTTGTATTTTTAGTAGAGACAGAGTTCACCATGTTAGCCAGGCTGGTCTTGAACTCCTGCCCTCAAGTGATCTACCTGCCTTGGCCTCCCAAGGTGCTGGGATTACAGGCGTGAGCCACTGCACCTGGCCGTTTTACTCATTTTCTTTCACCACTAAAATGTAGGTTCTGAGACAACAAGGCTTTTTGTCTGTTTTGTGCACTCCTCTATTACCAGGCCCTATGCCTAACACATAGTAAGAACATCATAAGTCATTTGTTGCTTGAAGAAAAAACAAAAGAGTGAAGACTGATTTTTAATTTACTCTTTGTGTTTTCCTATATTTCCCAGTTTTCTACATTGGGCATTTATTTCTATTATAATCATACATTGCTGATGATATTAAAAACTAGAATAATGTTTTTGCTAGTAGATTAAAAGGCTTAAAGTCCAGGGCTGGGTGTGGTGGCCCACGCCTGTAATCTCAGGATTTTGCAAGGCCAAAGCGGGCAGACCACTTGAGCTCAGGAGTTCAAGACCCCAGTCCGGACAACATAGGGAGGCCCCATCTCAATTATTAAAAAAAAAAAAACAAGGTCCACTTCCTTTGACTCAGAATTTTTTCAGTGAATAAGATAATCTAAGGTATGAAGCATGAATGTACACTAAAGTTTAATGACCTTAATGTCCATTAATAAGAGACTGATTAAATTATTGTATACCCAGACAATGAAATTGCAGTTATTAAAAATGTACCAGCCTGGGGAACATAGGGAGACGCCATCTCTACAAAAAATTTAAAAATTAGCCAGGAGTGGCTGGTGTGTGTCTGTGGTCCCAGCTACTTGGGAGGCTGAGGTGAAAGGACTACTTGGGCCTGGGAGGTCGACGCTATAGTGAGCCATGTTCACACCACTGCACTCTAGCTTGGGCAACAGAATGAGACCCCGCCTAAAAAAATAGAAACTTTATTTTTAAAAATAAAAATGTAGGCCAGGCATGGTGGCTCACACCTATAATCCCAGCACTTTGGGAGGCCAAGGTGGGCGGATCACGGGGTCAGGAGTTCAAGACCAGCCTGGCCAACAGAGTGAAACCCCATCTCTACTAAAAATACAAAAAATTAGCTGGGCATGGTGGCACGTGCCTGTAATCCCAGCTACTAGGGAGGCTGAGGCAGGAGAATCGCTTGAATCCGGGAGGCAGAGGTTGCAGTGAGCCAAGATCATGCCACTGCACACCAGCCTGGGCGACAGAGTGAGACTCCAACTCAAAAAAAAAAAAAAAAAAAACTGGGTTATACTTCAGTGTATGGAGTATAAACCTATATAAAAACAAAAAGTATAGATAGATAAGCATATCTATATAGAAACAAAATGACAGAAAACAAAGAACAGATATTAAAGTGAAGTGAGATTATGATTGACTGGTTAATTTCTTCTTCATGCTTGTCCACTCTCTAAAATCTCTGCCATTAAAAAAAAAGTGTTACTAGCCAGGCATGGTGGCTCATGCCTATAATCTCAGCACTTTGGGAGGTAGAGGCAGGAAGATCACTTGAGCCCAGGAGTTCGAGACCAGTCTGGGCAACATAGGAAGATCCCATTTCTATTTAATTAAAAAACAACAACAACAACAAAAATCAAACAAAAAAAGTTATTTTCATAAACAGAATGAACAGTAAATATAAACCAACAGAAATAAATAAACCAAGCACTCTTACAAGCAACATAATAAATGTCTATAGTATCAGGTACATGACATTTTTGTTCAAGAATTAAAAAGACGTTTTTTAATGTGTTCTGAATTCCATTTACCCACGTCCCTATCCTCAAATTATACTGTGAAACCTTAATCTATCATACACATTGTTTTGGAAACCATAAATTACAACTGCTAGTAAGGCAAGGTATAGTTTTCATTCTCCCATAGCACAGGCTCTCTTCCAAAGGGAATGTGATTTCTTAGTGCTAGTACTATATGCAGGCATTGTGTTATCATTAAAACTTTCTCTAAAATATTAATTTATTTGCTGTTTTTCCTGCTGCTTCAAATTCTCAGATCACCAAGTCATCCTCACTGTTTTCAGAAAATATGACATGGAAATTTCAATGCATAGGAATAACGTTTGACACTAAACTTTCAAAGTCCATATCATCAGTAAGACACTTTCAAACTAGTACAACATATAAAAGACAGCATGATACAGTTGTGGATGATGAGCTTACAAAGGTTGATGGCTGATGATAATAATAGGAAGGTGAAGAAGAATAAAAGCTTGAAGAAGGCTTCGGTGACTTCACATCATTGGACACAAGGAAGTGAAACATGCGCATATGATATCAAATCAATGAAAAAACACTAGATCAGTAAATAGTATGCAGACAACTGATAGGTCATTCAGAAAGAATGTGCATCCCTAATTCACAGCATATAGGAAAATAAATTACAGAGAAAATGAAAGATTGCAAAGCACAATGCTATAAACCACTAGAAGAATATTATAAGAAAGGAACAAGTATAGCCACACAAAAAGTAAACATTTTTTCAAAACTTTCATCATGGCCAAAACCATTATTAAAAAACTGAAAGGCAAATGTCAAACTGGGAGAAGTATTTGCAATAAATAACAGTTAATATATTTAATATATAAAGAGTTCCTATAAATCAGATTTTTTAAATAAGGCCATCATTAGAAAAATGGAAAAAAGAACATGAAGAGGTAACTCATATAACAACCACAGAAATGGCCAATGAATATTTTTATGTATACATATATTCCAACCCATTAGCAATTAAATGTACATTATAACAAGATACCATTTCTGCATTTTCATCCATCAAAATCTCAACAAAGTACAAAATTAAAATATTCAATGTCATCTAGAGTATGAAAAGGGATCTCTGATGGGCTGCTTTTAAGAGTATAATTTTACCCAGCTTCTCAAAAGTACAAGTTAGCAACCTAAATGTGCACACTGTCTTACCTAAGAAAATAATCACAGAAGTATACAAAGACTTAATTACAATGATGCTTAACTCCACATGGCTTAAAATGTCTCAAAACTGGTAGCAGTCTTAATATGGAAGGGAAGTTTTCTTAAAATCATTAATATATTTATTAAATGGAATATTATACAATGATTTTAAATGATGATAGAAAATCTTAATTCATCATGTTACTATTTGCCAGTTTTTATTTATTGGTTTAACTTTGAACAAGTATGTTATTTTTAGTAATACTTTTAAAGTACACCTTAAACATTTTTAAATGATATTCAGGGGTTATGGCAATGCTTGGAATATAAATGGGTCTATCTTCCATGAAAGCAATTTAGCCATACCTATCAAAATAAAGCACTGTTCACTTTAAGATAAATCACTGAGCTGTACACACTTAAGATTTTTGAACTTTTCTATATACACTTTATACTTCAAAAATGGAAAGAAAAAAAAAAACACCTGTACTCTCGCCTCCACCCCTAAAATCTAGGGATGATAAAAGTACCATTCATGAAAGAGTTAGACTTTACTAATCTGGGGACATGTCTATAACATAATGTTAAATAAATAAAGCAAATAAGTGACCCCGTATTGTGATTTTTCTAGGGTGAGCCCATTTCCTCTATTCAAAAAAAAATGGCTGGGTGCGGTGGCTCATGCCTGTAATCCCAGCACTTTGGGAGGCTGAGGCGGGCAGACCACCTGAGGTCAGGAGTTCGAGAACAGCCTGGCCAACGTGGCAAAATCTCGTCTCCACTTAAAATACAAAAAATTAGCCAGGCGTGGTGGCGCACACCTGTCGTCCCACCTATTCAGGAGGCTGAGGCAGGAGGATCACTTGAACCTGGGAGGCAGAGGCTGCAATGAGCCCAGATCATGCCACTACACTCTAGCCTGGGTAACAGAGTTAGACTCGGTCTCAAAAAAATACATAAATAAATAATTTTTTTTTAATTTAAATGAGGGAATTCTGATAGTTGTCAGATTGCATACCCTCCTATGAACAAAGAAAACAAATATACAATGATAAAGAACAAAATGTTAACATTCGTTTCTTAGGGGGAAGGAAGGGATTAGAAGGGAGAGATTACTAAACTTTTCTGTATATAATTTAATTAAGTCATAATAAAATACTGATATTCCTTGACCAAGCAATTACACATACAAAATCGTACAAGCCTAAAGATACATATGCAATGAAATCACTGAAGTTCCTATAATACAACCCCCGCCACAAAAGACAAAAAAAAAATTGTAGTCTAAAGGCCCCTCAAAAGGAAAACTAGCCACCGGGATCAGTGGCTCACACCTGTAATCCCAACACTTTTGGGAGGCTGAATTGGGAGGATCACTTGAGACCAGAAGTTTGAGACCAGCCTGGGCAATATATCAAGACCCTGTCTGTACAAAAAACTGAAAAATTATCTGGGCGTGGTGGCACATGCCTGTGGTCCCAGCTACTCAGGAGGCTGAAGTGCGAGGGATCACTTGAGCTTGGGAGGTCAAGGTTGCAGTGAGCCATGATCCTACCACTGCACTCCAGCCTGGGCAACAGAGCAAGACCCAATCTCAAAAAAAGAGAGAGAGAAAAAAAGTGGCTATTTTTTTTTGAAAATAAAAAAATGCTAAAGCCCTGTGATGTAGCCTCCCGAGTAGCTGAGATTACAGGTGCATGCCACCATACCTGGCTAATTTTTGTATTTTTAGTAGAGACGGGGTTTCACCATGTTGGTGACCTCAGGTGATCCATTTGCCTGGGCCTCCCAAAGTGCTGGGATTACAGGTGTGAACCATCATGCCTGGCCTTTATTTTTAATTTCTTGAAGCTTGTTTAAAAATTTTTTAATGCTAGCATGAAACAGTGGTTTGTAAAACTTTGAGGCATTTTAGGTTTGCTTTTAAAATGCCCCAAGAAAAACAAAATTGAAGAAAAGTTGAACTAAGATTAGCATAATTTTGAAAACTGTTCAAGATTAAGTTGAATAATTCTCTTATTTTTGTGTGTTTAGCTATTTCTATAAGGAGAAAGTTTTTAAAATGAAATCTTCCTAAGAGCCCCATTAAGTAGAATAGATAAATCCAGAGCCATTCTAAGTGAGATCGAAGTAGGAGGCACACTGTGCTAGCCCCTCCTTTATCCCTCTAGTGACTCCAAAGTCAAGCTGGGGTTCCACAGGGCATTAAAAATACCACTGTTAAAATCAGCAGCAGCAGAATAACACTGCACAATTTGATGGATTCCTCCCTACCGAACAGACAGGAGGAAGTAAGGCCCTAAAATAGCAACAAATGTTCTCTCTGGGTGGTAGATGCTCACGCTACCAATGGACGTTTTCTTCTTTTTCAAAGTCTATTTCGTAAATTTTCTTATAAAGAGGAAAGATGTGGTTTTTTTTAACCATATATACATACACATATATGTGTGTGTATATGTGTGTGTGTGTTGTGTGTACATACATATATATATATATATATATATATATTTTTTTTTTTTTTTTTTTTTTTGAGACGGAGTCTCCCTCTGTCACCCAGGCTGGAGTGCAGTGGTACAATCTCGGCTCACTGCAGCCGCCACCTCCTGGGTTCAAGCAATTCTCCTGCCTCAGCCTCCCAAGTAGCTAGGATTACAGGCGCCCATCATCATGCCCAGCTACTTTTTGTATTTTTAGTAGAGACAGGGTTTCACCATGTTGGCCAGGCTGGTCTTGACCTGACCTCAAGTGATCCGCCCACCTCGGCCTCCCAAATTGCTGGGATTACTGGCGTGAGCCACCGCGCCCAGCCTATTTATATATTTTTTAGAGCAAACCCGTGGCCTGCAGGCCCCCAGGACGGCTTTGAATGAGGCCCAACACAAATTCGTAAACTTTCTTAAAATATTATGAGATTTTTTTTCTTTCGCAATTTTTTTTTTTAGCTCATCAGCTATCGTTAGTGTTAGTGTAATTTTATGTGTAGTCCAAGACAATTCTTCTTCCAATGTGGTCCAGGGAAGACAAAAGATTGGACACCCCTGTTTTAGAGACAAGGTTCTTGCTCTGTCACCCAGGCTGGAGTGCAGTGGTGTGATCATAGCTCACTGTAACCTCCAACTCCTGGGCTCAAGGGATTCCCCAACCTCAGCTCCCAGAGTAGCTAGGACTACAGGCACATGCCACCATGTCCACCTAATTTTTTATTTTGTTTTGTAGAGACAAAATACAAAAATAAAATGTTTGTAGGGCCTTGCTATGTTGCGAAGGCTGGTCTCAAACTCCTGCCCTCAAGCAATCCTCCCACCTGGGCCTCACAAAGCACTGGAATTATAGGGGTAAGCGACCATGCTCAGCCAAAAATGTAGGTTTTAGTGTCTATAAAATACTACAGATTCTACCACTGAGCAACCCAAAACGTTCACATTATCAGACCCAGAGTGCTATAGGATAATTAAGATAATCAACAAGAAATGACAAATCCCTAATGCTTATTAGAAAACAGACAAGAGGCAATGAATTCAAACAGCCATGTCTGACCTTAGACAGACCGACCCTGAACAAAAACAGCCTTATCATATGCATGGTCTTTTAGCTAATCCTTACCTAGCCCTGGAATCTAAGACTGAAATTCCTTCTTACATGGAGAACCAGGAGCAAGTAAATTTAAAAAATGGATTTCATACCCCCCAAGAGTAAGAATCAGTAAGAGGTGGCAATTATCTTTCTCTACCTCATAAAAACCCTTTATGATTTTTAAAGATGAGGAAACAGGGGTTCGGGAAAATAAAGTAACTTGCCCAGTATCACAAAGTCATTAAGTAGTAGGAACAGGACTAGAATAGAGGTTTGTCTGCACCAAAGCCAGGGTTCTTTCTACCAAGCTATCTCCCTCCTCTAAAAAATATTCTCTTATATCAAAAGCTATGATAAGTTCTGTGGCATTCTCAGACCACTGTGGCTCACTACACCTATTAAAAGTAAAAAAAGAAACAAGAAAGGCAGCTGTCAAGAAGTTGTGCTACTTACTGCCCAGCACTATATGCACTAGAGCTTGGAAGGAGGCACTCAAACTCAATTCACGTGATCCTCACTGTCATTCCAAGCAATCAGTCCTACCCCAGCAAAAGGCTTATCACTAACACTCTCCCCCAGCTGAGGCTGCAAATGACATTCCCAAGACAACTTGCCAGTCTATTACATCATGCTGCTGTGTTGGCTTTAAATTTTTAACTCCAAAAATTAAGGGGAATTTGTTTCAACCTAAAAATGGCAGTTGCAAGTTAAAATGGCAGTTGTCACTACAGACTGGTGACTAGAGCACTGGCTTTGCAGTCATCCAGATTATGTTCCTAACCCAGTTCTGCCACTTAAATAAATGTGTAACCTTAGGCAGGTCAATTCACCTCTATAATTTCATATACAAAAATGGCAAGGTAGATAACTTTTCCATAAAAGATCAAATGAGATAATCCAATTCCTAGAGTCCAACACATAGAAAGAACGTGGAAAATAAATGATACATACTATTATTAACATTGGTATGATTCTCATGCCACAGGAATCTGGGCAAATCAATAATCCACATGGTCTGAATTCCTGATTATTTGCTATAACAATCAACTGGTTGAATCAGGACATCTGAGGCAAATGAAACACTGACTCAGTTCAGCTTGGTTGAGAGATAACCAATAGAGGCCCTGGCACATACCAATTGCTCAGTAAATATTTATGGAATTAAGTTTGCAGAAAGTCCACTCAGGAACCTCACTAGCTGTAAGATTCAGGAGGGCTCATTTTGGCAAAAAGAATGGCAACTTTTTTTTTCTACAGAATTTGGCAGGTTTTTCTTTTCTTATTTTCAAATAATATTAATAACTAAACAAACCATATACCAGGTGTCAATAGTGAGGTTTCTACAAATAAAACCAACATGGAAAACTACAAAAGCAGCATTCCAGAGTAGAGGAAAGAAAACCAGTTTGGGAATCAGGCAAGTGTGTGATTCATATGCCAGTAACTTTACAGTTATGTAAACATTATCTTGGGCCAAATAGTCACGTCAGACTCAGTTTCCATATCAGAAAATTGGAGATAAGAACACCTACTTCACAGGGTTGTCATAAAGCTAATATATGTGAAGCACCATGTAACAGTTGGTAATGAGTGATTTTTAAGTCTCTGATACCTGTTTTCCCTTCTAGACGATGGTAGAAACTTCCGGAATGGGTAAATTATGCCTAAGGGCAACTACTATCTTCCCTCCGGCTTTTTCGAAAGGTAAACTAAAATTCAGCCATATAGACAGGTCAATGGGCTCAAGTTGCAATTATCAGTGGGTCCACTCTGACAATTTTAAGGGGGACTCTTTCATGGAACTTCAGAGACCAGGAAAGAACCAGGCTCTGTTCTCTCCAGGTAGCCTAACTATTCCTTCCCTTCTCAGGCCTGCTCTAATATGAGGTTGCTAAAAGGTGTGCAAAGGAAGAGTCATCTTTGCAATAAACCAAAGATGCAGCATATAAGCAACAGGCCTTCTTTGAGAGCCCAAACCCAAATTAAGGCACGAAATTTTAGCACTGTTTGGAGACTGGAGGTAAAGGGGAGAAATGTTGGCATTAAAATAATACTTAAATGAGTACAGAGGAAGGAAGTCTTCCAGGCTCATTAATATTAATACATGTTTACTTTCCATTCACATGTGGGACAAAACAGAGTAATGATTTGCTAATGCCAATGAGCTGAGTACTTAGTTCATTTTACTATGCTGCATACCCTCAATTATATACTAGCAAAAATTAAACCTAAGTAAACAGAATACTCTACACGTCTCTAAAGACAATATTGCTCCACTCACTGAAATAAGACCCAATCAAGGCAAAAAAAAAAAAATCTTTTTTTCCTTCTTAAGTGAATTTCACTAAGAAAGATGAGTCAAGGAACTTTTAACAAATTTGGATTTCCATTTTCAACAAGGTAGGAACCCGTGTACCTCCTCCCACTCACCCCACCTCCAGAGAACTCACAATACTGTTACTAAAATATATTGAATGATGCCTTCCATTGGCCAATTACTTTTAACTGAATGCAATAAAAAGAATCCGCACTTCAAGACCTCACTAACAACTACAATTTTTCCCCCTCTTAAATTTCCAGTTCTGGAAAAAACTCGGTCAGCCCACTAAAAAGCAACTGTAACATTCCTTTTAATCCAGAAAAATAGAGACAAAAATACACCTATTATAATACACCTATTATACACCTATTATAATAACGCAAATATCCATTATACAGCATCAAGGAGAGCACATGCAATAATGGCTGCCATTCCAAGAACATTTTTGTTAAAAGTTACATCGCATGCACAGAAGCTGCTTTTCCAAAAGTAAACATATATTCATTACACTGAGCCTCACTGAAGCATCCTGTTCTTGTAAGGTGAGACTTGTAACCCACCTTTATATACAGAATCTAAAGACAACTGGGCCTTATATTGAACTCGCTCTCCAGTTAACTGTGTTAGTGAGGTTCCAGTACAGTTCCCCAAAGAAAGCAATTTGAATCAATAACCACACCAGTGCTACTCTGAATGTTTGCCAATAAGTAAATAAAATGCCTGACTCCAATATGAAGAACATTTTCCTCCTTCCTGGCTCCCCAGCTCCATTTAAAAATTGTAAACATGAATAGAAAGATAAACTTGAGAACAGCAAAGTCACCCATGCCATCAATAATATCCCTCTAACTCAGTGCCTAATTTTGCAGTTTTCCTCAAACAGGACAGTCTCAACCAGATGCCAGGAATTTAATATGGCTTTTCAAAGATATATCAAACTGTCTGGAATATGCAGTGATGAAAACTGAATATTGCTACTGAAACCATATTTAATTAAACACATGCTTGCTCAGAGCTTCAGAAATAAAGCTACAATGTTTTCTTCCTTGGCTCTCTTAGAAGCCACCCCAACAAGAGAGGGTCACCAGCTGCACTCCTGCTAACAGTTCTATCCTGAGCAACCCTTTCCCATCCACCCCCAAAAAGTTTTACTTTTATCTGTGGAATTCTCTGCCGGCCTCGGCCTGGAAAACTGGGTGGACCCTGAGGACAGGTGTCAGATCTGGCCTTTGGGAGGTGGCCCAAACTGACAAATTATTGGCAGCATAAAGCTATGATCTTTATAAACTTCAGTTTGAGGCTTTATGCCAGTAGTGATTCCCTCCCCGCTCCTTTTTTGAAGAGGGGAGAGAAAGCAAGCCAAAAGGATGAGTTTCAAAATAGAAAAAAATCACCACTTTAATTATGAAACCCTCCCAACTCAACAAAGAACTGTTAAAGGTAGCCAAATGGAAAATGTCAGGAGTTTTTTTTGGCACATGCGCAACTATTAAACATGAGAATTACAACCTCAAGGTGAGGGGAAAAGAGTAAAAAGCAGGAGCAGAAAAGGGGAGGACAGGGCCCAGCCAAAGACCCGTTTGCTCAAAAGGGCCCCTCTTGGTACTAACTCCTCCATGTGGGGCACCCAGGCTGGAGGAAAGCAGAGGGTTACACAGAACATTTAGCAGACTTAACATTGGATTAAACACACTACTGCAAGTTTCAACAAATGTTCATGGCATACGTAAAAACACATTTACAACAAGAAAGAAGAGAGGCACCTGGAGACATCTGACACTGGGCATGCTCTGCAGGCAACTCAGTGCGCACATGCTCTCTACCAGGTTGGCGCAGCCTAGCCACAAAGACCTTGGCACAGAACACTGCAGGATGACAAAAAGGAAGGAAGAGAAGAAGCAGTTAGAGGCCGCAACAAATCACTCCTTCACACAGGCAACTTGAATGTTAGTTGGGGCAGGGGGTGCACCCTTGGCAGTTTGGAGGTTAGGGATGGTCCCAGACAGCTCACTGAAACCTTGGGGGAGGGCCCACTTGATGTTCTATGGAAAGGAGGTTTCTGCTGCCAACCACTAATTTCTCAGGGTACAGTGAATAGAATCAAGAGGGACAGAGAGAATGTTTAAACAAAAACCCACCAAAGGGAACTGTGAAAGTTTGAGTGCAAAACAAGATTAGTGGTGAGATTGTCGACTACAATTTCATCAGTGCCACAGTTTCTCGTCTATGTCACATAACCATAATTGTCATCGTTGTTTAAGAACCTACAAAACCACAAAAAGTGCTATTTGCCC
This sequence comes from Homo sapiens, assembly GCF_000001405.40. Taxonomy (NCBI): domain Eukaryota; kingdom Metazoa; phylum Chordata; class Mammalia; order Primates; family Hominidae; genus Homo; species Homo sapiens. The sequence continues at coordinate 171,958,128 of NC_000005.10, forward strand.
AGCACTTTACATTTGTTCTCTAATCCTCATATCATTGTAAGGAAACCGAGGCTCAAAGGTTAAGTGATTCGCGCAAGGACACACAACAAAGGAGGGGAGAGCCAGAATTTCAAACTTTGGTTTGTCTGCTACCAAAACCCACATTCTTTCCACAAGACTATGATGCTGCTATTGTGAAAACTTATATCACCCCAACTTTTATCATGTGAGTAAAGTTTTGCACCTCCCTAAGGTAAAATCACAGGAGACCTAAAGAATAAGGCAAAAAGAACAAGAAAGATGGGTGACAGACTGATAGATAAAGGCAATAAAAGAGGTGATTTAAAATGCATGATTTTCAGTGTCATCACATCTCCACCTTCCCAAAGGAAAAACATTGGAACGTCATGATTTTCATTTTAGACTTTGTTTACAAAGTCCGTCTGACATGACTAAGAATTAAAAAGCTTATTTAATTTACCTCTTCGATCCTCTTTTAAAAGCTTGCTGATTTTAAAGGAATTAAGAAAAAAAGTAAAATATAAAATGAACATATGTACTACGGCTACTACTTAATAACCATTAGACCATACTGTAAAGTTAATAACCATTAGACCATACTGTTCAATCATTCAGATATAAAGTCAATTAATTTACTATGGCAAAATCAATACTCATGTAACAAAAATTAAAGGTGAGTGTTTGGGTTCAACCAAAACATCCCAGAAGTCTTGGACCCAAGCTCATAAACTTGTTTGTTCTAGCTATAATTAGAATAGCCAAACACCCTCATTTGCCTGAGATAGTCCTGGATGACACTTATTGTCCCCTCATAACTTTCACTCTCAAAAGTGTTCTGGTTTAGTGGATAAATTCTATTATCACCCAACTGCAATACAAACAAAGATAGCTTTGCTTGAAATCAGAGAGACCTGGGTTCCTATCTAGTATCTGTCACTTACTAGTTACAGTTCACCTATGATACACGGAATATTGAGATTACTTAGAAAAGGCATTTAAAGAATACAAAATCAGAGGAACCAAATGGAATAAAAAAATTGAGCAGCTTTCTGGTAGCAATGAAAATGACACACTTCCAAGGTGTGCCTTTATTCCAAAGCCAATACAGTGGCAATATATCATTGAAACTCCAGGTACACAAATTTTGTTGCCTCAACACTTTGCAGAGTACCAACCACAGAAGGTGCTGAATAAAATAATGAAATAAAATAATGAAAGTAGTTGCCATTTATCAAGCTTCTGTTATGTGCTAGACAGCTGAAATAGTAAACTCTCACAATAACCCTGTAAAATAGGTATTATTCCATTTTATGATGAGGAAACTGATGATCAGGAAAGAGATATCAAGCAGAGTCCCATGGAATTTTTTTTCCATTAAGAAAAAAATTTTTTTAATTAAAACAGAAAGGAGAGCCTGATTTGTTAAAACAGCAACACAGACCAGGAATGGTGGCTCACACCTATAATCCTAGCACTTTGGGAAGCCAAGGTGGTCAGATCACTTGAGGTCAAGAGTTGAAGACAAGCCTGGCCAACATGGTGAAACCCCGTCTCTACTAAAAACACAAAAATTAGCCAGGCGTGTGGTGGCACACACCTGTAATCCCAGCTACTTGGGAGGCTGAGACAGGAAAATTGCTTGAACCTGGGAGTCAGAGGTTGCAGTAAGCCAAGACCACGCCACTGCACTCCAGCCCAAGCGACTGAGCGAGACTGCCTCAAAAAAAAAAAAAAGAAAAGAAAAGAAAAGAAAAAAAACCAGCAACTTGTCCAAGGTGCAGGGGAATAAGGGCTAACTGATGGCAGAATTAGGACTAGTAAATTAAACCTGACAAGCTGATTTTCTTTCCACTACAACAAACACTCTCTATCCAGAGATATTCTTACACATGTTTAATAAAAGAATACTTACATCAGCATACATCACAAGTGGATGGGCAAAGAAGAGAGTTTAAGGACTACACCTAGCCAGGTGAGGTGGCTCACGCCTATAGCCCCAGCACTTTGGGAGGCCGAGGTGGTGGGATTACTTAAGCCCAGGAGTTCGAGACCAGCCTGAGCAACATGGTGAAACCCCACCTTTACAAATAATACAAAAGTAGCCAAGCATGGTGGTATGCACCCATAGTACCAGCTGCTCGGAAGGCTGGGGTGGGAGGATTGCTTGAGCTTGGAAGGTGGAGGTTGCAGTGAGCCAAGATCGCAGCACTATACTCCAGCCTGGGCAACAGAGTGAGATCCTGTCTCAACAACAACAACAAAAAAGGATTACATCTGGATTCAGCAACTAATATCAAATTAACACCAAAGCTCATACGTAAATCAATTTTTACTTATTCAGTAAAAAGTCAGGTTCCCTCTGCAAGGGTTAATAGTATTTGCCTCAAAGGGTAAAAACCATGAAAGCATAAGGTATTGATTAGATTCTGCTAATAAGTTGGAATCTAAAACTTTTTAAAAGGCAATTTTTCACATTCAGTAAATCAAAAAATCACAGATTGTGAGAACAGGAAGGCATTTTAAATACTATTTAGTATAACCTCGCACTGCTAATTTTAGATTAAGAGGTGAAGAAATTAAATCCAAATTAGAAAAACAATGATATTATCAAGGCTTTTTAACCATTTAATGATTTAATCAATACTCATAACAATGTGGAAAACAATCAACATAAAGAAAATTTTCAGTGAACTTGATTTTAAAACATTAGCCATTTATTAGAAGACTGATATTTCAAAGCTTTTTGAAGCTTGTTATTTAACTAGTATATTCAGGGAAAGATTTTTAAAAGACCCTCTGAGGGTCAGATTTCCAAGATTTTCTCTTCATAATATCTATGGTAGATACTGTAAGATATAAAGAATGATGCCAGTATTTATTAGATGCTGACATCATGCTAAATACTTTATAAAGGATATCTCATCTCATTTTTACAATAATCCTACACAATAGACATTACTTTCCCCTTCAGAAGAGGAAACACAGGCTCAGAGATGAAGTAATTTACTTATCCAAAATCGCATAGTGCTGGGTTGGTGCTAAGGTCTGAGGCAAGAGTACTCTTCACTGAGACAGCTTGATCCTAGGCAGCACCCAAGCTGGTGTGTGATGCAACTGCCAATATCTACTAATCAGAAGTCTCAACTCTCAGATCATCCCAGGACTGGGAACTTCCAGTTTCAAGACGAGTGTTGTTTTCCATTTGGTAAGAACACAGACAGTGGTTAAAAAGTATTACAACTGCTTACTTTCACACTCAATAATTACTTTGAAGCTAAGTGACCAGCCACATTGCTGAAAATCATCTCTACTCAACAGAAAATGCTATTCTAGGAAATACACCCACCTTTTAGTAAGAAAGTCTGTACCCGCTAGCCAAAACAAGGTAGGTTCCTCTTAGGTCTTAGATCTAATAGATCAGGAGGACATTGATCCAATTTGAAAATAATGGATAAAAATAAAAGTTCCACATTCATCAACCTAAGAGCATTAAATTACAGCTAGGACCACAACAGTAATTGATTTTTTTTTTCTTTTGAGATGGAGCCTCGCTCTGTCACCCAGGCTGGAGTGCGGTGGCATGATCTTGGCTCACTGAAACCTCCATCTCTCAGGTTCAAGCAATTCTCCTGCCTCAGCCTCCCGAGTAACTGGGATTACAGGCACCTGCCACCATGCCCGGCTTATTTTTGTATTTTTAGTAGAGACGGGGTTTCACCATGTTGGCCAGGCTGGTCTTGAACTCCTGACCTCAGGTGATCTGCCTGCCTTGGCCTCCCAAAGTGCTGGCATTAAAGGCATGAGCCATGGCTCCTGGCCGTAAGTGATTCTTGAAGCTTCAAATTTTTAATTTAGGGACATGGCTGGAAACCCATGTTGATCATTCGAGAATAACTATTATCCATGATTGCTTAACTATTCAGTTAGAATAATGAAAAGATTTCTTCATATTAGCTAAATTCACAGTACAGACGATTGTCCTTTTTTTTTAAGTGAGCAGTGTTCTTTCATATTGCTAAAATATGTCTGAAGAATACCCCTGATACCATGGGTATTTACCAATTTTAACAAATACTTATTGACCTGCTTATTAAGCCAACAATACACACTAAGCCTCTTTCCCCTTAAGACTTTAGCCTTGAGCTCAAGAGAAACAACCCAGGAGGATCATAGTGGGGATACTTAACAGAAGACTTTGGAGGGTCAAAAATTGCCAAGATACATTTGTTATAATTTCGTATTTAGCTACTTGTAATGATTAATATTCTAATTTAGGGTTGTTCACAGAGAACAGGAAATGATTCATAATGGGTTGTGATATTAACAGCTAATACCTAATTAGATTGTATATTTGTAGGTTCTATAGCTGAAGAAAATAATATTAGCCAGGGAAGCTGACAGTGTTTATTACTTTTGCCATATCCACCGTATAATCAAAAAAACCTAAATCGAAACCATTATGCTGAGAAACACCATAAGTCAGTAAAGACAAAAAGAATAATCTCTTTTGGCATTTTTCAAAAGCAAAAAGTTTATTAAAAGAGGTAGGAGAAAAATGTCCTAGGCTCTCTTCCTATTACCATAGGAACCACAAATCAAAAGGAAAAAGTGGTTGCAGGCACCTTGTATTCTGATTGGCTCACTTGAAGAACTCACAAAAGCTAACTTCGGTCTGTTTTTAGATGGGATTGTTTTGAATCTCCTGCCCTGATTCCTTCTCAAAGAAGCAGTTCTTTTAAAATTTCCCCAAAGAGGTATTTTATGTTAATCATCTCTCTAATGTTATAACCTCTGATTTAGAAATCTGCCTTATTATAGGTTTTCTATAACTCCCCCCACCACCAATCTTTTTATTTAATCCACTTCCCACAGAATCATTACCAGCTTCTTCTCACTCCTGTCATCATGATTGAAGTAATCAAGTTGAGTGGCTGTTCCATTAACCAAAAAACTTATCTGAACTTATATCTATCTGCACATAGTAAAGCAATTAAGACATTCTCTTTATTCTCCAGGAGCTCACAGAAGGCAATCTTAAACTTATAATGTAAATACACATACACACACACACACACACACATATATATATACATACACACACAAATATGAACTTAACCCACCCAAAGGAAGAGGATGCCTGAACTAATTCATAAAGGGTAAGTAGGAGGCAGCCAGGGGAAAAAGAGAAAGACATTCCAAGAAGAATACATAGCATAAGCAAAGCCAAAGAGGTAAAAAATGAAACATCCTATGCAAGTATCTGCAATTAATTTAGCATTAAAATACTTAAGTGTGAGATGAGAAAGGCTTAATTAGAGAGACAGGGAGGGACCAGAGGTCTCTCTATCAAACTTGTGACTTAATCCCGTAGAACAACAGGTCTTAAACTCTGTGCTACAGCCCATCAGTAGTTGGCCCAATGCTTCTCAGCTGTGTCATCCAATTTTACATCAATGTGAATGACTTTTTTTTCTGCAACTCAGCAGATACACAGTTTGTACAATATCTGTCAGAGAGGAATAGAAACAGATCATGCAACACAGAGATGGAGGTGGAGGTGGACAGGGGATGGAGGTTTTTAGATTAAGAGGTAAGGGGTGAAGCATAACATCAAGCCAAAGCCAAGCCAAATCAAGCCAGCAACAAAGAAATATCCCATGTTTTCTAGAACTCGTGGAGAATATTTGCCGCAAACGATAAAAGAAGTCTGCTCAACAGTAACCCAATGACAAAGAGTGTAAGCAGATAGTACAAAAACCAAGGATGTTTTTATAGATATTATATTACGGATTTTGTTAAAGACCAGAGTGTTCTGAATGTGTTAAATTCCTTTAAGTGAGACATCCAAAATTTTAATATTCAAATCACTGCTACAGACAATGATGAGACAGCTATTAAACTGTTTTAAGCAAAGGAATGACCCTTGGCAGCTGCAGCCAAGCATGATTTGCAGAGAAATAAGGATAAGTCTCTTCGAGAATCTATAAGATAGCAGCTCATTTTTGTTTTACAAACAATGCAATTTCTTTCAGATGGGCTACAAAGAGTAGACACAAGAACCAGCACTTACCAACTTTCATACTCAGTCTAGGTCCTTTTTTCTCCCCCCACAAAACTTCCACCAGGCCCTACTGATAGAATATCAAACAAAGAGTGCCATGATAATGATGAAGAAGAGAAATAAAAGATCAATTTCATGGGGTAACCATTTGGCAGTAATGCCCTTTCCACTGGGAATCTCTAGCCATGAGTGAGGACTGGGTCTTGATGAATCAGACAATAGGTGGGCTCAAGGGGAGTACATAACTCCAGCTCTCTAAACCTAGACTTGACAGCTAGAGTCCCCATTCAGTTTCTGCTGAAGACTGCCAAATAAACTAAGCATTAAAGTTAACCCAACTTAGGAATTATCCTATTGTGTCTCATCTCTCAGCCTGTTGCTTTTCAAGAAGCAGCAGTGTTTGTAATTAAAGTAAGGACAAAGCATTCAGAAGAGTCTTCTAAAATTCAGAACCTAGGCTTCCACTATTAATGTCTGATGGCAACCTATAAGAAAGAGCACTCTCACCACCATAAATGCATTGTTTTTAAAACCAAGAATCACAATGTAGCAATCAGGTTGTTAAATAAAAGTTAATTCACGGTTTAAGGCATTTTCTATAACCTTTTATAGAACTGAATATTGGCCCATTACCCTAATGTGCAAAATACTTTCTTTTCCTTATAATGGCATTTTATTATAACAGAATTTGATAGTAAACATGTGACATGTAACCAAAAAGTTTACATTTTAATTCTTAGCAACTGTATTCTAGAATTATGTTCTTGTCATAATATTATATCACAGGGTATATTCAGGCTGGGATATATGTTAAGGGAAGAAAAGGGGATGCAGAGAAGTAGGCAGGAAGGGGAGAAAAAAAATAAGGATGAGAAGAATGAGGAAAACCAAAATTTACTATCTGCCAAGTTTTTAGATTCAAGAACAGCCCAAAAGTAGTGGAATCAGGACTCAAAGTCAGAGGCCAAACTTTGCTTAAACACCACTATAATTTTTTTAATTAATGTCCAAACAATTTTCATCTTGAATTATTCTAAGGTAAGATATTAGAACCCATCCAGGCAAGATGGCTCATGCCTATAATCCCAGCACTGTGGGAGGCCAAGGCAGGAGATTACTTGATGTCAGGAGTTTGAGACCAGCCTGGCCAACATAGTGAAAGCCTGTCTCTACTAAAAATTACAAAAAATTAGCCAGGCAGGTGGCACGCACCTATGATCCCAGCTACTCAGGAGGCTGAGGCACGAGAATTGCTTGAACCCAGGAGGCAGAGGTTACAGGGAGCTGAGATCATGCCATTGTACTCCAGCCTGGGCAACAGAGTGAGACTCTTGTCTTTAAAAATAAAAAAAAAAAAAAAAAGATATCAGTACCCAAAAGCATTAAAACTAAAATGGATCTTCACTGTAATCTCTCTGGTAGAGAGATGAAGGGTAATGTTCTTTTCAAATTTTTATTCATCCATATTTTCCGATTTTTCTCCAATGACCACCTAGTACTCATATTAATACCTTAATAATACCAAGTATAATTTTAAGTGATGACTTATTTTGTTTAATTATAAAGAGTAACTTGACAATTTTTTTTTAATGGGGCAGTTCACAACATATTCATGTAGTTTGGCTCTGTGTCCCCACCCAAATCATATCTCGAATTGTAATCCCCACGTGTCAGGGGAGGGGCCTGGTAGGAGGTGGTTGACTCATGGGGGTAGACGTCCCCCTTGCTGTTCTCGCGATAGTGAGTTCTCACAGAATCTCATTGTTTGAACATGTGTGGAACTTCCCCCTTCTCACCCTCTCTCCTGCATCAGCGTGGTAAGACATGCTTGTTTCCCCTTTGCCTTCAGCCATGATTGTAAGTTTCCTAAGGCCTCCCAATCATGCTTCCTGTTAAGCCTGCAGAACTGTGAGTCAATTAAACCTCTTCTTTATGAATTACCCAGTCTCAGATAGTTCTTTACAGCAGTATGAGAACGGACTAATACACAATTTAAATAAAAACATATTCTTTTACCAGGAATTAATTTTGAGTCCATCTTAAACATCCACAGTTTAAAATGTGTTTAAATGCTCAGTGCTAGAAAAATATTTCACCTAGTGGCCCTTGGAAACATCAAAATCATAATGGTTTATTCCTGAGGAAATCCAAAGGAAAAAAAAAATCATCCTTGTCCACTTTACAACTACCACCCATGATTCAAAAATGTCACCAAGTTTTTCAGAGCTCTTACAGAAGCTGGAGGAGGAAAGAATTAGATGTTTGAGGTGGGAAGTGGAATCTCTATTCTAAGCAGCATGACAGAGAACAGGATGTAACAAAATAATCTATTTCCGGCATAGCCACATGGATCCTCAGTTGTACTAGGACCAGCGTGAGGTTCAGCTGCCAAGGGGGAACAGAATCCCCCAGCAAGCTCAAGGTTAAATCAGTCTGAACCCAATCCCAATGAGGTTTTTCCAAGATCCATAAATCCTGAGCCTGGAGATAATTTAACACCTAAGTACATCTGGGCCTTTGTTGGTTAGCAGCTGTGGTCCAACTAGGAAAGTTGTTCAGGACTAGGGCGAGACCTCTCAACCCTAAGTTTAATCTTTTTCAATAAAAATGTTAAATGACATGAAAATTAACAAAGAAGGATAAATTGGGAGGGGGTACAAAGTGAGTACCCTATGGCTATACCGTACTCATTAACTCTCATACCACCTCTGGCCAAACAAGCAGCTGAGTTTTACAGACAAGAAAAACTAAGGACCACAGACATCAAATCACTTGCCAGAGGTCAAGAATGGCAAAACTGCATTCTATCTGACTCTAAAATCCCTGCTTTCTTCCCTTATCTATAATTGCCCGTCACTTCCTTTACCTGACATTAAACTCCGTAGAGCAGCAAGTTTCCCTGATTTATTTTCAAATTTTATCTACCTGTCACTCATCTATATTGCTGATTGATACAATCTCTGGTATGCAACTCTGCAATACATAGTCAAGACTTGAAACTCATGCACATCATTTGACTCAGCAATTTCACATGTAAGAAATTTTATCAAGGAGACAAAATAAAGAAATGTCCAAAAATATAGCCAAGAAGATGTCATTCACATCACTGTTCATAATAGCAAAGGGAAAATGCTAACCAAAGGGACAGGTTCCACAGATTAGGGATTACCCATAAGACAAACTATTGTGTTTCTGCTAAATAGAAATCATGCTATACGAATATATTTACAGACACTAAAGGAAGTTTAATGCATAGAAAGAAAGTTACAATACACGGAAAGAATTCAAGAAACACTAAGTGAATAAAGGCAACAAACCAGGACTTACATTATGATCCCATGTTCATTTAATAAATATAATATATACATAGGCCGGGCATGGTGGCTCATGCCTGTAATCCCAGCACTTTGGGAGGCCGAGGCAGGCGGATCACCTGAGGTTGGGAGTTCCAGACTAGCCTGACCAACATGGAAAAACCCCGTCTCTACTAAAAATACAAAATTAGCTGGGTGTAGTGGGGTACGCCTGAAGTCCCAGCTACTCAGGAGGTTGAGGCAGGAGAATCGCTTGAACCCGGGAGGCGGAGGTTGCTGTGAGCCAAGATCACGCCACTGCACTCTAGCCTGGGCAACAAGAGCGAGACTCTGTCTCAAAAAAAAAAAAATGCATATATATATATATATATATATATATATACACACACACACACACACACACACACACACACACACATATAAATCTGGAATTAAACACAGGTGATTTTTATTTTATTCTTTTGGGCTGCCATATTTTTTCAGATGAGGCCATACAATTGACAGCTCAAACTTCTCCATTCCCTCTCCTCTGAGCCACCTCTAAACAGAATATTGGCATTTCCACAGTTACTTAGGGATCTTATCATAGCAACTTGCCCCCTGACTGTAGTAGACCATTCTCCTAATGAAGGTGGAGAGCAGGTAGGGTTAGGACAGCTATAAGAATTTGGTTGCCGGGCGCAGTGGCTCACGCCTGTAATCCCAGCACTTTGGGAGGCCGAGGTGGGCGGATCACGAGGTCAGGAGATCGAGACCATCCCGGCTAACACGGTGAAACCCCTCGTCTCTACTAAAAATACAAAAAATTAGCCGGGCACAGTGGCAGGCACCTGCAGTCCCAGCTACACGGGAGGCTGAGGCAGGAGAATGGTGCGAACCCGGGAGGCGGAGCTTGCAGTGAGCGGAGATCAGCCATTGCACTCCAGCCTGGGCGAAAGAGCCAGACTCTGTCTCAAAAAAAAAAAAAAAGAATTTGGTTGCACTTTGAGGTAACAAAGACACTCTCCTCCATTCATTTCAATGCTTCTGGCTTCTAGATAGCTAACAGATGATCTCCAGTCAGAAAACTCCTAAGTATCTTCTAAGTTACTACTTCTAAATATGTGACAGTATATAGTCCATACCGCATGACATCTGAGAGGTCTTCCAGGTGACAAAACTAAAACCCCAATTTGTTTTTTAGACATTTTCTAGGAACTGAGAGACATCTGCTCTCATTTATACTAGTGCCCCTGTCCCCACCCTCAGTTAATCCAACTTCCCCTTCCCTAACATCTAAGACACTAGTGCTGGCTGCATCGCTTCCTGCTCCTTCTACCCACCATCATGAGTCAAAAGACTTTAATCAGAGAATTTCTGGAAATATGTGCACAACGAGATCCTGATTGTCCTCTAATATACCAAGCCAAAATCCTTACCCTACTTTCATTTAACAGAGGGCAAAGTTGACTACGTTTTTAAAAGAACATTAGAACACACGGAAGGGGCCGGGCGTGGTGGCTCATGCCTGTAATCCTAGCACTCTGGGAGGCCGAGGCAGATGGATCACGAGGTCAGGAGTTTGAGACCAGCCTGGCCAACATGGTGAAACCCTGTCTCTACTAAAAAAACAAAAATTAGCCAGGCGTGGTGGCACATGCCTGTAACCCCAGGTGCTCAGGAGTCTGAGCCAGAAGAATCATGTGAACCCAGGAGGCAGAGGTTGCAGTAAGCTGAGATCACGCCACCGCGCTCTAGCCTGGGCAACATAGCGAGACTCTGTCCCCCATCACCCCCCAAAAAAAAGAATGTATGGAAGGGAAAACTTTTTCTCCTGATGTAATGAACATTCTCATTTTTTTCTAAGAAGAGATACCACTTTCTGGAAGATGACCTGAGAAATGTATCTTCTCTCAATAAAGGTTTGACCCAATTATAGTCAGACTACATCATATTTCTATTTTATCTTTTTCATTTTAAACTGCTTAGTCATTTAAAAAAGTTTACTAAACATCAAGTATACTAAATGCTTTGATAGACAAAAATTCTCAAAACTATATATTCTGGTATTAAAAATTATTTCTGCAAATAAAGCCATATTGCTTAAATTATTTCCTGGTTTGCTAAACGGAAAAAGATGGCTAAATTCCTAAAGTATGAAACATTTTAAATAAATGCAGTTCCACTGCCTTCAAGAGTATTAAAACTTAACTAGCAGCTTTTTTTGTTTTTGTTTTTCAGACAAAATTGCGCTCTGTCACCCAGGCTGGAGTACACTGGCATGATTTCGGCTCACTGCAACCTCTGCCTCCCAGGTTCAAGTGATTCTCATGCCTCAGCCTCCCGAGTAGAGCTGGGATTACAGGTGTGCACCACCACACCCAGCTAATTTTTTCTATTTTCAGTAGAGACGGGGTTTCACTGTGTTGGCCAGGCTGGTCTCAAACTCCTGGCCTCCAGTGATCTGCCCACCTCAGCCTCCCAAAGTGCTGGTATTACAGGAATGAGCAACCACGCCTGGCTTAATTAGTGGTATTTTTAACATCTTTTGTAGACTTAACACTTCCAAAGACTTTGAAAGTCCATCTAACATGCTACTTGTCTCATTGAGAGCTCTGAAAAAGTACCTGCAGAATAAAAGTTGGCCCTGTTAAAAAATCTTTTGAATTCTGCTATGTTTTGGCTTCATGTCCCCACCCAAATCTCATCTCCCATTGTAATCCCTCGAAGGAGGGACTTGGTGGGAGGTGACTGGATCATGGAGGCAGTCTCCCCCATTCTGTTCTTGGTATAGTGAGTGAGTTCTCAGGAGATCTGATGGTTTTATGAGTGTTTGACAGTTCCTCCTCTCTCACCTGCCACCATGTAAGACATGCCTGCTTCCCCTTCCACCATGCTTCTAAGTTTCCTGAGGCCTCCCAGCCATGCAGAACTGTGAGCCAATTAAACCTCTTTTCTTAATATTTATAAACCACCCAGTCTCGGGTAGCTCTTTATGCAGTATGAGAACAAACTAATACAAATTCAAACCTTACATCATTTAAACAAGCCCTCTACTATTTTATAAACACTACTCATTTCTTGAATACATACAACATTTATTTTCAAAGACTTAACAGGCCCCTACACCAAATAAATACATGTTCCAAGTTAGTAGTGTTTTAATTTTATATACATACGCCCACACAGAGATTTGGAAAACAATGGTAATAAAAATTTTGCTTCTTTAGCTAAGAACAGCATGAAAAGCGAGTTGTCAAAGATAATAAAGTGGCACATTTTATCATCCCTTAATTTTACAGTAAAGTTTACACTTGCTCTTCTTCATATAGTTCATTGTTCTTATATCCTAAGCTGACCTTGGTTTCAAATAAAAATAAAATGTGTGCCTTACAGTCCACTGGGCTCTAAGAAATTAATTTGTCTTTCAGGCAGGGGCTAGGACAGCCTTAGAGTAAGGGACTCCTGCTGCTTGCTGCACAGCAAGGATGTCTTTGATTCCCTTCACATTGTTTGAATCCTGCAGGCAACTGGAAAAGGGGAGTTCTCACGACTTGAAGCAAGGAATTTCGCTAAATGCTGGAGCTGAAAGGGACCTTACAGACTTTATAGACCATTTTGTCCATGTTCTTAAAATATTTTTCTAGTCTAGTTCCTCTAAATCTCTCACACTGTGCTGTCAGTACACACCACTTGAAAGCACCCAGTCTTAACAGCAGATAGTTATGGCTTAACACCTGCAACAATAAAGTCAATCTATAGGTTTACAGATGCTTTTTGCATGTGTACACATGAATATGGACAGAAAACAACACTCTGGAACTTCTCACAAAGGAATATATTTATCATCTAAGGTTACAAAAGTCTTATAAACTACTGCAGAAACAGAGTACTACTATTACAAGCAGAGTCTCATCTGTGCCCCTCCTTTAAGACCCTTTTTCCATGCGTTGTATGTAACTTTACCCCTGACTTCATCTTTTTGTCCTATTTTTCCTTTCATCTTCATTTTCCCACTTATTTTGTTTTTAATCTTCCTACACTGTATATGTCACTGTAATCACTCAAATCCTTTTTCTGAAATAAACTAAGGTTTCTGTATATGTTACCAGCAGCAAAAGTCATTACGTTTTTGCAGGCAGTGAGGAGGAAAAAAAAAAATTTATTACATTTTTGAACTGAGAAAAAGGGAAAAGTTGAAAATTAACAACTATAGGGAGGCTGGGCATGGTGGCTCACACCTGTAATCCCAACACTTTGGCAGGCCAAGGAGGGTGGACTGCTTGAGCACAGGAGTTCAACACCAGCTTGGGCAACACAGTGAAACCTTATCTCTACAAAAGATACAAAAAATTAGCTGGGCCTGGTGGTGTACAACTGTAGCACCAGCTACTCAGAAGGCTGAGGTGGGAAAATCACCTGAGCCTGGGAAGTCGAGGCTGCAGTGAGCCGAGATTGTGTTATTGCATTCCAGCCTGGACAGCTCACACCTGTAATCCCAGAATTTTGGGAGGCTGACACAGGAGAATTGCTTGAGCCCAGGAGTTTGAGACCAGCCTGGGCAACACGGTGAAACCCTGTCTCTACAAAAGATACAAAAATTTAGCTGGGCGTGGTGGTGTACACCTGTAGCACAGCTACTCTGAAGGCTGAGGTGGGAAAATCACATGAGCCTGGGAAGTCGAGGCTGCAGTTAGCCGAAACTGTTACTGCATTCCAGTCTGGACAGCTCACACCTGTAATCCCAGAATTTGGGGAGGCTGAGGCAGGAGAATTGCTTGAGCCCAGGAGTTTGAGACCAGCCTGGTCAACACAATGAGACCTCGTCTCTACAAAAATAAATAAATAAATAAATAAATAAATAAATAAATAAGCCGGGTGTGGTGGCGCACACCTCTGGTCCCAGCTACTAGGGAAGCTGAAGTAGGAGGATCGCTTGAGCCCCGGAGGTCAAGGCTACAGTGAGCCAAGATCATGCCACTGCACTCCACCCTGGGCAACAGAGTGAGACTCTGTCTCATAAAAAAAAAAAAAAAAAAAAAAAAAAGTTAAAACTATAGGACTAAAACTTTTTTTTTTTTGAGACAGAGCCTCACTCTGTCACCCAGGCTGGAGTGCAATGACGCGATCTTGGCTCACTGCAACCTCCGCTTCCTGGCTTCAAGTGATTCTCCTGCCTCAGCCTCCCAAGTAGCTGGGATTACAGGCGCCCACCACCACACCTAGCTAATTTTTGTATTTTTAGTAGAGATGGGGTTTCCCCATGTTGGCCAGGCTGGTCTTGAACTCCTGACCTCAGGTGATCCACCCACCTCGGCCTCCCAAAGTGCTGGGATTACAGGCGTGAGCCACCGTGCCTGGCCAGGACTAAAACTTTAATACCAGTTGTTAGTGCCATGAAATGTGTCATCATTGACTTTGGCAAACTAACAACCACCTGTGGACATTCCAGCAGCCAGGTTATTGCTTCACCATCTATCATAAATAAACTGTGTAGGCTTTAACTCAGAAGAACGCATATGCACAGAAGTACTGTGCTTTCAAGGACCACTTACTTGGAAAGAATACAGAATATCACAAAAGAGAGAGTACTGTGGCACAGTGGAAAGATCACAGGTTTGTTTTGGGTTTTATTTCATTCTGTTTTTTAATTGAGGCAAAAACACACTGAACTTGAATCTAACCAGCCTCTGATCTAGCTAAAATTTATAAGAAATACAAAGAGGAACAAAATATGTAGACCAAATGAGAACATAATCTGCAACACCCAGAAAGTGGGAAGTTATACAGAACAAATAAGCAACCTAGCTTCTTCAATAAATAAATGGCAAGGAAAAAAAGATGGGAGAGGCGATTTTTATAGATTCAAAGAGATATAAGAAACTATTCACTATAAGCAATCTGTGACCTAAGTCTGGATCCTGAATTCAAAAGACAAGCTAATGCAATAATTTGAGGAAAGCTAAAGACAAATTCCAATAGAGGGCATCCTACAATGTACCTGAGTGGTACTCCTCAAAACAGTCAAGGTCATAAAAAAAGAGGACAGTCTGAGAAACCATAACAGCCAAGAGCAGCTTAAGGACACACAACAGCAAAGTGTAAGGATGGTATCCTGGATGAGATCATAGACCAGAAAAAGGACATTAAGTAAAAACTAAGGAAATCTGAATAAATCTTGGACTTTAGTTAATAATAATGCATCAATACTGGTTCATTGATTGTAACAATGTATCACACTAACATAAATGCTAATCATAATGAAAACTGGGGAGTGTTGGGGAGGTAAGGGGGATTGAGAATTCTGTACAACCTACTCAATTTTTCTGTAAGTTTCTGTAAATCTAAAACTGTTCTAAAAATAGACTATTAATTTAAAATATATTTATGAAACAGGCAAATATGAACATTATTTGATATTTAAAAATTATTAGTTTTTTAGATGCAAATAATGGAATGATATATATGTGTGTGTATGTTTTTAAGTCTTCGTTTTTGAGTACTTATCTTTTACAGAAATTCATGGATAGATGGATGGATCAAGTTAAGAGGGGAGATTAGAGCAATGTTTCCCAAAGTTTGGTACTCAAGATGATTTTTGGTGGTACATGAAGATTCTTTTAATGTTTCATAGCTACATGTTTAATTTAAATATATATTGTAAAAACATAGGTCAGGCACAGTGTCTCACGTCTGTAATCCCAGCACTTTGGGAGACCGAGGGTGGCGAATCACCTGAGGTCAGGAGTTTGAGACCAGCCTGACCAACATGGAGAAACCCCATCTCTACTAAAAACACAAAATTAGCCGGGCGTGGTGGCACATGCCTGTAATCCCAGTTCCTTGGGAGGCTGAGGCAGGAGAATCACTGGAACCCAGGAGGCGGAGGTTATGGTGAGCCGAGATCACACCATCGCACTCCACCCTGGATGACAGGAGCGAAACTCCGTCTCAAAAAAAAGAAAAAAAAAAAAATACACACACACACACATATATACAGGTAGCACATCAAACACATGATTTTATAGGTTTTAATTGCTTATAAGTTTCCCTTATACATAAATTTCTTGAAGCTAAAAAAAAAACAGGAAGAAGCCGAGCATAACCTATGCCTACAGTTTCAGCTACTCAGGAGGCTGAGGCAAGAGGATCACTTGAGGCCAGGAGTTAGAGGCTGCAGTGTGCTACGACTGCACCTATAAATATTCACTGCACTTCAGCCTGGGCAACATAACAAGACCTCATCTCTTAAAAACACAGAGAGAGATATCATTGTCAAAAAAACATGCAAAGGTTGGTTAAGATCCCAAGTCTAACACTATGTGACCTCTTTTGAGAATTTCGATCTTGTTGCCCAGGCTGGAGTGCAACGGCACTTTCTCGGCTCACTGCAACCTCAACCTCCCAGGTTCAAGTGATTCTCCTGCCTCAACCTTCCAAGTGGCTAGGACTACAGGCACGCGCCACCACGCCCGGTTAATTTTGTATTTTTAGTAGAGACAGGGTTTCACTGTGTTGGTCAGGCTAGTCTCGAACTCCTGACCTCAAGTGACCCACCCGCCTCGGCCTCCCAAAGTGCTGGGATTACAGGCGTGAGCCACCACGCCTGGCAATACTATGTGACCTCAAGCAAGTTATATAACCTAAGAGTCAGCTGTTTAAATGGCTGGAGAGGTACAAGACCTGCTATATTAAAAGAGACATCCAATAAACAATAGCTGTGAAATTACTAAATAAAAATCAACCTAAAACTCCAACAAAGAAGCCATATGCCACTAGAAAAGAATGGAGCTGGGAGAACAAGGAAGGGAAGGAACATGAGAGTTTACAGAGGCAGTTTAGGCAGAGGCAGTCAAGGCTTCCCCCTTTTCTTCTCAATCTACCCAAATGCAGAGAATCTGCTGCTGGCCAGCCACAGCCTGGAGATCCTGCTGCTCCTGAGCCTCAGGCTCTCTCGAGTGCTGCTGGCTAAGATGTGGTTATTACAGAGGTGGGGCCTCTAGAACAATCAGAAGAGTTTTTCTTACCCCATGCTGGTGTGAGAAAGAGCACAGGCATTACAGTAAAAATGAATAAGTAAAATGTAAGTAAATAAAATCTATCACTTTGCTATCTACGTGACCTTGGGCAAAAATTAATCACCTCCAGTTCCTACTTCTTCCCATGCTAAAATGTGGAAAACAAGTCTACCTTTCAAGGTTACAGTAAAGGTTAAAAGAAACAGGGGGTGTAAATCTGGCAAACAGTAGGTATTTAACAAATACTAGTTCTCTCCTCCCTCCTTATTTTGGCAGGATGACAAGAGAAACTCTTGGTGAATAAAAGGGATTAGGGCGAACAAAAATCATAAAGAATAGCATTTCCAAAAGTGTGTCTCTTGGATCACACAGATTTCGAACCAAATATATGGGGGGAGGAATTCTGGGATCAGAAAGTTTGGGAAATGTTGGGAAACACATTATTAAAATGATGATTATCAGGTGAGTTTCCAAAAGGAGACTATATACAGCATTTACTAACAACTCACAGGAATAATCAACCTATTAATCACTAAAACACATGAGGATGGAAGGATGGAGAGAGGGAGGGGAGGAAGGGAGGAAGAAGGAGGGGAAGGCAGCAGTTAAGGCCATGACAACTCCTTCAAAATGATAGTTGAAGTAACAGTGAGATAAAACTATCTGGACGACTTACAAGTCAACGACAGTTTTAAAATCTGGTTTAGAACCAGAGAGGGGAGAGGGGATGCTTTTTCAACTTCTGAAAGAAGTTTCTGATGCCAATTATTTAATTTTCAGGATCAAGTCAATTACGAGATGGTACTGAAACAGAAAACACCAAGAGTTTAAGTAGCAAATATACTCACTTTGGAAGTAGAAATAGCCTTTTGATATAAGATAGTAATTCTCATTTGCTCTTCCAAATTTATTCCCTCATTCGACTGGGCAACTGCTTGGCAAGCACTGTGATAGATGCTGTTATGGATTGCATATGTCCTCCAAAAAGCATGTGTTGGAAACTTAATCCCAAATCTAACAGTGCTGGGAGGTGGGGCTTAATGGTAAGTGTTTAGGTCATGAGGGCTCCACTCTCATGAATGGATTAATGCCAATTATAAAAGGGTTTCAGGCTGCAAGTTCAATCTCTTGCTCTATCAAGCAAAGCTCTCTCACGCCCTTCCATCTTCTGCTGGGATAATGCAGCAAGAAGGCCCTTTTGAGATTCAGGTCCCTTAACCTTGGACTTCCCAGCCTCCAGGTGAGCTCTAAGACATAAATCTCTGGGCCGGGTGTGGTCGTTCACGCCTGTAACCCCAGCAATTTGGGAGCCCAAGGCAGGTGGATCACCTGAGGTCAGGAATTTGAGACTAGCCTGACCAACACAGTGAAATCCCATCTCTACTAAAAACACAAAATTAGCCAGGTGTGGTGGTGCATGTCTGTAATCCCAGCTACCTGGGAGGCTAAGGCAGGAGAGTCGCTTGAACCTAGGAGGCAGAGGTTGAAGAGAGCCAAAATGGTGCAGCCTGGGCAACAAGAGTAAAACTCCAACTCAAAAAAAAAAAAAGAAATCTCTGGCCAGGCAGGGTGGCTCACGCCTGTAATCCCAGCAATTTAGGAGGATGAGACAGGAAGATCACTTGAGCCCAGGAGTTTAAGACCAGCCTGGGCAACATAGGGAGACCCCACCTTCACAGAAAATTTAAAAATTAGTCGGGTATGGTGGCACGTGTGGATCGCTTGAACCCTGCCTAGAAAGGTGAGGCTGTAGTGAGCCATGACTGCACCACTGCACTCCAGCCTGGGCAACAGAGCAAGACCATGTCTCAAAAAAAAAAAAAAAAGAAAGAAAGAAAAGAAAAAAGAAAGAGGAAGAGAAAGAAATCTCTGTTCTTTATAAATTACCCAGTCTCAGGTATTTTGTTATAGCAGCACAAAACAAACTAAGACAGATGCTGGGAATGAATATGCCATGAACTGAAGATGACAAAACAGATATGATCCTCGCCCCCATGGAGATTACTTTCTAATAAGAGCTGATTGTCTAGCAGGGGATTACGCAATACATTTGTGTATCAGTCCGTTTCATGCTGCCAATAAAGACATACCTGAGACTGGGCAAGTTACAAAAGAAAGAAGTTTAACTGGACTTACAGTTCCACATGGATGGGGAGGCCTCATAATCATGGCAGAAAGCAAGGAGGAGCAGGTCACATCTTAAGTAGAATGGCAGCAAGCAAAGAGAGAGAAGCTTGTGCAGGGAAACTCCCCTTTTTAAGAAAGATCAGATCTCGTGAGACTTATTCACTATCACGAGAACAGCATGGGAAAGACCTGCTCCCATGATTCAATCACCTCCCACGGGGTCCCTCCCACAACACATGGGAATTCAAGATGAAATATGGGTAGGGATACAGCCAAACCATATCAATTTGTAAACTACAGTTACATTAACAGCTGTAAAAATAAAAAAAGAACTGACTGCTGCTAGAGCATGACAAGGGAACTTAATCTATAAGGGTACCTAGGGGACCCAGGCATGGCTCCTAAGGAGTTGACACTTCAGCTCAACTCTAAAGGACAAGCAGAGGTTAACTAGACAAGGAAGAAAGGGTGACCCCTCCCTAATAATGAGAACAAATTATAATGCTTGTTGTAACCCTCAAGCAGGTTCAGAGGAACAGAGAAAAAGAAAAAAAAATCACTGTGACTCAAGTGCAGAAAGCGAGGGTGAAAAAGAGCAAAAATAGACAAGACTCAGGAGGAAAACAGAGGTGTCAAAGTTGGGGTTACTGACTGATGCAACCAAAATCATCAAAGGAATATCAAAGTAAAAGACAAACTACATTGGCACTTGAAACCTGTCCAGTGGTGCCCTCCACATATATAAGTTTTTTCAAGGTATTTCTATAAACATAATACAGGAAAAAACTGGACGAGAAATAGGGTTCAGTGCATATTAAGAAATAAAAGCCCACCTGAGAAGGGGAAGGAATTCCCAACAGAACCCCACCTCAAAGCAGCAAAGGCTAGTAGTAGGAGTGAGAGTCCTTGAAGCTGTCAGTGAAGCCAACAGCAACTGATCCTAAAGTGTCTCACAGAGAGCATCCAGAGCCAGAGTCTACGCAGAGAAGGGACCCAATTTCCATTTGCCATGGACAGTATGCAGAGTGAGGCAAACACTTCCACAGCTGGCTTTTAACAAAAATGGCCATTTCAATCACAAAAGGGCAGCAGCAGTGCCCCAGTCACGACAAAATCAGAAGTTCCTCACCCTAGTGATTTCCTTCCGCTACACTCCCCCATGCACCTAGAAGCAGCAGAGCAGAACTACAGCTAATTTTAACACTTCTCTTTCTTCACAAAAGAAATACGAATAGCCACAAACATTAGAAAAATACATCCAATGTCACTAGTAACTTAAATCTTTAAATCTTTAATTAAACTGAGATTTTTTGATTTATTAAAACCCTAAAATGGCATAAACATGAAGAAAGCATGTTTCATGCAGAGAATATAGTCTGTCATGTCACATCATGTTCATAAAGGTTAAGAACAGTGGGTAAAACCTTTGGCTATATGAAATACTCATGCTCTTAAAAAAAGTTAGAGACCATCCTGTGCAACATAGGGAGACCCCATTTTGTCTCTACAAAAACCCTATATTTTGTCTCTACAAAACTTCAAAAATTAGCCAGTCATGGTGTTGCATGCCTGTAGTCCCAGCTACTCAGTCAACTGAGGTGGATCACTTGAGCCTGGGAGGTCAAGGTATGAGCCACAATCATGCTACTGCATTCCAGCCTGGGAAACAAAGACCCTCTCTCAAAAAATAAATATATACATACATAATACATACATACATACATACATATGTACATGTATATGTATAGATGAAGGAAGGGAAGAATACATACCATATATTAATAGTAGTTATAATGGAAACTTTGTTCTTTTTCCATCTTACTTTACGTTTTTCATTACATTTTTCCATCTTATTTTACATTATATTTATTTTCATTTTTTCTATAATAAATGTGAATTGCTTCTGTAAAAAAAGGTAAGTTCCTATTCAATAATTTTGCAATTATTTTTTAATATATGTGTAAATAATGGTGGTGGACTAACTGGTTAACAACATGGGGGAAAAACGAACTTTGATCCCTACCGCAACCATAAAAAACAATTATTTTGAGATAGTAAAACCCTAAGACTTGTTTGAAAGCCTTGTTCCCTGGTGCCGTAAAGAAATGGCACTTGAACATAAATTTAATTTTCTCAGCAAGGCCATTTTTCTATTTTCTGCAGAAAGGGTACACTCGCCAGCAGCTTAGCCACGAGAGTACACTGAACAAACGAGACAGGGTCATTTATAACCTGACATGTCCACCCTACTGCCGTGTCCAGTTTCAATTGGCTGGAACAGGACCTCACATTTTGTATTTGTCCCGATTGGCTAGCAACTTAGAACTTTTTAAAAGAGGCAAAGGCAGAGGAGAACAAAGGAAGAAGGAAGTAACTTGTGGAATGCTGAGAAAGGTAAAAACACCTTCAAATAAGGAAGAGGAACAGGCTATGACCTAATGCTTGCTTGGACCAGTATAAGCATGCCAGGGCAAATACTTAAGCTAAATTGTGGGAGCTAAGAACATAAAGTATATTGATTTCTTTATTACAGCTAGCAGATATTTAAGAATGATGGTACAGGTCTTTGAATAAATTTTGCTTTTAAGAGAAGTTACTATTTATTCCTAACTAGATGGGGAGGAAAGTCTTTGAAGACAAACCTCTACTTTACTTTTTACAGACTTCTAGAAATAAATAAAATTACCTTGAAGACCTTAAAATTTATCAAACAGGACATGAAATACAGTAACCATGAAATAAAAAATTGGACTTCATTAGTATTAAGACCTGCTATCCATCAAAAAACATGATTAAGACAGTGGAAAGGCAAGCCACAAAACAGGAGATGTCTGCAATATACGCATCTGACAAAGGACTAATTTCCAGACTATAAAAAGACTCATAAATTAGTAAGAAGAAAACTCAATTTTTTTTATAAAGTCAAAAAAGGCGTATCTCTAAAAAGGATATTCAAGTGGGCAATAGGCACATAGAAATGTAAATTAAAACCACAATGAAATACCATTTCACACCTATGAGAATGGCTAAAATTAAAAAGACTGACAATGCCAATTGCTGACTAGGATGTAGAGCAACTAAACTCATATTGCCAGAGGAAGTATAAGAATGTACAACCACTTTGGGAAAAGATCTGGCAGTTTCTTGAAACACAAAATATACATCTTGTGACATAAGAAACATATATTTGATCTTTGCTGCCCTGATGACCCCCATTACTGGCACAAAAGCGAAAATTCTTGGAATTGCCTGAGTGATAGTATTGAGAGGAGCATCTTTTGTTATTCAAAATAAGCCACTTTCAACCATACTAGAGTTTATGCTAATAAGGTGACTCTTGGAAGATGGGGGCTGGCTGCTAGAGGAACCATGATCCAAATTTTCACTGCCCCCACCACCATCTCCGGGAAAAGGAAAGGGACTGGAGACGGGAGAGGAGCTAGGAATTGAGTTAATCACCAATGCCCAATGATTAATCATTAATTAATCATTAATCATTCCTAGGTAATGTGACCTCCATTAAAAAAAAAAATCTTAAAGGGCAGGGTTCAGAGAACTTCTGGGATGGCAAACATATGCCTCTACCAGGAGGATGGTATACCCCAACTTCACAGAGACAGAAGCTCCTGCACCCAGGACCCTTCTAGACCTTGCCCTACATACCTCTTAGTCTGACTATTCAGTTGTATCCCTTATAATGTTCTTTTTAAAAACCAATAAATGTAAGTAAAGTATTTCCCTGAGTTCTGTGAGCCTTTACAGCAAATTACTGAACATGAGCAGGTGATCATGAGACCCCTCAAGTTATAACCAAAAGTACCCTGGCAACTTAGGACTTGTGACTGGCACCTTAAGTGGGGGCAGTCTTTTGGTTAATTTAAGGGATCTCACTAGCTCCAGGTAAATACAGTCAGAATTGAATTGAACTACAGGACACCCAGTTGGTGTCTGCAAATAACTGAAGAATTGCTTTGGTGTGGAAACAAAAAACATTTGGAGTCAGGAATGATGTTAGCGTATAGAAAAATAGTTTGTTCCTTTACATTTACTCTATCTCAGCAATCCACTACTAAGTATACCCAAGAGAAAAAAGATGTCCTCACAAAGATCTGAATACAAATGCTCACCCAAGTTTTATTCATAATAGCCAAACGCAGGAAACAGCCTAAACATCCATCAGTAGAATTGGTAAACAGTTATATACTCATATAATGCAATGCTACTAAGCAATAAAAAGGAATGAACTGATACAACAAGAATGAATCTAAGATAAGTCAAACATAATAGAGTGCATACAGTATGTGCATCTTGTATGATTCCATCTTATATGAAATTCCAGAACATATTTAACTAATCTATAGTTATAGAAGGCAGGTTATTTAGGGCTGGGGCAGAGAAATGACTGAAAAGGGGAACAGGGAAGTTTTTTGGGGTGACGGAAATGTTCCATATCTTGATAGCAGTAGTGGTTATGTGAGTATATATATTTCTCAAAACTCAAACAGTACACTTAAAATGAGTGGATTTTATTGAATGTAAACCATAATAAAGCTGATTAAATAAAAAACAGAAACCACAATACAGATACTACCACGCACCCATTAGAAGGGTTAAATTTTATTTTATTTATTTTTATTTTTATTTATTTATTTATTTTTTTGAGACAGAGTTTTGCTCTTGTTGCCCAGGCTAGCATGCAATGGCATAATCTCAGCTCACTGCAACCTCCGCCTCCTGGCTTCAAGCAATTCTCCTGCCTCACTCAGCCTTCCACCAAGTAGCTGGGATTACAGGAATGCACCACCACCCAGCTAATTTTGTATTTTTAGTAGATACGGGGTTACATCTTGTTGGTCAGGCTGGTCTCAAACTCCTGACCTCAGGCAATCCACTCCTAAAGTGCTGGGATTACAGGTGTGAGCCACCACGCCCAGCCAGAAGGGCTAAATTTTAAAGGACTAAAAATACCAAGTGATGGCTAGAATGCTCTACATTAGAGATGGAACCAACTGGAGTACAGACATTTAGAAGACAGTTTAGCAGTGTGGTGTTATGACACATACATACTGGTTTTCATCCAATGCAGCAAAACTCCCACAGCCCTTGTTACAGTGTTTTGTTATAATGTTAGGTAAGTTAGGCCTC
Source organism: Homo sapiens (assembly GCF_000001405.40). Lineage (NCBI taxonomy): Eukaryota > Metazoa > Chordata > Mammalia > Primates > Hominidae > Homo > Homo sapiens. The sequence goes on from NC_000005.10 coordinate 171,982,772, forward strand.
AGGAAACGGAATCTCGGTGACCTTCTCCAGCCCTCCTTTGACCTGACCCGAGGCACGACTCTAATCTTTAAGATCCTCTGCAGAGAGGGTCCTGCCTTATACCCCAGGGGAAGGCATGCCGATGTCATGAAGCTTCCATAAAAACCTAAGATGTGAGCAGTGGCTCATTCCTGTAATCCCACCACTTTGGGAGGCCAAGGCAGGTGGATCAGTTGAGCCCAGGAGTTTGAGACCAGCCTGGGAAACATGGAACACCTGGTCTATACAAAAAAATGAAAAATTAACCGAGTGCACACCTGTGATCCAAGCTACTCAGGAGACTGAGGCAGGATTGCTTAAGCCCGAAAGGTCAAGGCTGTGGTGAGCTGTTTGTGCCGCTACACTCCAGCCTAGGCAACAGAGCAAGACCGTCTCAAAAACAAAACAAAACAAAAAAACCAAGAGGACAGGGTTCTAGACAGATGAACAGGTGGAGGTTCCTGGAGGGTGGCACACTCACAGAGGGCATGGAAGCTCTGCCCCATACCTCACCCTACACATCTCTTCATCTATATCCTTTGTAATAATATCCTTTATGATAAACTGGTAAATGTTACCTGTTTCCCTGAATTCTGTGAGCCTTTCCAGCAAATTAATTGAACCCACAGTATGGGTAGCGGGAACCCCAACTTGAAGCAAGTTGGTCAGAAGGACAAAAGCCCAGGCTTGCCACTGGTATGTGGGGTAGGGGGGCAATCTCGGGGACCAAGCCCTCAATCTGTGGGATCGGACACTATCTCTAGGTAGATTGTGTCGGAATTGAATTGGGGAACACACAGCTGGTGCCCGCTGCAGAACTGATTGCTCACTAGTGGTGGAGAGAAACCCACTCCCACACATTTGGTCACAGAAGCCTTCTTCTGTGTTCATGACTGCTGTTGTACTGGTTTGAGAGCAGAGGAAAAACATGGTTTGAGAGTTTTTCCCAAAACAAGCAGTATCTATTAAAGCTAAATATATGCCTACCCCCATTACCCAGTAATTCTGTTGGGTTCTCATACCCAAGAGAAACAAGTGCTCATGTCTACCTTAGAATTGCTGTCCACAGTAGCAGACAAAAATTAGAAGCAACTCACGTATTCATCAATAACAGCCAAGTACTCAGCAACCCAAGCATTTCATCAACCAAGTAAAACAAACAAACTGAATATTTACAATGGAATAATGCATAGAAAAAAAAAAACTACAGCCACACATAATAAAACGGATGAATTTTACAGACATAATAATAATGAGTGGGGGAACAAAACCACAAGAGTATATACTCTATAATCCTATTTACATAAATTTCAAAAACAGACATAACTAGCCTACAGTGAAAGAGGTCAGAAAAGGCCTTTAAGAAGAGAGTTCATTGACTGGATGAGCTACAGGCAAGAGGAAGCCTTGAAATGCTCTGGAAAAGGTCTATAATTTGATCTAGGTAGTGGTTACACGATGTGCTGTGCACACATGTAAAAATTCATTGAGCTGTACACTTAAAACATGTATTCTTTAATGTAAGTTATACACAATAAAACATACCTATACAAATGCTCTTTTAACCAATCTCTGTTTATCCTCCAAAGCCGGAAGCTTATTACACAGTAGCCAGGCATGGCTTGTCAGTCAATCTCACTTCTAGTCTACCCATTTACATGTACTTCATGTCTATCTCCCTCAGCATGTGTGGGCTGGAGGTAATACTAAATATCCAGAATAATGGCACCGGTAATGGAACTAGATAAAGTCATGCTCCAATCAGGGAGAATTTCTGACAAAATAGTTATAAACAGTCTAGATGATCATAATATGGTATAATTTTAAGTGTGGGGGAAAGGACCTTATGAATTCACTATCCTTTTAACTTCTAGTAGCGATTGTAGGAAAATTAAATACATGCAGCAAGCTCCTTAAAAATAAGTATATAGCTTTCCAATCTTGTTTAAAAATTTAGCTCCATAATTATAAGGAAAATTATAGAAAAAAAGAATCGCACTATAAATATTTACTTTATGCACAATTTTCAAAAATAAAGGCAGGTCGAAGTTACATTTTTTGCAGAAGCATGTTATTTGCATATTATAAAACTAAGCTTTACGGTGACGACATGCCTAAAACTATTACTACTGCCTTCCAAAATTAACCAACAGGTTATAAAAACAAGCAGTTAACTTTCAGACACTGATTTATGAAGGCAAAGCTTTTCAGAAACAGGACTCTCTTAATAGTCTGATTTACATTCATATCAATACAAACACACATATACGCACAGCTATCAACACAGTCATCCACTCTACATCTAAAATGTCTCATTTCCTCCTCTTCATACCATCTGTTACTATCTCATCTTTCCTTCCCTGGGACATTCCAACAGTAAATGAATCAGTCCCCCTGCTCCAATTTGCCCTGCTCTAAAGCATCCTCTAATCTGACAACTGGAGTGATCTTTGTAAACCACAGATCTTGCTCTAATGTTCACAGTCACCTCCCTTCTCAACCACATCCACCACCCTCATACCTCCTCCAATCTAGGCAGGGATCACACGCTCAAAAACTTACATGTGGCTCACACCTGTAACCCCAACAGCTCAGGAGGCCTGGGCAGGAAGATTGCTTGAGGCCAGGAGTTTGAGACCAGCCTGGGCAACAGTGAGACCCAGTATCTAAAAAAAATTATAAAAATAGACCAGATGCAGTGGCTCACACCTATAATCCTAACACTTCAGGAGGTTGAGAGATAAGGATCATTTGAAGCCAGTTCAAGACCAGCCTGTGCAACACAGCAAGACTTCGTCTCTACAAAAAAAAAATTAAAAAATTAAAAAATTAGCTGGGCATGGTGGCATGCTGCTGTAGTCCCAGCTACTTGGAGGCTGAGGTGGGAGGATGGCTTGAGCCCAGGAATTAGAGGCTGCAGTAAGCTATGACTGCACCTCTGCACCACTTCAGTCTGGGGAACAGAGCAAGAAGACCCTGTACCGAAAAATAAAATATGATTTTAAAACTTAGCCAGACATGGTGGCATGCACCAGCAGTCCCAACTACTTGGGAGGCTAAGGCAGGAAAATAGCTTACGTCCAGGAGGTCAAGGCTGCAATGAGCCATGATCACACCACTGTACTCCAGCCTGGGTGGCAGAACAAGATTCTGACCCAAAAAAATAAAAATTAAAAATGTATATGACCAATTAGATAAAGTGAAATTGGTCTCATAGGAGTTACGTACAGGAAAGTACAAGCTCTGACTCAAAAGGACAGCTACTACTGAGCTCCAATTTTCAAACAAAACCACAAATTAGTGTTTTCATATGAAATGTCCCAATTTTTAAAATCTGGCCAGGAGCGGTGGCTCACATCTATAATACCAGCACTTTGGGAGGCCAAGGCAGGTGGATCACTTGAGGCCAGGAGTTTGAGACCAGCCTGGCCAACATGGTGAAACCCCATCTCTACTAAAAATACAAAAATTAGCCGGGCATGGTGGTATGCACCTGTAGTTGCAGCTACTCAGAAGGCTGAGGCCTAAGAATCACTTGAACCTGGGAGGTGGAGGTTGCAGTGAGATCACACCATTGTACTCCAGCCTGGGTGACAGAGTGAGACTCTGTCTCAAAAACAAATAATAAATAAATAAATAAAATCCGTGTGGACCAGGCCAGGTGTGGTGGCTCACCCCTGTAATCCCAACACTTTGGGAGGCCAAGGAGGATGGATCATCTGAGGTCAGGAGTTCAAGACCAGCCTGGCCAACATGGCAAAGCCCCATCTCTGCTAAAAATACAAAAATTAGCCAGGCATGGTGGTGTGCGCCTGTAGTCCCAGCTACTTAGGAGGCTGAGATAGGAGAATCGCTTGAACCTAGGAAGTAAGGGTTGCAGTGAGCCGAGATGGCGCCACCGCACTCCAGCCTGGGCAACAGAGTGAGACTCCGTCTCAAAAAAAAAAGAAAAAAAAAATCCGTGTGGACCACATAAAATATGTTTGTGAAGCTCTACCTATCCACAGGTTATTAGCTTGCATCTTATGACATAAAGCAGGGATCCCCAACCCCAGGCTGTGGACTGGTATCAGTCTGTGACCTATTAAGAACTGGGCCTCACAGCAGGAGATGAGCAGGAGGCAAAGCTTTATCTGTATTTACAGCTGTCCCCTAACACTCGCATTACCACCTGAGCTCTGCCTCCTGTCAGATGATCAGCCCAGGCATTAGATTCTCACAGAAGCAGGAACCCTACTGTGAACTGCGCATGTGAGGGATCTACGTTGCATGCTCTTTAAGAGAATCCAGCTAATGCCTGATGTCTAAGGTGGAACAGTTCCATCCCCACTCCCCGTGCCTGGTCTGTGGAAAAACTGTCTTCTAGGAAACTGGTCCCTGGTGCCAAAAAGGTTGGAGACCAATGACCTAACGGGATAAAGTTCAAGATTTAGTTATAACCTGCCTTTTCAAATTCATCACCCATACTCCCTTCCACACAAGCAATACTCCGGCAATACACAGAATTACTTACTTGTCTCCCAGATAGACAACAAACACCACTGTCTGCAAACCGTTGTTCACTTGGTTCCCTTTGCTATGAAGCTCCACTATCCCAATACATCCATGTTTACGTCTAACTTCTGCTCGAGCCTCAAAGGGTAAGTTTTTTTGGGTTTTTTTTGTTTGTTTGTTTTTTTGAGGCGGAGTGCCACTCTACTGCCCAGGCTGGAGTGCAGTGGCACAATCTCAGCTCACTGCAACCTCCACCTCCCGGGTTCAAGCGATTCTCTTTGCCTCAGCCTCCCGAGCAGCTGGGATTACAGGCACCCACTACCATGCCCAGCTACTTTTTTTGTATTTTTAGTGAGACGGGGTTTCGCCATGTTGGTCAGTCTGGTCTCAAACTCCTGACCTCAGGTAATCCGCCCACCTCAGCCTCCCACAGTGCTGGGATTACGGGCGTGAGCTACCGCGCCCGGCCAAGGGTAAGTTTTTAAAATATCCCTTATGAAATTTCCTTCCTTTTCTAACTCCTACAACACTGTTTGTCTACTTCCCGTGATCCTTACAAGTTTTCACACTATGGTATACTTTTTTATGTAAAAGACTACAAGCTTCTGGAAGCAAGGTATGCATTTGATTCTGTTCTGTATTCCCCAAACAATACCTAGAACAGAGTACATGCTCAATAATGAATGGATGAAACTATTTATCTGCCTATTTAAGTAACAATGTGTATCTCAATTTGATGGGGCCATGATACCGACAAGGTCCCTTAGATTTGGAAAATTAAAAGGCTAACAGAGTCAGAAAAAAGTCTCTCTAATATTACATCTGAATCAGAAATAACATGAACTCACGGTTCTTTTTAAACATATTTCTTAGTTCTGTCCACTGAAAGGGTCTAGAAGCAATGACAACCCATGGCAATGATTTTAGTTTCTAAATACCATTCCTTACTAAAAAGAACCAGAGCCTTGGAGAAATGGCTGATTCCTGATCACCTTATGGAAATATAAGGTGAGTCTGGGACATCTTGTTGTGCCAAAAAAGCCAAGGGAAAACAAACAAACAAACAAAAAAAACAGTGATGGGGTCATGTCAAAATGAAACAGGAGGAGCTACCTAGAAAAAGTTATCAGTAGCCAAACCTGAGACAATCTGAGCATTAGCAAAGACTGTAATTGATTGTTAACACTGAATAAATAAAAGTCCAGGAGAGTATGGTGATATAAAAAAGGAAGGAAGAAAAATGGGGGCAGCCTGTGGGAGTGGCAATTTAAAAACTACAATTCTGGCACGGTGGCTCACGCCTGTAATCGTAGCACTTTGGGAGGCCAAGGCAGGCAGATCACTTGAGGTCAGGAGTTTGAGACCAGTCTGGCCAACATAGCAAAATCCTGTCTCTAATAAAAATACAAAAATTAGCCAGGCATGGTGGCAGGTGCCTGTAATCCCAGTTACTCAGGAGGCTGAGGCAGGAGAATTGCTTGAATCCAGGAGGCAGAGGCTGCAGTGAGCTGAGATCACGCCACTGCACTCCAGCCCGGGCAACAGAGCGAGACTCCACCTCAATAAATAAATAAATATATACATACACACATACATTCATACTACAATTTTGGCCCAGCATGGTGGCTCACGCCTGTAATCCCAGCACTTTGGGAGGCCGAGGTGGGCGAATCTCCTGAGGTCAGGAGTTCAAGACCAGCCTGGCCAACATGGCAAAACCCTGTCTCTACTAAAAATATGAAAATTAGCCGGGCGTGGTGGTATGCACCTGTAGTTCCAGCTACTCAGGAGGCTGAGGCAGGAGAATCACTTGAACCCAGGAGGTGGAGGTTGCAGTGAACTGAAATTGCACCACTGCACTCCAGCCTGGGCAACAGAGTGAGACTCTGTTTAAAATAATAAAATAAAAAATCTACAATTTTGCAACCCCTATTGTAATAACCGATTTCAGGATCAGGATAATGAAACCAATGAGTGAAAGGCTGTAATGAAACAGGGTATTTACAAGGTGCCAAAATAGTGTCCCATAGATTCCTCTCTAATAGCAGAAGAGAAAATTTTACCTTCATTATGGAGAGATCTGGCTGCGCCAAGGAATCAAAGTTAGCATTGCTCATAACGGGATAACCCGTCATTAAGTGCCTCCTGATATGACTCAATGTGAACTGCACTTCACCTATGATGAAGCATTCTCGTCAAAATGTTTAACCTGGATGCATCTCAATTAACTTCCAGTTTACAGGAAGTAGAGGAGCTAGAGAAACCAGTTAAATGACACCACGAGGAAATAATGAATGCACAAGGTTACACATCCTACAAGACAACCAGAGCTGGTCTCTTCAAACAAGTTAATGCAGGCAAAGGAAGGAAAAGGGTAAAGGAACTGTTCTTAAAAAAGAGTACAAGAAACATAACCAAATACAAAGGATGTACTTTGTTTGGATCCTGTTTTGTCGGTTTGTTTGTTTTAAAGAAGTGAGAGTGGTATCAAAGACATTCTTGAGACAATTAGGAAAATTTAGATTTAATTGATGCTTGATATTATATTATGGAATTACTTTAATTTTCTTAGATGTGAAAACAGTATTGTGGTTACACATGCATAAAGTATATGTGATTATATATAATGTGGTTGTATACACGGAGATATGGTTGTGTGTATGCATGTAATGGTTTGAGACAAAGAGAGAGAAACTATCCTTATTTTAGGAGATACATGCTGAAAACTTAGGGGTTAAGTATTATGATGTTTGCAACTTACTTTCAAATTTTTAACAACAAAAAAGGGAGGTAGGGAGGAAGGAAAAGACAGAGTAAGAGAGGGAAGGAGAAAAGGAGAGAAATGGGAAGGAGGGAAGAAGGGGAAAGAGGAAGAGAAGGGAGGGGGGTAGCAGAGAAATGACTCAAATATGACAAAATGTTAACAATTGTTGAATCTAGGTCAAGAGAGTATATAAATGTTATACTTTTTTACCTCAACTCTTAGATGTATATGATATTTTTCATAATAAAAAGTTAATGGAGGAAAAAGAGAAGAACAATTTAAAAAGCAAACAGTTTAAAATTCATGTAATACCATGAGACTGTCAGGAAATAAGAGCACTGTTACTCAAGATCTGTGAGAGTATAAATTGCTGCAATGTGACTGGAGGGCAATGTGGCAATGTCTATCAGATTTATAAAAGCACCTAGTCAGTATGCCCAAGATCCTGTCCTGAAGATACCTTCCATATGCACAGTTCTTCTTTATAGCATTAACTGTAACAGCAAAAGACTAGAAATCATCTACACATGCATCAGTCCAAACTGGTTACCCAAATTATGGCATATTTGTACAATAAATCAGCATGTATCTTTTAAATTAAATTATCTCCTCAAAAAATATGACAGCTCTTTGGGAACTGATATGAAAGATAACTGAGTCATATTTTACTTAAAAAAAGGTGCAAAAATAATGTGTACAGGATACACGTATGTATAGAAAGGTTACACAAGAATGTAGTTGGGTGGCTAGAAGGAATGAGAAACTTTTTTTTTTCGCTGGTTACTCCCTTTTGCACTTTTTGAGTCTTGCTCTATTGCCTGGGCTGGAGTACAATGACACAATCTTGACTCACTGCAACCCCCCACCTCCTGGGTTCAAGCGATTCTCCTACCTCAGCCTCCCAAGTAGCTGGGATTACAGGCGCATGCCACCACGCTTGGCTAATTTTCGTATTTTTAGTAGAGACGGGGTTTCATCATGTTGGTCAGGCTGGTCTTGAACTCCTAACCTCAGGTGATCCACCTGCCTCAGCCTCCCAAAGTGCTGGGATTAAAGGAGTGAGCCATGGCACCCAGCCCCTTTTGTACCTTAATTTTGTATCACAGATATAGTAATTCATTCAAAAAATTTGTCGAGTATTGATTGACTGTAGCTATAATGAACTCTTCATGTCTCCATGCTTTCACTATCAAAACTTAGTTACAGTGGAGTCGCAGGAGGCCTAGGAATTAGGGTCTGAAGTGAATATGTAAGGTGAAAATAGCATACGACAAAAATATGCCTCAAAAATCCCTTAAGGATATGCCATACTTGAGACCAACACAGCATCTCAATAATTCTAACACCACTAATTTTTACTCCAGCATTGGAACAGTTCACAGTTTCTTCAACTGACTAGCAGATAAAATAGCTGGCTTGTATTTAGGCCTCACGTTGTGATGTTAAAAGTGTGTGTCTTTAAAATACCATAAGCACACATATCACAGCAAGCTAAAACGCACTCAGGACTCAAGACAGACTGAAAGAACAGATTCCCATTTCCCATCTTAACGTTTGATCCACAGTCTTCACTGTTCAGGTTCTGTTTCTCTTATTTTTGTCACCAGATGCATAAAATTTGAGTTTGCATAAATGTACATAAGATACGTTCTCAAAAACACATTTCAAAAATTAAGCAAACTATTACAGTAGAAGAGAAAGTCACAACCCAAATGTTTGCTGACTAGGAGTAAGTAATAGCAGGCTGTAACAAAATTCTCAGGTCAAGATGAAAAGGAGAGGGTGTGGCCGGGAGGTTGGCTCACATCTGTAATCCCAGCACTTTGGGAGGCCGAGGTGGGAGGATCACTTGAGGTCAGGAGTTCCAGACCAGTCTGGCCAACATGGCAAAACCCTATCTCTACTAAAAATACAAAAATTAGCTGGGCGTGGTGGTGCACGCCTGTAGTCCCAGCTACTCGGGAGGCTGAGGTGGGAGAATCACTTGAACCCAGGAGGTGGAGGTTGCAGTGAGCTGAGATCGCACCACTGCCTTCCAGCCTGGGCAACAGAGTGAGACTCCATCTTAAAAAGAAAAAAAGAAAAAAAAAAAAAAAAGGAGGCCGGATGCGGTGGCTCATGCCTGTAATCCCAGCACTTTTGGAGGCCAAGGCAGGCAGACCACAAGGTCAGCAGTTTCAGACCAGCCTGGCCAACATAGTGAAACCCCGTCTCTACTAAAAATAAAAAAATTAGCCGGGTGGGTTGGCATGTGCCTGTAGTCCCAGCTACCAGGAGGCTGAGGTGGGAGAATCGCTTGAACCCAGGAGGCAGAGGCTGCAGTGAGCCGAGGCCATGCCATGACACTCCAGCCTAGGTGACAGAGTGAGACTCTGTGAAAGAAAAAGAGAGAAAGGGGGAGAGAGAGAGAGAGAGGAAGAACGAAAGAAAGGAAAGAAAGGAAGAAAGAAAAGAGAGAGAAAGAAAGAGAAAGAGAAAAAGAAAAAGAAGGAAAGGAAAGGAAAGGAAGAGAGGAGAGGGTAGTAATAACACCTCTTGGTCAACATGACATATGATCTCAGGTTCTGACCTTAGCTGTAGCCCATTCCTTTATGTTGCCATTCCCATACACCAATACATACATTCTTCAGTCTATACTCTGAGTAATCATGTAACTGTACTAAAGTCTAGTCAGCTACCACTGCACCTAAAAACTCCCCAATATTTCTCTCTAACCCTGCCCTCTCTAATGAACTCCAGGCCAATATTCCTACTAGATACTTCTCTTCTTAGACAATCCATCCATAGGCAACTCAAATTCACCATAACCCAAACTGAACTCACTTTAATATAAAGAGGCCACAAGGAAGCAAGGAAAATTCAACTGTTTTCTCAGAGTTGAAAATGAACACAAAATGGATTACAGCAGTGATAAAGGAACCTTAAGGAAAACAAAGGGCTTCCCAAACCTGTAAGTCAAGTGTGCATTCAAGCTGAATGTACTAATCTGTCTAAAAACAAATGCCTTAATCATAAAAGGATCTGGGAAGCAAAAGCAAGCAGAAGAGGTGAACGAAGAGGCTTTACCACAGGGAAAAACCACCATCCCTAAAAGTAAGCTGAATGAGGGTGTCTCAGTCCCAGGCCAACAGACGTCTTACTTCCCTGATGGAGTCTTCCTATATGAAGAGAATATTCCAGTCATTTGGCTTGAGTCTTCAGGTCTCTCTGACTTGTTTGAAAAAATTAAACTAGCATATTAATTAGGACCTAGTAAGTAAATCTGCCTATCAAAAAACAATATACTCTGGGTGTGGTGGCTCACACCTGTAATCCCAGCACTATGGAAGGCCCAGGCGGGTGGATCACAAGGTCAAGAGATCGAGACCATCCTGGCCAACAATGGTAAAACCCCCTCTCTACTAAAAATACAAAAATCAGCTGGGTGTGGTGATGCGTGCCTGTAGTCCCAACTACTCAGAAGGCTGAGGCAGGAGAATCGATTGAACCTGAGAGGCGGAGGTTGCAGTGAGCCACGATCGCGCCACTGCACTCCAGCCTGGTGACAGAGCGAAGACTCTGTCTCAAAAAAAAAGAAAAGAAAAGAATATACTAATCATGCCAACACACATATCACTGTAAATTAATAAATTAAAATTTAGGTTTTACACATCAGTCTTGTAAAGTTGGTTAATGTTGGTCCAACCCTGGGATAAGGGGATGTCTAGGCATGCTGAGCAGATCAAATTTCTGTGAGTGTTAAACCAAGGACCAGATCTAGGATGATGGTAAATTATAAATCTCCACATGTAGCTATTTAAATGTCAATTTAATTAAAATTAAAAATTCAGTTACTTTGAGCCACACTTCAAACCTCTACCATATTGAACAGTGCAGACACTGAACATTTCAATCATTGCAGAAAGTTCTATGGGACAGCACTGTACTAAAAGGTAACCTCAAACTAACCTATTCCAAGTTGCCTTAGGAAACAGCCTGACAGCCCGAGATGGCTAATGCAGAACCTGAGAGCTAGACTGTTTTCTACAGAAGGTAAGAAATATATAAAACTGTTTCCTTTTGCAATGATTTCTTGAAATCAGAATATATAGTTTTAGTCTTTAGGATTTCTGCCCCTTTATCACTGGATGATACTCTAATCTACAGGTAATATAGAACAGAGGTAAGAAGCACATTCTCTGAAGCCAGACTGCCTGGGTTCATATCTCACCTTTGTCCCTTACAAGATGTGTGACCTAAAGCATGTTATTTAACCACTCTACCCTTTAGTTTCCTCACCAGTAGGGGGGAAATAATGGTACCTACCTCATTAGGTTACTACAGGTTGAATATCCCTAATCCAAAAATACAAAATCCAAAGTGCTCCAAAATCCAAAACGTTTTGAGTGCCAACGTGATGCTCAAAAGAAATGCTCATTGAAACTTTTCAGATTTCAGATTTTAGATTAGGAATGCTGAATCAGTATACAGCAAATATTTGAAAATCTGAAAAAAATTCAAAATTCTCAACACTTCTGATCCCAAGCATTTTAGACAAGGGATACTCAACCTGTATAAGGATAAAAAAAAGTTTATATGTATAAAATATCTAGAATCATGCTCAATAAAGAATAAGTACCCAGTATTAACTATTACTTCTACTACTAGTACCATTACTACCACCACCACCACCACCACCACCAGACTGTCCTGACTATCCTTCAGAAGACAAAGTGAAAAATGGCTCACACCTGTAATCCCAACACTTCAGGAGGCCGAGTCAGGCAGATTACTTGAGGCCCGGAGTTTGAGACCAGCCTGGCCAACATGGCGAAACCCCATCCCTACTAAAAATACAAAAATTAGCTGGGCATGGTGGCACGCACCTGTAATCCCAGCTACTTAGGCAGCTGAGATACCAGAATCACTTGAACCTGGGAGGCAAAGGTTGCAGTGAGCCACAATCTCACCAGAGGAGAAATATTAGCAAATGTGAAAGTATTAAATTAAAACAAGGATCACGAAGTCAGAATGTCCGTCTACAATAAAAAGAAAATTTTTTTAAGATGAAAGGGAGTAGGATGTTCTCCAGAAAGAATATTAAATACCGAAAAAAGTCATGTTTTCAAGAATGTTGCCTGACAATGCCTTACTTGTAAGGATGACAAACCACAGGCCAAAAGAAGTCTACATAATGAACTACTGAGCTATTTAAATAATAAATACTGAGGAGGAACTGAGAAGATATAGGTTTGAGTTCACTGGACCAAATGATACTTCCCTGTATAAAGCACATCTTGATATTTAAATGCATTGTCTCTCCTATACTCCCTAAATTACCTTTACATTCACTTGATGAACTGACTGAAGATCTGATTTTTCAGTAAGCAAGCATTTAATCATATTAAATGGGCTGGGCGCGGTGGCATTTAATCACATTAAATGGGCCAGGCGTGATGGCTCACGCCTGTAATCCCAGCACTTTGGGAGGCTGAGGTGGGCGGATCACAAGGTCAGGAGATCGAGACCATCCTGGCTAACACGGTGAAACCCCATCTCTACTAAAAATACAAAAAAATTAGCTGGGCGTGGTGGTGGGCGCCTGTAGTCCCAGCTACTTGGGAAGCTGAGGCAGGAGAATGGCATGAACCAGGGGGCGGAGCTTGCAATGAGTGGAGATCGCGCCACTGCACTCCAGCCTGGGCGACAGAGCGAGACTCCGCCTCAAAAAAAAAAAATCATATTAAATTATTAAAATACCATGCCAAACAATGACCCACCATGTGTTCTTTGAGTGGAAACGTGTTGTAGAAAATCACACCTTGCTCTTGCAGACAGGCAATTTGAAAATCTAAAGGTTAAAGTACAAACTTCAGCAAGTGTAGTAAGACAGAAAGAGTCAGAGCTTTGAGGACACCTAAACCCAAGCTTAAAGCTTGGTTCTACCATTTACTAGCTGTATGACCTGAGTAACTGGCAGTTTATGCTTACGAGCTCCATTTCACTAGCTGTAAAATGCAGGTGAAGCATTGTGCCAATTAAGTAATATATGTAAAGTGCATACAAGGGTAACTGGCATGTAGCACTCGCTCTCAATAAGCAGTTGCTACAGTTAGTAAACCTCCCCAAGACGACCTGCCAAGAGACCTCAGAATAAAATATCACCACTTTACATGAAACCGCAAAAAATATTTTGACCAGGTATTAACTATTATATAAATCATGTGAGAATGCCTCAAAGTTACCATTTGTTTTCCATATTTTACAAGCTATTCCCTAAACAACATATGTCTCTGTTTACTGTATTTCCTATTAGACTATGAATAAAAACTATTTGGGCTTACAATAAAAATAACTGAGTTAGGCGTGGTGGCTCATGTCTGTAATCCCAACACTCTGGGAGGCCAAGGCAGGCAAATCATTCGAGCCCAGGAGTTCAAGACCAGTCTGGGCAACATGGTGAGACCCTGTCTCTACAAAAAAGAAATTAGCTGAGCATAGTGACATGTGCCTGTGGTCCCAGCTACCTGAGAGGCTAAGGCAGGAAGATCGTGTGAGGCCAAGAGGTCAAGGCTGCAGTAAGCCATGTTTGTGCCACTGCAGTCCAGCCTGGGCGACCTGATGTCTCAAAGATAATAATAACTGCACTTCTTACAGTAAAACAAAGTTTTTACCAGGAATTCAGACACATAGACCTTCACTGATCCACACTCAAACATGGCCAAACATGACACTACGCACAAACGTCTAATATTTCTCCCTTTCCCTATTAATGGACAAAATAAATAAGGGAAAATATTTTTCAAAATTTCTTTCAGCGAGTTGAGTTCCACAAAACAAAACAATACAGGGTAATTGCTTACCTGGAAAATATTTTGTACTTCAGATCCACCAATCCAGAATGAATGGGGGTTTTCCCTTTCAGACTAGTCTGAGAAAAGACAGCAGTCAAGCATCTTCCAAGATTCTTTCCGTTTACTGTATCCAGCTTTCTTCAACAAAATCCCAAACATGCACTTCGGTAACTGTTGAAAGACAGAAAGCAATCCATACACCCACCATGGCACCAGCGGCAAAGGACAGCCTCCAAGAAATGGAAGGAAGGGTCAATGGAATGGTGGATCTGAGGCACAGGAAAAAAGTTATAACCCCTGAGTCAGCTATTTGGCATAAAATGCCTGCAGCAGCATTCCTCACCTCTGTGTTGAAAGGATACAAAACTCGTAACAAATAATGGAACATCCCTAATGTTAATATTTACTCATGATAAACAGCATGCAACTTCCAAATGAGAGCAGCTAAAAAATACCTACCCTATCATCCATATAAATTGTCCTAGACCATTCAGCTACACTGAACTTCCTTATCCATTTTCTAAGACAGCTCCTCCACCATTAGAAAAATAGTTTGTCAGCCAAAAAGAATGATACGAGAGGGCTCAAATATCTACCATAAAGATATTTATTTACGTACCTAACAAAATGTTTTGGTTTGCTACATATAAGACATCATATCTACATATTACCCAAATCCTCTACCCTTAGCTAAAATATAGTGTGCTTCAAAACATATAACTGAAGACTGAACTTCTGACTCAGTAAAGGCCAGTCCCGTACAATGGCCAATGATCACGTAAACTGGGAAAAATCATAAAGAACGCTAATATACAATTTACTAGGTGACACCATTAAATATTAAGTCCTGTCCATATTATATCAATATTCTTTTTCTACCATATCAAATTAGACTGCAAATTCTAAACAAACTAAAAGGGAAAGAGAAAAAGCATTCAGCAGAACAACAAAGATAAAAACAAAAAGACTGAACTTACTCGAACATAAATTTGCTACTTCCACAATTGCTACATTATAGCCAAAATGCTCCTGCAGTAATTATAGTAATACCTACCTTATTGAAAAGCTACTAACTGGCCAAGCCCTTTACATTAATTACCCATATTTAATTCTCAAAAAAAGATGAGCAGAAAGAAGTAACCTATCCAAAGTCCCACATCTACTAGGTAGTAGAGCCCATGCCCTTTTCATGGAGCACTATGGACTCCACAGTTCAAGGGTCAGAAAGCCCATGATTTCTGAGAGAGGAGAAGAAATCAAGCTTTACTCTCAAAGGTCCTAAATTAATTAACATCAAAATGGAGAACAATGAAAATACAGAAGAGTAAATATTTCAGCCTACATGAATCAGTTGGGCCATCCTGAAAGGGTAATTCCCTAGATCTTGCCACTTAAAAAAGCATTTAATTAACAAAGAGCCATGCAATTCTACAGCCCATGATATTTTTTTCTTGTCTTTTTTTTTTTTTTTTTAAGTAGAGACAGGGTTTCACCATGTTGCCCAGGCTGGCCTCGAACTCCTAAGCTCAAGCGATCTGCCTACCTTGGCCTCCCAAAGGGCTGGGATTACAGGTGTGAGCCCCCATGCCCAGCCTAAAGCCCACAATATTAATGCTAAAACAAAACACATTATAGGCTGGGCTCGATGGCTCACACCTGTAGTCCCAACATTTTGGGAGGCCGAGGCGGGCAGATCACTTGAGGTCAGGAGTGTGAGGCCAGCCTGACCAACATGGTGAAACCCCATCTCTACTAAAAGTACAAAAATTAACCGGGCCTGGTGGCACATGCCTACAATCCCAGCTACTCGGGAGGCTGAGGAAGGAGAATCACTTGAACCCGGGAGACAGAGGCTGCAGTGAGCTGAGATCGTGCCACTGTACTCCAGCCTGGTTAACAGAGCAAGACTCCGTCTCAAAAAAAAAAAAAAAAAAAAGACTGTGGCAAGACATACTATAATGGTACTCAAGTAGTCTTTGTGTTTAGCAGCAAAGATTGTAACTGTGACAAAGAATCTCAAATCCAGCTGAACCCAAGTAATTTTTAAATTCTAAGATTTGTTGACAGTCCACAGGCAATGACTCTTAAAGATGTTCTGATTGTTCATATTGTAGGTAAGGCAATTAAAGTGACTGAAATACCGGTCTATGATTAACCTCGCCATAACAATCAGATGAAAATACCTTAAGACTCACAACTTTAAGGAGATCACAAAAGTAAAATCCCAAGCAAATAATGAGTTCTCAAGTTTTTCCCATTAAGTGGTATTACTCCTAAGCCTAAGAATAAACTGGAAACCCAATTTTGACAGAAGTAGCTAGGGAACTATGGCTAGTAGCGAACTGCTAAAACAGTATACTATGCTTTTCAAGGTACGACTATCCAAAATGCAAAACAAGTTATAGCAAAACACAACCACAGCAATTTGACTAACAGACTCATTTCTGGACCTCTTGAATCCTCAGGCTTTTCCCCTGTACTAGTGAGTTAATTTTTCTCCCTTCCCTTCAAAAAAAAAAAATATATATATATATACACACACATATATATTTCTTCAATCCCTAATTGTATATATATATTTCTTCAATCCCTAATTGCTGGCAGGCCTTATGCTAGTAATACAAAGATTAACAGATGCCAGGTGAGTAGTGTCAGGACTGAGTTCTTCCTGCCCCTCTGCCCCCTTTCTCTTTGAATCTATCATGTAGTCATTTCAGAGGGCCAAAATATATTTTATTGTTAGTTACCAAAACTGGTTCAATGTTCTCCAGTTAACTCCTAAAAAAATAAACATTAAAAATTACTCAAGTTCCTTTTTCACAATAGTAGAACCTCAGTCTTTCTTTTTCTTCTGTGGATCAGAGGCTTTTTACTATACAATGGTTTCCTACATTCAATATGCTTATATTTACACACCTCTCTATCACAAGCCAAAGAGCCAAAGCTTTTTTTTTTATTTTTCCTATTAATGTCCCAGTGTTTATACTTCACAGCTTTCCATTTTGTGAAGCTCTTCATTGTTAACTCAACCTGAGAGGGAATTTCCTAAAAACGCTTCCCGCTGACATCACAGAACTCTTCCATCTTTTAGTTTCATTAAAACACTAAGAACCAGGTAAGAGATACCCTACTGGATTGTCAGGTCTTCCTGGTCTGTCTCTCATTTGCCTACAAAGACAAACTTCCTCTTAAGCAATTGCGATCAGCAGAAACTAACCAAGGGTAACGAGCACATTCTTAACCAACACGTTTCTTCCCCCATTGTCATCTAATTCAATGAACAATACAACTCAGAAGAAAATCTTGTATGAATTCTCACTGCTTATTCTGTTAAGGTTAAAACCATCAGCTTTGATGATGGTAAGAATAAGAATTCAAAAACCACAATTTGGTCAGTCTAAACTAAACCGATCAAACATAAATCCCAATGCTCAATGTCAATATAAACTAATCACCAGTCTCTTTCTGTCAGGATACCAGGCATAAAAATAGGACTGGGTGGGTTCTCTCTGTAGTTACAGCATAGATCTAATTACGCCAAATTGGTAGTCATTGAAATAGTACCTCCCAGATTTTCCAAGACAGTATTGACTCTGCATGATTTCATTGTTTTTCCCAAAGATGGCTCATTAAATGTATGGCTAAAAGCAACTAAATGTTAGTCTTCTGTAAAGCCTCACAAATAAATACATGCGCAACTCAGGAGAAAGACCTTTTCCACACCATCGGTCTTGACTTCGCTTTAGGGTCCCTGTACTTGTGGGGAAAGTTAGTATGGTCAGCATTTGAAGAAAAGCAAGCCTCTGCAAAGTCCTTTCACACACATCTCTCATATAATCCTCCCAACAACTCAGACCAATACCTAAGTTTTCTTATTTATTTTTACATATAATCAAATCATACTGCAGAAAGGTTACCTTTCTTTATGTCACACAGCTAGCAAGCGACAGAGCTTGGATACAAACTCAGGTGTTTCACTTCAAAGCCCATGCCCTTTCTGCTAAACCATGCTTTTCTAAGGTCATGGAGCCCTTGGAGCTTATCAACTATTTGGCAAACCTGCACCAACTGATGCAAAAAGTATTCAGTTTCCTCAGTTCTTTGCTAACAACCAGTCTCTGAGTTCTATGTAAATCAATCTGTATGTGTGGAAAGTCTGTAAATAATGGTTAATATGTCTATGGATGTCCTATAAACAACACACCACCCACCTCTTCCCCCTCCCCATCTTTCTTCTCTATTCATCTCTACCTTTGTCTTAAGATATTCAAAAGGAAATCTTAAAAGGTTTCACTGCATGAAAGAAAGAAAATCTAACATTAATTTAAATCCATATTGAGCACCCATGTGCTGAGGAGTAACAGGGCAATCAAACACAGCCTCTAGAAGAAGAGTTTAGGCACAACCACAAGTTTTTATAATATAATAGGATGATATGATAAGTCCCATAAAAATTTGGAACTGATTATTGTGAGAATTAGTAATGTGGGTGAAAATGTTTAGAAAAGAGGATAGTTAAGACACAGGCAAAAGGCAATAATGTCTGAAAATGATCACCAGGAAAATTCAACCCAACATTTCCTGAAAGCCTACCACAAAGAAGACACCGTGTGTATGAAGGAACTGTGTGTCACTGGAAGATAATTAAGGTCCCAGCCCTTCCCATGAGGAGTTTATCATTCAACAGAGGACACAAACAGGTAACTATATTACAAGCCTGAAATATGTTAAGTGCTACAGGATAAATACAAAGTGCCAGAATTCATTCATTTCATTTGAGTGTCATATAGGCAGTGCTATACAGACACAAAAACCAGACAGTCTCTGCTACCATAATATAAACTGACATCAAAAGAGGTGGCACCTATTGTGTTTTATGGGTGGATAGGACTTCATTAGCATAAATGAAAGAGAAGATTGCTGAGATATAACCTAAGCCAATTTGGCCAGAGAACCACCTATTAGATCCTTTTGATAAATATCAGTAGCCTTCAATAAATGGGCTTAGGTCCATTCCTATCAGTGCTGACAAAGGAAACGTGTGAGCAGAATCTGGAGGACCATGGTCCTCCATGTGCTAGAATATACAGTAAGCAAGGAAAGTAGGCAGAAAAGCCATAAGGGAGAATGGAATACAAAGGAAGACTGGAATTGGAATCACTAGGACTTAAAATGCTTTGTTTTCTATGAAGAACAAATATCACAAGGTAGAACCCAGGATCCCACAGATCTTACAGGGCAGATAATTTTGTTTCTAGAATTCACAGGCTCAAACAACACTAGTAAGAGGCATATATGTGCTGTTGTGAATCTATGTAATGGCTGAGTGATTCTCCTGGGCTAGCTCCCTATTTGCAGGAGACAGACTATAGCAGTCAAGAGCCCAGAATGCCAAGACTTGTGTGCAGGAACATGTTTATCCATGTCAAATCTGAAAGGATATCTAACCTACTGCAAAATCAGGGGCAAAAATTGATATATTTGAGCCAATGCCTCTTTAGGCAGGTCAGTGAGGTCCATATATTTTATATAAATGTGTGTGTGTGTGTGTGTGTGTGTGTGTGTGGTTTATTCATTTGGACCCTATTGAAACCTGTGTCCACTGAGTCTGCATTCAGTAAGTTAGCACCCCTAGTGGTGTGCTACATGAGGAGAAAGGTGGTGACAAAGTAATATCCAATTTCTTGATGAAGTCACTAAACAACCCCACTCACCCCGAGAAAGTCAATGACAGGAAGAAAAAAAAAAGATCCAAAAAGAAAAAAAGACAACATTTCCAGTAACTTCATTTATTCGTTTCTTTCTTTTTTCTTTTCTTTTTTTTTTTTTTTTTTTTTGAGAGTGTCTTGCTCTGTTACCCAGGCTGGAGTGCAGTGGCACAATCACAGGTCACTGCAACCTCAAACTCCTGGGCTCAAGCAATCCTCCCCACCTCAGGCTCCTGAGTAGCAGGGACTATAGGAGTGAACCACTATGCCTGGCTAATTTTTTTATTTTTTGTAGAGACAGGGTTTTGTTATGTTGCCTAGGCTGGTCTCTAACTCCTGGGCTCAAGCAATCCTCCCACCTCCTAAAGTGCTGGGATTACAGGCTAGAGCCACCGCACCTGCCCACACCTTCTTAATAAGGATCAGTGTATTTTAACCTACATTACTTCATTGAACAAGTAATACAGCCACTTAAGAGATAAGACAGAAGGGAAATGACTCACTTAAGGTCACTTAGCAAAAAGGGAAGTCATTTAACAATTAATTATAAACCATCCATTAATTGTGTAAAGGGAAGAGGGGATTCACTCACACCCGTGGAGGAGGCAGGATCGCCTTTCCTAAAGTGATAGCATCAATTTCTGCTGGCTTCTTACAGGGTAATCTAATCATCTTTCTCTTCCAATCAGAAGCTCTTGTGAGTGCTTTCTAGTGATGAGTGCCTGAAAATCAAGTCATATTCCTAACTCAAAGGTTAATAAATACCACGTGATACATATTGTACAGTTCTCATTCTTCCCAATGAAGTCCATTGAACATAGCCGGATAAACTTTACATATTTCCAAAATGAATTACTAGTTTTCTGCCTCATTCATAAGGCGAATTTTACCAAACTCAGAAGTTTGGAAAAATAGGCCCACTAACAGGTATAGCCCTGGGCCAATATAAGGCCCTAAAAGTCATCTGGCGGT
Source organism: Homo sapiens (assembly GCF_000001405.40). Lineage (NCBI taxonomy): Eukaryota > Metazoa > Chordata > Mammalia > Primates > Hominidae > Homo > Homo sapiens. Next base: position 172,003,561 of record NC_000005.10, read on the forward strand.
TAAATTATTTACCATTAGTAACTGTAAATTCAGGGTCTAAATTAAGAGCTTATAGACTTTACTAATATTCAAAGCTGAATCCTATAGAGTGGGTCAGGAGGAGAAGCAACCTGGGTGGACCCAGGCCTCAGGCAGCGGTAGGAGTCAAAGTGGGGGTTATATTTTAGAAATTTAACTATTCTGCTATCACCAGCTTTATTTCCTAATATACTTATCAAAAATGCAAGGAAAAACAGAAGAATCAATATTAAGGAAAGTACAGGGATGAAGATTAGAAAATGGAGATAACCAAGAAGTCTGTTTCCTCTTTTTAATACAGCACACTTTGGAACAGCAAATGAAAGTTATCTTGTTAAGCATTAAGTGCCAAACTGGTACAAGCAGCACAATCACAAATATTTGAGTACTGAAGCTGACTCATAAAAATCTAAAAATATTTCATGCTTTAGGCTTTCAAAACACCATCAGTTTAACCCCTTTTCCTCCATCAATCGTATTATCTTGAAACCAATGTAAAAAATATTTTTAACCCAGTTCTGGAAACTGTAATTGAAATGCAGTGAAAACAGAAAGCCACATGCAATTAGATTCTAAGGCATTATTTCCTACATTTGATCCTGGATTTACTCAATCAGTTGTTAAGCACCTGTGCTACTTTACTAAAATAAATACACATATTTAATTTATGATAAGGGTTGTCTAAGAGTCTTAACTGATATCCCTTTCAGGAAATATCAAAATCCTTAAATAAAAGGCCATTTTAAAATTAATCGTAATATAACTAAACTCTGTTAAATTTTCAAAGAATTCCAGTTTAAATCCCAGTTTATAATGTCCTTAACAGGCTGAAATCTCTTTTCTGATCAAAACCAAGTGCTATCATGTAAAATCAAAACTTTTTAAGTTATAAGCATAGGAAGCCAGTGAATTTAGGCCAAAGGTTTTTATTTTTTTATTTTGTAACCATACACTGACTTGGGTTACAACGTATTTCTTATAATTCTTTTGAAAATAAATACATTTTCGTTATTTTTTAAAGGAATAGAAATGGAAGGAGCTGGGAACAGCCAATTTCAAAGAGGCACCAAGTTACAATTTTTCGATATGAAGTACTTCTGTTGTAAGTACATGCACTGTGTGTACATTCTTAAGAATATGTAATATACTTAGTCGATTTAAGATAGTTACCAAAATAACCCACTACAAAAGTTACAGAATACCAAACACTTGACTACAAGTATGATAAATTATGCTGAAAAGGAAAAATCACTCAGTATGTGACATCCCTTTGAAAACAACCCCACGTGCACACACACACACACACACACACACGCATGCAAAAATCAAAAACTATCAGTTTCTTTTTTTCCCTCCTAGTTTTCAAGAATGCTAGAGAAGTCCAGTTCTGTGAATTATGCAAAGGACAGCAAACATTAAGCTGCCTCCATATTTATGCTACTGTACTTCCATTTTTAAAACAAGCATCTCAACTCCCCAGACACCATCATCCACAGAAACCATGCAGCTATCCAACAGACTTTCAGTGTCACCATTTATTATTTATAGCGTTAAATGGGGGAAGTGGCTCTGATGTCACCAACCCTACCCAGTGGAATCACTGACTCAATAAACATTTTCACACTGAAGAAAATCTGGCTAGGAAAACATTTTGCTGGGTTAAGTAGATTCTTCCACCTCTCCTCTCAACCCTGGGGAAGAAGTTGTTACCGTGTTAGGAAAGATACAAAGAAACTGTCAAGGCTTCCATAGGAAGAAATCCTGGACATGTCCATTTGCTGATGCAGACTTCCTCTTCCCAGCTCTCCAGAGCCCAATTTGATTTCCCTCATGTTCACGTTGGCAGGTAATATCTGCCATATTTTATTTCTTCCACCAAATCATCCATCAATTAGCAAATTCTTCACTTCTAGCCACTCTCTCACTGTCCTGTTCCTAAAAACCCCTTCTGGTTTCAAATCCTAAAGCTTCGGAGGAGGGTGGAGGGTGTCCACGGACCGGGAGTCTGGCCTGGCTGCCAGTGGTTTCTAACAGAAGAGTGGTCGCTTCCCCCGGGGGCCAAGGATTCCCCTCTTTTTTTTTTCTTTCTGAGAAGAAAGACCTCGCGGCAGTGATGAGGATGGCTCCCTCCCCAGTCATCTCCAATTTCCCAAAGCAGCTCTGGAAAACGTGAAGTTGCGCCTTCTCTTTCCTGGAGGATGGAATCCAGAGTACCTGGGCCCTTGCTATGCAAACATCCCTCTCCGCCGGGTAGGAAACCCTTTGTCCGAGAAGCCGGACACCACAAGGGCCCGGGAAAGAGGCCTCCTTATCCGCCACAGCCTCAAACCCGAAAGCTCCCTGCCCCCCCAGCTCTGTAGGGCCTATCCTGGCATCCACACAGACCTAGGCTGGGGAGTGGGTGCTGAGACCTCTCCTAGGACGCGGAGGCCCAGGCGGCCCCAACCCATCTCCGTACTCCTTCCCACCATCTCACTCGGCCTGAGTGGGGCTTGCAAGCGCGGTGCGGGCCTGGGCCGAAACAGAGGAAAGAAAAAAAAATCCCTTTCTAAAAGAAGGAGAATGGGGTGCTAGAGCGAGTGCGACCTAAGTCTACAGCATAAACGAGCGAGGGTCGTCCGAGAGCTGGGACCGGAGACGGGACCAGGGGGAGGGGGAGAAGCGAGGGGCATGGAGGGGGCCGGGCCAGGACCGGCCGGAGATGTCGAGGGATCAGAGGAGCCCGCGCCAGGTCCGAGGCCAGGGAAGGCTGGGGGCCCGGGTCTGGGTCGAGGCGTCTGGGAAGGGCCAGAGCCGGCCTCGCACCGGACGTTGAGGTGGGCAGGCCCGCCCGGGGCCGGACGGACGGAAGCACAGACGGTCCAGCGGGCCGCACTCACCATGAGCTCGATGGTCTTGTCCTCAATCACCGAGTCGGGCTCCATGGCGGCCCCGGCGGCCCCGCCTCGCTCTCCCCGCGCAGCAGCGAACGGCCCGGGCGGAGGAGGCGACGGCGGAGGCGGCAGAGGCGGAGGCGGCTATCGCACCCACTCTAGCTGCCAGCCCGCCCGGGCCGCCGGCAGCTCCGCCCTCCCCCTCGGCGAACGCAGTACGCAGATCGGGGACTACACCTCCCAGCAGGCGCCGCGGCCCGCAGAGCGTTGTGGGACCGAGCCTCTGACACCAGGTTGCTGGCTCTTGGCAGCCCGAAGCTGAACTCCGAGCTGAGAGTAGCACTGGACGGTGGGCGTAGGACGTGCAGACCTGAAGAGTTAAGAGCTTGCTCATGGCAGGGCCTCGAGAGCGCCACGACTACGTGTCCCAGAAAGCCGTGCGCCCGGGTTGTCCTTCCGGCTAGCTTCTCTTGACTTCCTGGCAGCCCAAGGCTGCCCAGACCGGGACGGAAACTCCGAGGCAACTCCTCACTTGTCGGAGGTCCTGCGTATGCGACCCATTTCCGCACATGCGCGGTCCATGCCGCAGTGCTCCCTAGACGCCTAGGTAGCTGCGCGGCCCGTCCGGCAGTGTCTGATGGTAGGGGCAGATGGTGGAGACAGGTGGGTTCTAGGTGCGTTAGGAAGGTGTATAGACCTGGGGCTCAGGTGTGGGAAGGGGCCAGCGAGTGAGAGAAGCTCGGCCTGGGGAAGAGGCTCTGAGAGGATGGGCATCCCAGGAGTGAGAGTTTCGAGATTTCTTCGGGAAAGACGGGGTTTTGGGAAATGTGCTGTGGTGCTGTCTGTATGTCACACGATCTGCGAGGAGCTGCGAGATTAAAGGGGACGTGCGTATATCGAGCCCCTCATTCATTCGTTCAGAAAATGGTTATTTTTTAAGCATCCAGCTTCCGCTGCGTACCGTTCTAGGCGCTGAGAATCAGCTCTGAACATGACAGACAAGGCTCCTGTTCTCATGGAGCTTAATTCTGGTGGAGGGACGACAGACACTAACCAAAAGAGTGGCTAAGAAGGAACACACAAGCGGAGACTCCTTCTAGTGAACTCAGCCTCCAACTCTGTGTAACTTAGGTCTGTCCGTGCCCTCTAACCAAATCCCACCAGGAAGACACGGATCGTTGAACAAGCTGGGTTTATTACTAGTTGCAGTGACTGAGAACACACATTGAGGAACGATAGGGCCTCTCGGTAAGAGTTGTTAGTGATTTGGGAGAGGGTTTAAGGAAGTGAGAGCTTCACTGGATTAGATACTGTCAGGAAGAGAGGGTCGTTCCATGATTGAGCATCTCAGTTCATCTTATCTAGAGGAAGGGAATTCTAGATTGAGGCTAAAGCTGTGCAGATAAAGAAACAGCAGCCTGGCCGGGCGCAGTGGCTCACGCCTGTAATCCCAGCACTTTGGTAAACCGAGGCAGGCGAATTGCTTGAGCGCAGGAGTTCCAGACCAGCCTGGGCAACATGGCGAAACTCTTCTCTACAAAAAATACAAAAATGAACCGGGCCTGGTGGTGCGCGCCTGTCATCTCAGTTACTTGGGAGGCAGAGGTGGGACGATCGCTTGAGCCCAGGAAGTGGAGGTTTCAGTGAATGGAGATCGCACCACTCCACTGTACCCTGAGTGATAGAGCCAGACCTTGTCTCAAAAACGAAAAAAAAAAAAAAAAGTGCAGCAGCAGCTCCCTCATATTAGCCAAGTGGGGATGTTGAGTCATTTTTTGTGGTTTGGACAATCATCAGGTTTTATCTTTTTATCGTGTTTAGACCTGATTATAGAGTGGTCTTGTATTTGTCTGGATCTATCATGGTCACAGAATGACCTCGTCTGATGTTGATGTTCTTTGGAATTGTTTTTGTTCTACAGGAAAACACAAAGCCTAGCTATAAGGGCCAGGCTGTGGTCTAGTAACATCATGGCATGGCTGATTGTACCAGGCCAGCTTCCAGATATCAGAGGCTGCTTTTCACTTTCTCAAAGTGTTTTTGCATTCTCTGCACCTATAAAGTCAAAGAGGCTGGATGACCTAGAAATCTTTCCATTACCAAGGACCAAGTTACAGTAATTTGCATGCATTCAGGACACAGTATAAGTTCCCTGCAGGTAGACTTTGAAGTTTCATAGTCCTTACCTGGTGCTTTTCACCAAGGGAATTGAAAGAAAAGCAATAGGAAGAGCACAGAATTGGAAAGTTCTTACCACTGTCATGCTATCTGAATTTCACCAGGTCCGTTCCACTATGGCCCTTAGGACATTCATTAGTAAAACAAAGGGATTAGATATGACCTCTATTTCAGTTACCTGTTGCAACACAACAAACCTCCGAAGACTTAGTAGCTTAGAATAACAATGGTTTATTATGATTTTACAATTGTGTGGGCTGACCCGGGCTCAGCCGGGGCCCACATGCAATCAGCTGGGAACTCATTCAAAATGACTTTTCATCTTCTAGGGCCTCTCCTCCCTGTGGCTTTTTATCATTCAAACGTCTGCATAGTGACTTGAGAAAGGACAAGCCCCAGTGAACAAATGCTTATCAAACCTCTGGTATGCACCACACTTGGTAATGTCCCGTTGGCCAAAACTAGTAGTATGGCCACACCCATAGTCAGTGTGGGAAAGGATTGTACAGGGGCATAAAAACAGGCATGGGGTAGGAGTCACAAGCTGGATGTGACCCTCCCCCCGCCGACCCGGCACATACATATGTTTGTCCTATACCGTCTTTTTTACTGTTTTTAAAATTTGATGTTCAGGTTTTCAAAATCTGAATTTCCAGCTTTTCTTGAAAAATTAGAATATCTGACAATTAGATCTACATGGCAACAATATGCAGGGGTTAAATAGCAACTACCTTTATTTAAGCATATATTCTATGGTTTTCCACAGTTGCCATCACTCCTTTTTGCCTTGTATCTGCATGCTTCACTCATTTAAGTTGCATCCCTAACCTGTATAGATATTTGAGTTTGCATCCCCTGGCATTGGAACTGTAGTGGAGATAAATCAAGGTTTCTGTCCTTTTATTAAAATCGTATACCTGGGAGCATAGGGAGGGGCTACCATCTCTGTGGCTGCACCATGATCTACAAAAAAAAAAAAAGAAAATTGTATGCTGCCTTAAAAGGAAAAAAGTACTAATATTATTAGGTCAAATTCCAGGAGCTCAGTGGGGTTAAAAGCTCATACATAGGAATTAGCCAAGTATGATGGCTCACGCTTGTGGCTGCAACTACTCAGGAGGCTGAGGTGGGAGGATCACTTGAGCCTGAGAGGTCAAGGGTGCAGTGAGCCATGATTGCACCACTGTATTCCAGCCTGGGTGACAGAATGACCAGCTTGGGTACCAGACCAGCTTGGGTGACAGAACAAGACCCTGTCTCAAAACAACAACAATAAATAAATAAATAAACACTATATATATGATAAAAGAAGTCTTATCCAAGCTACGTAAGAGGCAAGCTGAGCCAAGGCTTTATCACCTTGCTCTCACCTCTTCTCAAACAAGAACTCAGGTGCTCTTATTGCTTCAGGCTTGATGGCAGCTGTTGATTAGATTTGGTCATAGACAAAGGCAGAACACCCTGAGGCATATTTTCCCACCGTGTTTCAGATAGCTCTTCACTGAGGTTTGCAAGACATGATCATAACAAAGTGGTACAGGTCGTGATTCCCCTGAGGTCCAGTTCAGAACCCAGAATTGCTTAGATTGTACAAAGGCACAATGGTGCATTACATAAACTGTACAATGTAACACTCCTTCTGGGGTCTCAGGACAGCACTCCGTAATCAAATACCTTCTTCTGCAGCAGAACATGTATGTGCCTGCCATCAATTTATAACCTCATAGCTCCAAATCTAACCTTCTTTTCTATGCTTTGAAATACTGGAGCAGGATCCTGTAAATACTTCTCTGCCAGCTGGCACAGTGTTTAACTTTGTCAGTAGAGAGCACTAGAGGAACACAGCAGAATGAAGGGGCTTCTCATCCTGGTTCCAGTGTACTTTCTTTTCCTTCTTGCTTTGTGGCACATGGCAGCAAATGGCTTATAGAACCATCCCTTCCTCCCCACACACAAAGGGGGCTGGGACATTCAGAGGGTGGTGGCTTCCCGGTGAGTTTAGTGGCACCTCAGTAGGCAATTTCCTGTAACTATATATATATATATATATATATATATATATATATATATATATATATACACACATACATATATATAATATATACATATATATATGTATGTGTATATATATTTATATTTTTATATATTTATATATTTATATTTATATATTTATATATATTTATATTTATATATTTTTATATATTTATATTTTATATATTATATTTATATTTATATATGGAGTCTCGCCCTGTCACCCAGGCGGGAGTGCAGTGGCCGTGACCTGAGCTCACTGCAACCTCCGCCTCCCGGGTTCAAGCAATTCTCCTGCCTCAGCCTCCTGAGTAGCTGGGATTACAGGCGTGCTCCATCAAGTCTGGATAATTTTTTGTATCTTTAGTAGAGACAAGGTTTCACCATGTTGGCCAGGCTGGTCTTGAACTCCTGACCTCGTGACCTACCTGCCTCGGCCTCCCAAAGTGCTGGGAATACAGGCCTGAGCCACCGTGCCCAGGCTTTTTTTTGTTTCTTTTTCTGAGACAGAGTCTAACTCTGTTGCTCAGGCTGGAGTGCAGTGGCGCAATCTTGGCTTACTGCAACCTCCGTCTCCCAGGTTCAAGAGATTCTCCTGCCTCAGCTGCCCATAAGTAGCTGGGATTACAGGTGCGTGCCACCACACCCAGCTAATTTTGGGGGTTGTTTGTTTGTTGAGACAGAGTTTTGCTCTTGTTGCCCAGGCTGGAGTGCAATGGCACAATCTCGGCTCACTGCAACCTCCACCTCCTGGGTTCAAGCAATTCACCTGCCTCAGCCTCCCAAGTAGCTGGGATTACAGGCGCCCACGACCACACCTGGGTAATTTTTTGTATTTTTAGTAGAGACAGGGTTTCACCATGTTGGTCAGGCTGGTCTTGTACTCTTGACCTCAGGTGATCCACCCGCCTTGGCCTCCCAAAGTGCTGGGATTACAGGCGTGAGCCACCTTGCTGGGTGGCAACCTCCTGTAACTCTTTTTTTTTTTTTTTTTTAAGACTGAGTCTTGCTCTGTCACCCAGGCTGGAGTGCAATAGTGCAATCTCGGCTCACCACAACCTCCGCCTCCTGGGTTCAAGCCACTCTCCTGCCTCAGCCTCCCAAGTAGCTGGGATTACAGGTGCATGCCACCACGCCCAGCTAATTTTTGTATTTTGAGTAGAGACGGGGTTTACACCATGTTGGCCAGGCTGGTCTTGAACTGCTGACCTCGTGATCCACCCACCTCAGCCCCCCAAAGTGCTGGGATTACAGGTGTGAGCCACCACGCCCTGCTGGACCTCCTGTAACTATTAAGCAAACTTTGTGCGGCGGGCCACAACCACCCTCTCTCCTGTGAGGTCTGAATCTCAGCCTAGGGGGTGTGGGGTGATCCTTCCTTGGGCACTTGCTCAGCCCTAAAGTTATTGGCTATTCCCTGTAACTGCTAATTCTGTATTCTTTTTTTTTTTTTTTAAAGACAGGGTCTTAAAAAAAAAAAACACAGGGTCTTGCAATGTCACCCAGGCGGGAGTGCAGTGGCACAATGATAGCTCACTGCAGCCATGAACTCCTGAGCTCAAGCAGTCCTCTCACCACAGCCTCCTGAGTAGCTGGGACCACAGGCGCATGCCTCCACACACACCTAATTATTTTTTTTTTTTTAGTTTTTGTAGACACGGAATCTTGCCAGGTTGCCAAGCTGGTCCTGAACTCCTGACCTCAAGTGATCCTCCCGCCTCAGTCTCTCAAAGTGCTGGGATTACAGGCATGAGCCACTGTGCCCTGCCCTGTTTCTTTACAGTTGTCTTTGCCCCTTTGTACTTAATGCCTGTACATTTTTGAGAGGGAGTTTTGCTCTTATTGTCCAGGCTGGAGTGCAGTGGCATGATCTCGGCTCACTGCAACCTCTGCCTTCCGGGTTCAAGTGATTCTCCTCCCTTAGCCTCCCCAGTAGCTGGGATTACAGGCCCCTACCACCACACCCGGCTGATTTTTTGTATTTTTAGTAGAGATGGGGTTTCACCATGTTGGGCATGGCTGGTCTCGAACTCCTGACCTTAGGTGATCCACCTGCCTCAGCCTCCCAAAGTGCTGGGATTATAGATTGAGCCACCTCTCCTGGCTAAATAGTCTTATTTTAAACTACTAAGTGTTGAGATAATCTGTTACACAACAATAGATAACTAATAGAGACACCAAAACAAGAGCTACTTCAAAATACTAGACTCAGGGAGACCACTTTTAATGAAGGCATCATAAACCTTTGCGCAGGGCTTTATGTCCGTATTAGTCTATTTGCATTACTATAAAGGAATACCTGAGACTTGATATTTTATAAAGAAAAGCGGTTTGGGCCAGGTGCAGCGGCTCACGCCTGTAATCCCAGCACTTTGGGAGGCCTAGGCGGGCAGATCACCTGAGGTTGGGGGTTCGAGACCAGCCTGACCAACATGGAGAAACCCCATCCCTACTAAAAATACAAAATTAGCCAGGCATGGTGGCGCATGCCTGTAATCTCAGCTACTCGGGAGGCTGAGGCAGAGGTTGCAGTGAGCCAAGGTTGCGCCACTGCACTCCAGTCTGGGCAACAAGAGCGAAACTCCGTCTCAAAAAAGAAAAAAAAAAAAGAAAATAGGTTTGGTTGGCTCACGGTTTGCAGGGTATACAAAAAGCATGTTGCTGGCATCTGCTTCTGGTAAGGGCCTCAGGAAACTTACTATCATGGCAGAAGGGGGAACAGGTGCACCACATCACAAGAGTGTGTGCAAGAGAGCAAGGCGGGTAGGTCCCAGTGAACAGCCATATCTCACGTGAACTAGCCGAGCAGGAATTCACTTATCACCAAGGTGCTGATGCTAAACATTCTTGAGGGATCGGCCCCCATGATCCAGTCACCTCCCACCAGGTCCCACACTAAGAATCACATTTCAACATGAGATTTGGAGGAGACAGATATCCAAACCATATCGGTGTCTCCCTTTTTTACGAATGCTATTGAAGGTAAAGAGTGACTTTTTTTTTTTTTTCTTTGAGACAGAGTCTCACTCTGTCACCCAGGCTGGAGTGCAGTGGCATGATGTCAGCTCACTGCAATCTCTGCCTCCCAGGTTCAAGTGATTCTCCTGCCTCGGCCTCCCGAGTAGCTAGTATTACAGGTGCACACCACCACGCCCAGCCCATTTTGTATTTTTAGTAGAGACAGGGTTTGGCATGTTGGTCAGGCTGGTCTCAAATGCCTGACCTCAAGTGATCTGCCTGCCTCGGCCTCCCAAACTGCTGGGATTACAGGCATGAGCCATCATGCCTGGCCAAGAGTGACATTTTTAAATGGTATATTTTAACCTTTGAAGAGTTTTCTGAATTTAGATACATTATAAAGAGGGATGGTGTAGTGAAATTTTGACTTAACTCATTTCCAGCTAATATCCAAGAATGAATTTTCTTGAGGGGGAATATTGTGAAACATAGTATTGGTAAGAAATTTGTCTGGGCACGGTGGCTCACGCCTGAATCCCCACACTTTGGGAGATGGAGGCAGGCGGATCACTTGAGGCCAGGAGTTCAAGACCAGCCTGGCCAATATGATGAAACCCCGTCTCTACCAAAAAAAACACAAAAATTAACCAGGCATGGTGGCGCATGCCTGTAGTCCCAGCTACTCCGGAGGCTGAGGCAGGAGAATCACTTGAACCTGGGAGGCAGAGGTTGCAGCGAGCTGAGATCACTCCACTGCACTCCAGCCCACGTGACAAAGTGAAACCCTGTCTCAAAAAAAAAAGAAAAGAAATATTAGAGGTGGTAGCACCCTATTTTAACCACATGACAAGGCTCCATACCTTATCCCTCTATCTGTAGAACCCAGAAAAAAGGATAATTATGAAATACATTATTAGCACATTTATTCAACTTTTTCTTACAGAGTCTAATTTTGCTGTTTGTTATTAAGGACTGGCTTTACCAATAATTGATTTTAGGTGAGTTAAATCTTTAGTTCCGTGACTTTAAGGAAGATATATTTAAAGCGCCTAAAAACATTTCATCAGTTAATTTGTTTGCAAACATGTATTAAAATTAATATTTGTATTTTTCCAACCCTTTTTGAGTTTATCAGGTTAAATAAGATACCTCCAAGTTAAAGAGTAGAGACAAGTTGTATTAGAATAGAATATGCTGGCCAGGCACAGTGCCTCACGCATGTAATCCCAGCACTTTGGGAGGCCGAGGCAGGAGGATTGCTTGAGCCCAAGACTACAAGACCAGCCTGGGCAACATGGCAAAACCCCGTCTCTACAAAAAAATACAAAACTATCCAGGACTGGTAGTGTGTGCCTGTAGTCCCAGCTACTGGGGAAGCTGAGGTGCGAGGATCACTTGAGCCTGGGAGGTCGAGGCCACAGTGAGCTGAGATCACACCCACCATACTCCAGCCTGGGCAACAGAACAAGACCCTCTCAAAAAAAGAATATACTGTGCCACAGTAGCAGATTAACCCTGCATGTCAGTCAAAATTCAGCCAAAGAATTAGAACCAACAAGAGTATATTACGGGATTTTTTTCCAGGGAGTTGACCTTCTATAATTGTAAATCTAGTTTAGCCATCTCTGTAAGGCTATTGTCTTCACAGCCACTGCTGGATCTTAAGAGTCAGTTAGTCAGAGAAGATGGATATGAAGTGGAAGGGAGCAGGCATTGGCACAAATGGAAGCCCATGAGGACAGGGGGACTGAAACTTATGTGAGTGCTTGTCCCCTCTGACCTGGGTGATATGGGTGTCATGCAGAGGCTGGAGCCCATTGTCACAGAGTGAAACACACATAGGGCCCAGGAATCAGAGGAACTGAAGGAGGCTCGAAGGGAAGATAGAGCAACTACAGACCAAGCCACTACCTCATACCAAGCAGGGAGTCAGCCGATCACCAGCAATGTATATGGGCCACAGAATGACTAATGCTTCACCTCAATGCTCCAAATCCTGCACGACAGTCTCTCAGTGGCTTTAAACAGAAACACAGAGGAAAATAATTCAGGGAAATGTAGCTCAGCTTGGGCAAACTGACACTATGTGTCCGCTCCCTAGAAACATGGTGGCTTAAAACATCTTTTTCTTGGGAAGTCCAATCTGAGTCCATGAGCCCTCCATGTTATAGTTATACCATCTAGAATTTATGGTGTCCAGCATTGCTGGGGAAGAGCAGGCATACAGGGGAGGCTCGTCAGTGAGTGACTGCCGAATCTCAGAAGTACATTCTTCCTGCTCATTGTTCATTGGTCAGTTCTTACGCACATGGCCCTAGAAGCTGCAGGGGAGCCTGCACGATGTACTTTTCAAAACTATATACCCAAAAAAAGGGAAATGAAGTAGAATTTGGTAAGCATATAGGGTTGTCTCTACTACACAGGTATACTTAATCTTCATTTAGTATATATTAGTAAAGCCATTTTGGTATGCTCCCCAGAAATTGAGAAAATGAATTTCTCCAGTGACAATATAAAAAAAAAAAAAAAACATTGGCTGGGCGCGGTGGTTCATGTCTGTAATCCCAGCACTTTGGGAGGCTGAGGTGGGTGGATTACCTGAGGTCAGGAGTTTGACACCAGCCTAGCCAACATGGTGAAACCTATCTCTACTAAAAATACAGAAAATTAGCTGGGCGTGATGGTGGGTGCCTGTAATCCTAGCTACTCGGGAGGCTAAGGCAGGAGAATCACTTGAACCTGGGAGACGGAGGTTGCAGTGAGCCAAGACTGCGCCATTGCACTCCAGCCTGGGCAACAAGAGTGAAACTCTGTCTCAAAATAAATAAATAAATAAAAATCCTTCTACTAGTCAAGTGGTTTCCAGTACTTTGCTCCCAACAAAATTGGAGGAGGATTGAATTGCGTTTTATGATAAAAAAATAATTTTGCTGAGAGATTACTATGTAATTTTTGACATAATAACTTGGAAAGCATCCAAAAAAGTTGAGTAGCATCGCTATAAGACAACTTTCATTCATATATGAACAAGTCTTCTAAGTATTGATATGGTTTGGATCTGTGTCCTCACCCAAATGTCATGCTCAATTGTAATCCCAAATGTTGGAGGTAGGGCCTGGTGGGAGGTATTGGATCATGGGGGTGGATTCTTCATGAATGGTTTAGCACTAACCCTTCGGTGATATAGAGTTTTCCTGAGATCTGGTTAAGTGTGTGGCAGCTCCCCTCTCTCTTCCTCCTGCTCTGGCAGTGTAAGACACCTCCTCTCCCTTAGTCTTCTGCCATGACTGTAAGTTTCCTGAGACCTTCCTGGAAGCTGAGCAAATGCCAGCATCATGCTTCCCGTACAGCCTGCAGAACAGATGAGCCCATTAAACCTCTTTTCTTTATAAATTACCCAGTTTCAGGTATTTTTTATAGCAGTGTGAGAACAGACTAATACAAGTGCTAACATCTATAAAAATAAAACCCAAAAATAAAGTTGATGCAGAATTCCTTCTGTCTCATTCCAGCAACAAGTAATATTTATACACAGATATGTAAACTTCTAAAAATGATTTATTGGCCGGGCGCGGTGGCTCACGCCTGTAATCCCAGCACTTTGGGAGGCTGAGGCGGGCAGATTACCTGAGGTCAGGAGTTTGAGACCAGCCTGGCCAACATGGTGAAACCCCGTCTCTACTAAATATACAAAAATTAGGCAGGTGTGGTGGCGTATGCCTGTAATCCCAGCTACTCACGAGACTGAGGCAGAAGAATTGCTTGAGCCTGGGAGATGGAGGTTGCAGTGAGCCGAGACTCTGCCACCACTGCACAGCAGCCTTGGTGACAGAGCGAGACTCTGTCTCAAAAAAAAAAAAGAAAAAAGAAGAAAATTATTTATCAATGTAAAAGATGTAGCTCTAATATAATTTTATGTCTATGTTTAATCATTGCCAAAATTTTAATTTTATTGCTTGATGTGTAGTGTTTAATAATGATTATAATAACTTGATCCAGGAGGACTTTTTGGCTAACATTTAGAGGCTATGATCACAGAAAATGAGAATTACAACACAAAAGAAAATTGTGGCCAGGCACAGTGGCAGGCGGATTACTTGAGACCAGAAGTTCGAGACCAGCCTGGCCAACATGGCGAAACCCTGTCTCTACTAAAAATACAAAAATTAGCTGGATGTGGTGGCAGACGCCTGTAGTTCCAGCTACTCCAGAGGTTGAGGCAGGAGAATCACTTGAACCCAGGATGCAGAGATTGCAGTGCGTCAAGATCATGCCACCGCACTTCAGCCTAGGTGAAAGAGCAAGACTCTAGCTCAAAAAAAAAAAAAAAGTTTCAAACACAAATAATAGGATATTTAAAAACAGGATAAAAATCTTTGGGGAAAATGGAATGGAAATACAAGTTCAGGGACAAAAAAAGAATGGTATAAGATTTCCACCTGGCCGGGCGCAGTGGCTGACGCCTGTAATCCCAGCACTTTGGGAGGCCAAGGTGGGCGGATCACCTGAAGTCAGGAGTTCGAGACCAGCCTGGCCAACATGTTGAAACCCCACCTCTACTAAAACTAACAAAAAAAAAAAAAAAGATTTCCACCTATTAGAAAATAACTTTTTATATAATTTTAAAAGGACAATGACATAAAATTGCTATTACATTTAGATTTCATTGTGAAGATAATGGAACAATTTTATTTTTAAATGTCAATACTTATAAATACGCAGAAAGTTATATTATTTTCAATGATTTAAATTTATGCTGAAACATTTTAGATGTCAATTTAAGAAATGAGTAATTACATAATTTTCAAATTTCTTCTGGGGCTACATAAACACAAAAGGTTAAAGATCACTACTCTAGAGCACTGTGGTGACTACAGAAAGGGCCTGGTACCCTAAGGGCCAGAATCTCAAGTTTGCCATGTCAAACAAGACTAAACATCTGCCAAGAATTCCTGGTCATAGATGCGAAAGAATTGGACTTGAAAAATATATCCCCTCAGCTGGGTGCGGTGGCTCATGCCTATAACCCCAGCACTTTGGGAGGCCGAGGCGGGTGGATCACCTGAGGTCAGGAGTTTGAGACCAGCCTGACCAACATGGAGAAACCCCATCTCTACTAAAAATACAAAAAATTAGCCGGGCGTGGTGGCGCATGCTTTTAATCCCAGCTACTTGGGGGGCTGAGGCAAGAGAATCACTTGAACTCAGGAGGCGGAGGTTGCAGTGAACCGATCGCGCCATTGCACTCCAGCCTGGGCGACGAGAGCAAAACTCCGTCTCAAAAAACAAAAATCTCCCCTCAATACTGACCAAAGACATACCAGTTAAAATAACCATCAGATAGCCAATCTGTTTGTCCCACTCTCTACTCAGGTAGCTCCATGCTACTAAAGGGCTTTTAACAATCTGACTTCAATACACCTTTCTTGTTTTATTTGTTTGTTTGTTTTTTGTGGGGGGTTTTTTTTTTTGTTTTTTTTTTTTTGAGACAATCTCAACCTGTGGCCCATGCTGGAGTGAAGTGGCATGATCTCGGCTCACTGCAACTTCAGCCTCCCAGGTTCAAGCAATTCTCCTGCTTCAGCCTCCCAAGTAGGTGGGATTACAGGCACACACCACCATGCCCGGCTAATTTTTGTGTTTTTAGTAAAGATGGGTTTCACCACATTGGCCAAGGTGGTCTCAAAGTACTGACCTCAGGTGATCCGCCCGCCTCGGCCTCCTAAACTGCTGGGATTACAGATGTGAGCCACCGCACCCTGCCTCAATATACCTTTCTAATCTCATTTTCTGCTACTTTCTCCCACTTCATGTTCTGGCTCCTCATATTTTTCTAAACAGATCATTGTCCCTCACAGCTCATGCGTTCATGCTTGCTTGTCACTCTCTCAGTCAGTGCAGAATTCAGCAATCATGGTGCGAACTCTTTGGGCCAGAGCCTATCCCAAGCCTTTCTAGAGGCTCTAAACAGCGTGGAGAACTCCAAGGACAGTCATGCGCTGCATAATAGCATTTCAGTCAACAATGGACCGCCTATACAACAGTGGTCCCATAAGATTATAACGGAACTGAAAAATTCCTATCACCTAGTGACATTATAATGTCATATTGCAATCCATTAGTCACATGTTTGTGGCGATGCTGGTATAAACAGACATACTGCCCTGCCAGTCGCATAAAAGCATTGCACATACAATTTTATATAGTACATAATATTTGATAGTGATAACAAATGACTCTTACTGGTTTATGTATTGAATATATATATGTATATATACATATATATTTTTTCTTTTCTTTTTAAGACAGAGTCTTGCTCTGTTGCCCAGGTTGGAGTGCAGTGATACCATCTTGGCTCACTTCAGCCTCCGCCTCCCAGGTTCAAGCGATTCTCCTGCCTCAGCCTCTCAAGTAGCTGGGATTACAGGTGCATGCCACCACACCAGCTAATTTTTGTATTTTTGGTAGAGTTGGGGTTTCACCATGTTGGCCAGGCTGGTCTCGAACCCCTGACCTCAAGTGATCTGCCCAACTTGGCCTCCCAAAGTGCTAGGATTACAAGCGTGAGCCCCTGCACCCAGTCTTTTATCATTATTTTAGACTGTACTACTTATTAACAAAAAAAAGTTAACTGTAAAACAGTCTCAGGCAGGTCCTTCAGGACGTATTCCAGAAGAGGGCATTGTTATCATAGGAGATGGCAGCTCCATGCATGTGATTGCTCCTGAAGACCTTCCAGTGGTACAAGATACAGAAATTGGAAAACAGTGATATTGACGATCCTGACCCTATGTGGGCCTCGGCTAATGTGTGTGTTTGTGTTTTACTTTTTAACAAAAAATGTGTGAAAAGTAGAAACAAAGACAAAAAATTTTTTAAATAGAACAAAGCTTATAGAATAAGGATATAAAGAAAGAAAATGTTTTTGTACAGCCATACCATGTGTTTGTTTGTTTATTTATTTATTTATTTATTTATTTATTTATTTTTGAGACGGAGTCTTACTCTGTCGCCCAGGCTGGAGTGCAGTGGCACAATCTCGGCTCACTGCAAGCACCGCCTCCCGGGTTCACACCATTGGAGACAGAAGCCATAATGCCACAAGTGTGGAGTGGGCCCTGCTGGCACATTGCTGGTCACCAGATGAAGTGAGGGCCTCAACCCAACACAGCCTTAGCTTCCTCAGAAAGACTGAGCACCTTGGCCACAGCTGGAGAAAGGAGGTGTTGTGTGTTTTGTTTTGTTTTGTTTTTTGAGACAGAATTTCGCTCTGGTTGCCCAGGCTGGAGTGCAATGGCACGATCTCTGCTCGCCACAACCTCCACCTCCCGGGTTTAAGCCATTCTCCTACCTCAGCCTCCCAAGTAGCTGGGATTACAGGCATGCGCCACCATGCCGGCTAATTTTTTGTGTTTTTAGTAGAGACAGGGTTTCTCCATGTTGGTCAGGCTGGTTTCGAATTCCCCACCTCAGGTGATCCACCCACCTCAGCCTCCCAAAGTGCTGGGATTACAGTTGTGAGCCACCGCACCGGGCCAGGAGGTGTATTTTTTAATTTGTATTTTTTATTGTTGTATTGTTGCTGTCTTTTCAGTATTTTTTATCTGTGGGTGGAGGCAGATCCTGTGGGTGCAGAGGGCTGACTGTAGTTGGTATGGGCCATTAGAAAGGAGAGCATCTGAGGCCGGGCTTGGTGGCTCACACCTGTAATCCCAACACTTTGGGAGGCCGAGGCGGGCGGATCCCGAGGTCAGGAGATCGAGACCATCCTGGCTAACACGGTGAAACCCCATCTCTTCTAAAAATACCAAAAAAATTAGCCAGGTGTGGTGGCAGGCGCCTGTTGTCCCAGCTACTCGGGAGGCTGAGGCAGGAGAATGGCGTGAACCCGGGAGGCGGAGCTTGCAGTGAGCAGAGATCGCGCTACTGCACTCCAACCTGGGTGACAGAGTGAGATTCCGTCTCAAAAAAAAAAAAAAAAGAAAGAAAGGAGGGCACCTGAAAGCCAGGGAAGGAGAAATTTATAAACAGGGATCTGGGTGGAGCATTAACGGTGTCTGTTACAGATCATGCCATGCACTGCTCAGGTCTTCTCACATCAGGTCTCCTCACATCTTACATTAACTTCATTCTGTCACAATTTCTAGCACAAAACTTAGAGGAGGAGGGTAGAGGGATGAGCTTCAGCCCCCGTTGCTGCAGTGGTCTCAAGGCTATACATAATCATATCCATCATCTTCCTCTCTGAGTGTTCTAGGTTCCTCACACCCTTGACTTAACACTTTTGCTATTCTCGATGGCTTGTCTTGTAGGATGTCCCACACCTTCATCCTGAGGGATGTGAGGCTCGGGATCCTCATGCCCTTATCCAGCTGGGATTGCTGTAATTGGCCATTCACCATTACAACCATCATGGGAGCCAGGTGCAATGGCTCACACCTACAATCCTACTGCTTTTGGGGACCGAGGTGGGAGGATTACTTGAACCCAGAAGTTTGAGACCAGCCTAGGCAATATGGTGAGACCTGCTCCCTACAAAAAAATTTTAAAATTAGCTGGGCATGTGCCTATAGTCCTAGCTACTTGGGAGAGTGAAGTGGGAGGATCGCTTGAGCCCAGGAGTTTGAGGCTGCAGTGAGTTATGATTGCACAATTGCACTCCAGCCTGGGCAACAGAGTGAGACCCTGTCTCTTAAAAAACAGACAAGGCCGGGTGCGGTGGCTCACGCCTATAATCCCAGGACTTTGGGAGTCCGAGGAGGGTGGATCACGAGGTTGGGAGATCAAGACCATCCTGGCTAACACGATGAAACCCCGTCTGTACTAAAAATACAAAAAATTAGCCGGGTGTGGTGGCGGGCACCTGTAGTCCCAGCTACTCGGGAGGCTGAGGCAGGAGAATGGCATGAACCCGGGAGGCGGAGCTTGCAGTGAGCCGAGATGGCGCCACTGCACTCCAGCCTGGGCGACAAAGCGAGACTCTGTCTCAAAAATAATAATAATAATAAAATAAAATAATAAAAATAAAAATAAAAAACAGACAAAACCGCCATGGGAGTACTAGGCTCATGAAGGCTAGTACCACTAAGGGAACATACCTTTACCTCAGTCCCAACTTCACTCATAGCCCCACTTCAGCTTTTATAACGATGTATCTCATCCACCTGGGCTTCTCTATGAGAACCTTCTGTTCCATTTCTGCCTCATTTCCCTTCAGCAGTCTCCATGTATGTATTGATTTCCTATCACTACTGCAACAAATTACCTAGAACTTGGTGGCTTAAAACAACAGAAATTGGCCAGGTGCAGTGGCTCATGTCTGTAATCCCAGCACTTTGGGAGGCCAAGGCGGGCAGATCACTAGGTCAGGAGATCGAGACCAGCCTGGCCAACATAGTGAAAACCCATCTCCACTAAAAATACAAAAATTAAGCCGGGCGCGGTGGCTCACGCCTGTAATCCCAGCACTTTGGGAGGCCGAGGCGGGCGGATCATGAAGTCAGGAGACCAAGACCATCCTGGCTAACACGGTGAAACCCCGTCTGTACTAAAAATACAAAAAATTAGCCAGGCGTGGTGGCGGGCGCCTGTAATCCCAGCTACTTTGGAGGCTGAGGCAGGAGAATGGCATAAACCCAGGAGGTGGAGCTTGCAGTAAGTCGAGATTGCACCACTGCACTCCAGCCTGGGCAACAGAGTGAGACTCCGTCTCAAAAAAAAAATACAAAAATTAACTAGATGTGGTGGCGCATGCCTGTAGTCCCAGCTACTCGGGAAGCTGAGGCAGGAGAATCGCTTGAACCCAGGAGGCAGAGGATGCAGTGAGCCAAGATCTCACCACTGCACTCAAGCCTGGGTGACACAGTGAGACCCCATTTCAAAAAACAACAGCAGAAATGTACCGTCTGGAGACCAGAAGTCTGAAATTAAGGTGTGGGCAGGGCCATACTCCCTCCAAGGGTTCTAAGGGAAAGTCCTTGCATCTTTTTTTTTTCTTTTTTTTTTTTCTTTTTTGAGACCGAGTCTCACTCTGTCACCCAGGCTGGCCATGCAGTGGTGCGATTTCGGCTCACTGCAACCTCCAACTTCTAGGTTCAGACAATTCTCCTGTCTCAGCCTCCCGAGTAGCTAGAACTACATGTATGCATCACCACACCCGGCTAATTTTTGTATTTTTAGTAGAGATGGGAGTTTCGCCATGTTGGCCAGAATGGTCTCAAACTCCTGGCCTCAGATGATCCACCTGCCTCAGCCTCCAAAAGTGCTGGGATTACAGGCATGAGCCACCACTCCCGCCCTTCTTTTCTTTTTTTAAATTGTGATAAAATACATATCACATTTATCATTGTAACCATTTTCAAGTGTACAGCTCACTGGCATTAAGTATATTCACATTGTTGTGCAACCATCACCACCACCCATCTCCAACACTTTCTTCATTTTCCCAAACAGAAACTTTGTGCCCATCAAACAATAACTCCCCATTTCCGTCTCCATCCCCTACGCACTCCCAAATTCTGGCAAGTACCATTCTGTCTCTATGAATTTGACTAGTCTAGGTATCTCATTAAGTGGAATCATACATCATTTGTCCTTTGGTGACTGGCTTATGTCACTTAGCATAATATCCTCACGGTCCATTCATGTTGTAGCATGTTTGAGACAGGGTCTCACTCTGTTGCCCAGGCTGGAGTGCAGTGGTGTGATCTCAGCACACTGCAACCTCCACCTCCTGGGCTCAAGCGATCCTCCCACTTTAGCCTCCCAAGTAGCTGGGGCTACCATCACACCCCACCATGCCCAGCCAATTTTTGTAGAGATGGGATTTCACCATGTTGCCCAGGCTGTTCTTGAACTCCCAGGCTCAAGCAATCCACCCACCTCAGCCTCCAAAAGTGCTGGGATTACAGGTGTGAGACACCACACCTCGCCAGAATTTCCTTTCTTCTTAAAGACTGAACAGGATTTCATTGGATTGACCTGCCACATTTTGTCTATCTGTTATCCATCAATGGACACTTGGGTTGCTTCCCCCTTTTGGCTATTGTGAATAATGCTGCTATGAACATGGGTGTACAAACATCTCTTTGAATCCCTACTTCCAAGAGAATCACTTCAACCCAGGAAGTGCAGGTTGCTGTGAGCTGAGATCGTGCCACTGCACTCCAACCAGGGCAACAGAGCAAGACTCCCTCTCAAAAAAAAAAAGAATTAACATTGTAACATTTCACCTAAAACATAGACACCCTGCAACTGTATGTATCCATTTATCCTTTCCCATCTTTTATGCCATAGATGTCATATGTATTATGTTTACATACATTGTAAACCTCAGAAGACAAAGTTATACTTTTTGCTTTAAACTGTATTGAAAAGAAAAAATTGTCTTTTATATTTACCCAGTTGTTTACCATTTTCAATGCTCTATTCTTTCCTGAATATCCGATTTTCCATCTGGTATCATTTCCTTTCATCCTGAAGAACTTCCTGTAGCATTTTTTGCAATGCATTACTGCTGGCAGTGTATTATTTTGTTTTTCTTTTATATGAAACAGTCTTTATTTTGTTATCCTTCTTGAAGGATACTTTAGCTGGATTTAGAAGTTTTTCTTTCAACACTTTATAGATGATGGTCTTCTGTTGTATGCATTTCCTGGGCTACCATAAGAAATTACCACAGGCCGGGCGTGGTGGCTCACGCCTGTAATCCCAGCAATTTGGGAGACCAAGGCGTGTGGATCACGAGGTCAGGAGTTCAAGACCAGCCTGGTGAAACCCCATCTCTACCAAAAATACAAAAAATTAGCCCGGCCTGGTGGCAGGCGCCTGTAATCCCAGTTACTCGGGAGGCTGAGGCAGAGAATTGCTTGAACCTGGGAGGCAGAGGTTGCAGTGAGCCAAGATCGTGCCACTGCACTCCAGCCTGGGTGACAGAGCGAGACTCCATCTCAAATAAAAAAAGAAATTACCACAAACTTGGTGACTTAGAAAAACATAAATTTATTCTCTCAGTTCTAGAGACCAGAAGTTTAAAAACTAGGCCGGGTGCAGTGACTCATGCTTGTAATCCCAGCACCAAGGCCTTGTAATTCCAGGCCGAGGCAGGCGGATCACTTGCTCCCAGGAGTTTGAGACCACCCTGGCCAACATGGCGAAACCCTGGCTCTACCAAAAATACAAAAAGTTAGCCGGGTGTAACAACATGTGCCTGTGTTTCCAGCTACTCAAGAGGCTGAGGTGGGAGGATCACTTGAGCCGGGGAGGCAGAGGTTGCAGTGAGCCAATATTGCACCACTGCACTCCAGCCTGGGTGACAGATTGGGACCCCCATCTTGAAAAAAAAAAATAAAAAAGAGTAGGTAAGGCCACACTCTGTCCAGAAGCTCTAGGGAAGAACCCTTTCTTGCCTCTTTCAGCCTCTGGTGGCTCCAGGCGTTCCCTGGTTTTTGGCTTCATAGCTCTAACCTCTGCCTCCTTCACACAGCCTTCTGTTTTGTGTCTGTGTCTTCTCCCCTAAGCCTTGGTGTTTCTCCTCTTACTTATAAGTATACTTGTCATGTGAGCTAGGGCCTGACTGGTTCATCCAGAATGCTTTCATCTCAAGATCTTTAACTCAATCAAACCTGCAAAGAACCTTTTTCCAAATAAAGTCATATTCACAGCTACCAGGGTTATGATTTCATTGTATCTTTTGGGGGGTCGCTATTCGACCTATTGCATGTCTTCTGGCCTGTATTCCCTTTTTTTTTTTTTTTTTTCAGATGGAGTCTCGCATTGTCGCTGGGTCTGGAGTGCAGTGGCACCATCTCGGCTCGCTGCAACCTCCACCTCCTGGATTAAAGCGATTCTCCTGCCTCAGCCTCCTGAGTAGCTAGGATTACAGGTGCCCGCCACCACACTCAGCTAATTTTTTGTATTTTCAGTACAGATGGAGTTTCACTATGTTGGCCAGGCTGGTCTTGAACTCCTGACCTCGTGATCTGCCTGCCTTGGCCTTCCAAAAGTGCTGGATTACAGGCGTGAGCCACCACGCCCAGCCTTTTTTTTCTTTTTTGAGATGGGGTCTGGCTCTGTGGCCCAGGCTGGAGTACAGTGGCATGATCTCAGCTCACTGCAACCTCCGCCTCCCGGGTTCAAGTGATCCTCCCACATCAGCCTCCCGAGTAGCTGGGACTACAGGCACACACCACTACCCCGGCTAATTTTTGCATTTTTTGTAGAGACAGGGTTTCACTGTGTTGCCCAGGCTGGTCTCGAACGCCTGAGCTCAAGAGATCTGCCCAGCCTGACCTCCCAAAGTGCCAGGATTACAGGCATGGCCACCATGCCCTGCCTGACAGGGTCTCGCTCTGTCACCTAGGCTGTAGTGCAGTGACATAATCACAGCTTACTGCAGCCTCGACCTCCCAGGCTCAATGGATCCTCCTATCTCAGCCTCCCAAGCTGGAACTATAGGGCACACCAGCACACCTGGCTAATTTTTGTATTTTTTGTAGAGATGGGGTTTGCCATGTTGACCAGACTGCTCTCAAACTCCTGGACTCAAGCAATCCTCCTGCCTCAGCCTCCCAAAGTGCTGGGATGACAGACAGGCATGAGCCACAGTGTCTGGCTGGCCTTCATTCTTTCCCATGAGAAGTCAGTAGTCGTTAGAGTTGGTGTTCTCCTCTATCTGTCATTTTTCTATGGATGCCTTCAAGATTTTCTTTTTATTTTTGCTTTCAGCAATTTGACTATAATGTGCCTAGGCATGGTTTTCTTCACATTTGTCCAGCTTAACAGTTGTTAACCTTGATTCTGTAACTTGATGTCTTCACAAATTTGGGGCAATGTCAGTTATTTCTTCAAAAATTTTTCGTCCCTATCCTCTCTCTCTCTTCTCCTTCTGGATGTTGTCTCATAGGTCCTTTTCCCATCTTTTTTCCCTCTCTCATGTAGATAAGATAGTTTCTTTTATTGACTCCTCTGTCACCTCCTTTGTGCTATTAACCTTATCCAGTGAATTTTTAAATTTTAGATATTGTGTTTTTTCAATTCTAGAATTTCTTTCTTTTTTTTTTTTTTTTTTCCGAGGTGGAGTCTCGCTCTTGTTGCCCAGGCTGGAGTGCAGTGGCATGATCTCAGCTCACTGCAACGACTGCCTCCTGAGTTCAAGCGATTCTCCTGCCTTGGCCTCCCAAGTAGCTGAGATTACAGGCATGTGCCACCACACCCAGCTAGTTTTGTATTTTTAGTAGAGACGGGGTTTCATCATGTCGATCAGGCCGGTCACAAACTCCTGACCTCATGTGATCCACCCGCCTCAGCCTCTGAAAGTGCCGGGATTACAGGTGTGAGCCACTGTGCCTGGCCCAATTCTAGAATTTCTATTTGGTTGTTTTCTATAGTCTCTATTTTTCTGCTGTGATCTCGTCACTTTTCATTTATCGCAAACCTGTTTTTCTTTATGTCGGTGAGCATAATTAAAATAACCTCTCGAAAATCCTGTTTGCAAATTTCAAAATCTGGGTCATCTCAGAATTAGTCTCCATGGACTATCTTTTCTCTAGAGAATGGGTCACATTTTTTCCTTGTATTGTAAGTAATTTCAGACTGTGTCCTGCATATTCTCAAATTCATGTTGTAGAGACTGGATTCTGTTGTTTCTCTGAAGAGTGTTCGTTGGCTTTCTTGGTTTTTGTTTTGTTTCGTTTGAACAGGCAGTTAACATGGTTGGATTCAAATTGCAAAGTCCGTCTCCTGGGAATCAGGTCAAATCTCAGTTCAGTTATTTTACCCTTAGCCAAGCTACTTGCAGTTGGCCCTGTAAATGCATAGTTCAGGGGTCAACTAGAGTTTGTGCAAAGTTTATACACGTGGTTTGGGGCTTCTCCTCTCTGACTCCTTTCTTTTTGGGGTATCCCTCCCCACTTTGCATTAGCATAGTTGTTCCTTAAGTTTGTTCTCTGGTTTTTCAGGCCAGGAAGACTCAGAATTTTCTGTCATAGTTTTAGCTGCCTTGCGCAGCACCAACTGCATCCTACCCTTAGGCTAAAAGTCACGAAAACGGGAAAATCATATTGTGCTGTTCTCCCTTTCAATTTTAACTGCCCTCTGGGATATGCTCATTTGTTCACTCTCCAGTGTCTTCAGGTAGTTTTGTTGTTGTTTGTGTTTTCTTGTTGCATTTGATCCAGAGTTTACTGTTGTTTATGGGACAACTATATGTCAAATTTACCCATTACTTAGCTACACTGGAATATGCTCGAGTTTCTTCCTCACTCATGAGTTGGATGTAGAGGGCCCCCCTCCTTCAATGAGGCCATAGACATCAGCGGAAGAGAGGCATTAGTAGGGCTCAAAGCTGGCAGCCTACTAAGTTAGCCAGTAAATGGGTTGGAGCAATATTCCCAAGCGTAGAATGTGCTGTCTCTGAAGCCAGAAGAGGCCTGCCAACACTGTGCTTCTTAATGTTAGAAGCTTCACTCTGCAATAATTACTATACCCTAAAGGGGATGTCCTGGCATGGCATGCCCCAGATCATTAAGCACTTCTTTATTTTTATTATTATTAATATTTATTTATCTATTTAGATACAGGGTTTCACCCTGTCACCCAGGCTGGAGTGCAATGGTGTGATCATGACTCACTGCAGCCTCAAACTCCTGGGCATAAGTAATCCTCCTACTTCAGCCTCCCAAGTAGCTGGGACTACAGGAATGTGGCACCATGCCCAGCTAATTTTTTTTTAATAGATGGGGGTCCCCCCATGTTGCCTAGGCTGGTCTTGAAGTCCTGAGCTCAAGCGATCCTCCTACCTCAGCCTCCCAAAGTGCTGGCGTGAGCAACCACACCCAACTGTTAGGCACTTCAAAACTACACTGGTCAGCTGGGCATGGTGGTTCCCACATTTTGAGAGGCTGAGGCGGGTGGATCACTTGAGGCCAGGAGTTCAAGACCAGCCTGGCCAACATCGCAAAACCCTGTCTCTACTAAAAATACAAAAATTAGCCAGGTGTGTGGTGCATGCCTGTAATCCCAGCTACTCAGGAGGCCAAGATGGGAGGATCACTTGAGCCTGAGAGGCAGAGGTTGTAGTGAGCCAAGACTGCTCCATTGCACTCCAGCCTCAGTGACACAGCAAGACTCTGTCTCAAAAAAAAAAAAAAAAAAAAAAAAAAAAAAAAAAAAAACAGAACAAAACAAAATTTAAAAAACCTACACTGATATAGCAAGGTTTTTATCTCCCTACCTCTGGAGCACATAATCTTATTGGGACATCTGCAGTAATTGCCACCTCTTGTGCAGCAGGTCCAGTTAATGTAATGTATCAATATAGTGAACCAATGTAATGTTACATTGAGGGTCCAGGAAATCAAGTCTTATTTGAACTATATTTTGACAGAGAACAGGAGAGTTAACAGGACAGTCCTGAAGCAAGATGTAAATGTATACTGTTGTCCATCCCAGGTAAATGCAAACTGTTTCTGACCTTCCTTTCTGGTGGATATTGTAAGGTGCACATTTATTAGATCAATAGACACATAATGTGTAAGAGAGGTTATTTGCTTCATTCTAGTACAGGTTGAACATTACAAATTGAAAAATATAAAATTCAAAACACTCCAAAATCTGAAACTGCACTGCTATAACACTCAAAGGGAATGCTCATTGGTGCAATTCAGATTTTGGATTTTTGGATTTGTGATGCTCAAATGGTAAGCATAATGCAAATATTCCAAAACCCCAAATAATAAAAACTACAAAACACTTCTATTCCCTGGCATTTTGGATAAGCAATAACCAACCTGTATAGATAGCATACCCAGCACAGCAATTACAGTGTGGCTACCACTTAGTTAAGTTTGCAATGTAGTTTACTGTCATCTGCCATGATCTAGCTGATTTTGCAGGGTCTAGAGTGGGAGATTAAAATGGAATATAATGAGTACTACCACCCTCGCTTCCTTTCAGTCTTTTAGGTTTAGCATACCATTCTACCCAAGAGACAGTGTTGTTTGTGATTTACTATCTTAGCCAGATTTATGGATAATGGAGTGGGGTAGGGAAGAGTAATTCAGGGGCTTTCACTTGGCCTTTCTTACTACAATAGTCTTTATTCCATAGGGTTATGGAACTAATGCAAAGTTCTCCTAGATGCTAGGTATATACAACCTGATTATACATTTGGGTACCAAGTGTGAGAATGAGTCCATTCTCACACTGCTCTAAAGAACTGCCCAAGACTGGGTAAGTTCTAAAGGAAAGAGGTTTAATTGACTCACAGTTCTGCAGGGCTGGGGAAGCCTTAAGAAACTTACAATCATGGCAGAAGTGGAAGCAAACACATCCTCCTTCACATGGCAGCAGGAAGTAGAAGTGCCAAGCAAAGGGAGCAAAGCCCCTTATAAAACCACTGGATCTCATGAGAACTCACTATCATGAGAACAGCATGAGAGTAATCACCCCCATGATTCAATTACCTCCCACCAGGTCCCTCCCACAACACGTGGGGATTATGGGAACCACAATTCAAGATGAGATTTGGGTGGAGACACAGCCAAACCATATCATTCCACCCCGGTCCCTCCCAAATCTCACGTCCTCACATTTCCAAACACAGTCATGCCTTTTCAACAGTCCTCCAAAATCTTATCTCATTCCAGCATTAACTGAAAAGTCCAAGTCCAAAGTCTCATCTGAGACAAGTCAAGCCCTTCCACCTATGAGCCTATAAAATGGAAAGAAAGTTGGTACAGGGGATATAGGCATTGGGTAAATACATCCATTCCAAATGGGAGAAATTGGCCAAAACAAAGGGGCTACAGGCCCCATACGAGTCTAAAATCCAATTGGGCAGTCATTAAATCTTAAAGTTCCAAGATCATCTCCTTTAACTCCATGTCTCACATCCAAGTCATGCTGATGCAAGAGGTGGGCTCCCACAGCCTTGGGCAGCTCTGCCCCTGTGGCTTTGCAGGGTACAGCCCCCCTCCTGGCTGCTTTCATGAGCTGGCATTGAGTGTCTGCAGCTTTTCCAGGCACATGGTGCAAGCTGTCAGTGGATCTACCATTCTGGGGTCTGGAGGACGGTGGCCCTCTTCTCACAGCTCCACTAGCAGTGCCCCAGTGGAGATTCTGTTTGGGGACTCTGACTCCACATTTCCCTTCTGCAATGCCCCAGCAGAGGTTCTCCATGAGGGCTCTACCCCTGTAGTAAACTTCTGCCTGGACATCCAGGCATTTCCATAAATCCTTTGAAATCTAGGCAGAGGTTTCCAAACCTCAATTCCTGACTTCTATGCACCCATGGGCCAACACCACATGTAAGCCACCAAGGACTGGAACTTGAACCCTCTGAAGTAATGGCCTGAGCTGTACATTGGCCCCTTTTAGCCACAACTGAAGCCAAAGCAGCTTGGGACACAGGGCACCATGTCCCAAGGCTGCACAGAGCAAGGGGCCCTGGGCCCGGCCCACGAAACCGTTTTTTTCTCCTAGGCCTCCAGTACTGTGATGGGAGGGGCTGCTGTAAAGATCTCAGACAAGCCCTGGAGACATTTTCTTCATTGTTTTGGTGATTAACATTCAGCTCCTCATTACTCATGCAAATTTCTACAATGGGTTTAAATTTCTTCCCAGAAAATGGGTACTTTTTTTCTATTGCATCATCAGGCTGCACATTTTCCAAGCTTTTTTGCTCTGCTTCCTCTTGAACACTTTGCTGCTTAGAAATTTCTTTCACCAGATACCCTAAATCATATCTCTCAAGTTCACAGTTCCACAGATCTCTAGGGTGAGGGCAATAGGCCATCAGTCTTTTTACTAAAGCATAGCAAGAGTCACCTTTATTCCCGTTCCCAACACATTTCTCATCTTCATCGGAGACCACCTCAGCTTGGACTCCATTGTCCATATCATTATCAGCATTTTGGTCAAAACCATTCAACAGGTCTCTAGGAAGTTCCAAACTTTCCCCCATCTTCTTGTCTTCTGAGGCCCTCTAAATCTCTAGGAAGTTCCAAACTTTCCCACATTTTCCTGTCTTCTTCTGAGCCCTCTAAACTGTTCCAACCTCTGCCTGTTACCCAGTTCCAAAGTCACTTCCACATTTTTGGGTATCTTTATAGCAGTACCTCAGTCTCTGTTGTACCAATTCACTGTATTTATCTGTTCTCACACTCCTACAAAGAATTGCCTGAGACTGGGTAAGTTATAACAGAAAGAAATTTAATTGCCTCACAGTTCCACGGGGCTAGGGAAGCCTCAGGAAACTTAGAATCATGGCAGAAGGGGAAGCAAATACGTTCTTCTTCACATGGCTTCACTTGGTTCTCAAGTGCATCTTCGCAGGAATCCCCATCCAAGTCTCAGGGTTCCATTTCTTCCCTATCAGGGGCCTGATTTTCATGGAGAAAACTTACTGGGACTACAAAGTTACCCACTGCTGAAGTTCTGCTACTCTTACAATACAATACAGTCCTATGCCTGGACTTCACATGGCACACGTCCTTCTTCACAAGGAGGAGTGCCAAGCAAAGGGGGCAAAGCCCCTTATAAAACCATCGGATCTCTTAAGAACTCACTATCATGAGAACAACAGGGGAGTAACTGTCCCCATCATTCAATTACCTCCCACCAGGTCCCTCCCATGACACGTGGGGATTATGGGAACTACAATTCAAGATGAGATTTGGGTGAGGACACAGCCAAACCGTATCATCAAGAAAATGATTAACAAGTATTATCTGTGAAGTCTTACAGACCCATTGTAAGAAAGACCTGGGTCAGGACTACATTCATGCCTGACCTGTAGAATCCCTACTCTAATGATGAGTCTTTGATGGTGCTTTAGTTTTGGAACTTTTGATCTCCTTTTCAGCACTCTGTCATGGTAGTTTCAGCATATTACCTCATATAACACAGGCCATTATTTTTTCCAAGTACCTAAACACTCTTCCTCTGTTAATTATAACTTCAAGGCCCCTTGTCAGGCTGTTAAATATTGCGTTGTGGAAGAGAATCCTCATATCAGCAAACACTCCTTTAGCCAGATAAATATTCTACCACCCCAATTTCTGTTTCAGCATCCTCAAGGTACATTTGTAAGCAAGCACCCCGTATTCTTGCTAGTACATACTAGTCTGTTCCTACAGATCCTTTGGTGAATAATCCTTTTCTACCCTTAGCAGAACCAGCACTTCCCCAGGTGGGTCATGCTGAGACTTAGCCCTAGTTGTTTGCCTACTGTCCAGGAGGGGTGTGGGGAAAGATCTTGAGGAAGGCAGATATTGTTTTGCAGGTTATCTGCCTCAGTTCAGGCCCCTGCACAGTTTCTGCAAGGAGGGGGCTGCTGTTGTCCTCTAACAAGGGCAAACATTTGCCCAGAATGTTCAAGGGAATCTAAGAGTTAAATGTTCTCAAGTGCATCTTCCCAGGTATCCCCATCGAAGTCTCAGGGTTCCATTTCTCCCCTATCAGGGGCCTGATTTTCATGGAGAAAACTCACTGGGACTACAGAGTTAGCCATTGCTGAAGTTCTGCTACTCTTACAATACAATACAGTCCTATGCCCGGTCTTCAGCACAGTTCGCTTTCCAGCTACAGTATATGGCAGTCTTTTTTTTTTTTTTTTTTTTTTTTTTTGAGATGGAGTCTTGCTCCGTCACCCAGGCTGGAGTGCAGTGGCGCCATCTCAGCTCACTGCAATCTCCGTCTCCCAGGTCCAAGCGATTCTTCTACCTCAACCTCCCGAGTAGCTGGGATTACAGGTGCCTGCAACCATGCCCAGCTAATTTTTGTATCTTTAGTAGAGATGGGGTTTTACCATGTTGGCCAG
Source organism: Homo sapiens (assembly GCF_000001405.40). Lineage (NCBI taxonomy): Eukaryota > Metazoa > Chordata > Mammalia > Primates > Hominidae > Homo > Homo sapiens. The sequence goes on from NC_000005.10 coordinate 172,034,437, forward strand.
GCTGGTCTCAAACTCCTGACCTCAGGTGATCTGCCTGCCTTAGCCTCCCAAAGTGTTGGGATTACAGGCGTGAGCCACTACGCCCAGCCAACAATCTTTTTAAATGCTGCTGAAGAGGACTTCTGACTTCACATCTTGCCTTAAACTGGTAACTGTCTCACCTGAGCCTGTCATTTTCTCTCATGCATCAACAGCATCCAGCAACAATAAACGAATTCTGCAGTCCCTTAAATTATTGCTTCCTCTGAATTGTACAAGCCAATGCGACCCCTTCCAGCTGTATTCAATTCTAATTTTCCACAGGTACATATTTCACTAATGGCAACGATATAGCATACCAGGCACTAACAACACTTCCCTTATGATCAGTAATAGGGTCCTTATTGCCATCTGGCCAGCAAGTGATTGAATTCCAAATCTCATCCTTAGAGTCCATTTCCTAGGACAATTACCAGTTCCAAATGTCTTAAGTAGGGTTATTCAGAAGCAGAATATGAAATGAGAACTTGTGTGCAAGTGATCTATTAAGGAAATGCTCCCGGGAGAAATTGGAAAATGAATAGGTGAAGGAGGATAATGGAGGGAAAATGCAAAGCAAGGGTGCAGTCTCAAGCAAAGTCCTGTGGGTGGGTAGTTTCAGCCTGATCCCACAGGGGAATTTCAGAATATAAATTATGCCTCAGAGTTTGTCCTGACTTGTTGCAAGGGAGCTGGGCTTTCATACTCCCACACCAGCCAGTCACTGGCTGAGACCCACCCATCTCAGGGTGGGTGGATGTAAATTCTCAGGCACTTCTGACTCTGACTCCAGTAGCCAAGAGCAGGCCTTTAAAGAGAGCCTCAGGTGTGGACGGTTAGAAGCAAAAGCCTCAGGAACTGGGGCGAGGCAAACAGAAACCATAAAAGGGGATCTGGGTGGAGCCCAAACAGTATCCACTATGTGCTTGTTATTTTTCCTCCCCAACTCTCTTTTCACTCCTCTGACCCTGGAGGAGAAGAGCAAAGTGGCAGAAACGGTGAAGACACAAACTACATTAGAATAGGCTAGGTTAAGTTACAGCTGTGGTAACAACCCTAAAATCTCAGCAGCTTACCCCCATTCAGTTTACCTTTTGCTTATGCCTTGTGTCCTGTGTGGATTGTGAGGGGCCCTGCTCTCCATGGTCACCAGGGGTAAAGTTGTTGGAGGTTCTGCTGTCTTGTTCTGCACCATCTAAAATCCACAGCCTCCTCGTGTGCTTTAATAGGAAGAGAGAGACCAGAGGGTCGCGCTTGGCTTTTCTTTTTTTTTTTTTTTTTTTTTTTTTGAGATGGAGTCTAGCTCTGCCGCCCAGGCTGGAGTGCAGTGGCGCGATCTCGGCTCACTGCAAGCTCCGCCTCCCAGGTTCATGCCATTCTCCTGCCTCAGCCTCCCGAGTAGCTGGGACTACAGGCGCCCACCACCACGCCCAGCTAATTTTTTTTTTTTGTATTTTTAGTAGAGACGGGGTTTCACCGTGTTAGCCAGGATGGTCTCGATCTCCTGACCTCGTGATCCACCCGCCTCGGCCTCCCAAAGTGCTGGGATTACAGGCGTGAGCCACAGCACCCGGCCTGCACTTGGCTTTTTAGTGTGCTTCACCATAGGTGTGACAATCATGTCATTAGGCAGAATGGGTCACCAGGACTTGCCTGACTGCAGGGAGGCCAGAAATGTAGAGGATCCAAATGGTGCATTTGGTGAGAATTGTCCCAACCACACCGGTCTTTGTCACTATGAGCTTCTAAGTTTAGTTTAAGCTTGAGCTGGGTGAGAAGGAGGTTATTTTTTTGAGACAGGGTCTCGTTCTGTCACCCAGGTTGGAGTGCAATGGAGTGATCTTGGCTCACTGCAACCTCCACCACCCTGGCTCAAGCTATCCTCCCACCTCAGCCTCCTGAGTAGCTAAGACAACAAGTGTGTGCCACCACGCCCAGCTAATTTTTTGCATTTCTTGTAGAAACAGAGTTTCATCATGTTGCCCAGGCTGGTCTCAAACTCCTGAGCTCAAGGGACCCACTCGCCTTGGCCTTCCAATGTGCTGGGATTATTGGCATGAGCCACCATGCCTAGCCTGAGAAAAAGTTTTATTTTATTTTATTTTATTTATTTATTTATTTATTTATTTTTGAGATGGAGTCTAGCTTTTGTCACCCAGGCTGGAGTGCAATGGCACGATCTCGGCTCACTGCAACCTCCGCTGCCCAAGTTCCAGCAGTTCTCCTGTCTCCACCTCCCAAGTAGCTGGGACTACAGGCGCCCACCACCACACCCAGCTAATTATTGTATTTTTAGTAGAGACAGGGTTTCACCACATTAGTCAGGCTGGTCTCGAACTCCTGACCTCAGGTGATCTGCCTGCCTTGGCCTCCCAAAGTGCTGGGATTACAGGCGTGAGCTTCCGCACCCAGCCGAGAAAAAGTTTTACATCAATGTGAAAGTAAAACGTGGTAACTAGACTTTACAAAGTGATTTTGGAAAAGGTATGAGATTTGCCAGATAATTTTTTTTTTAATCATCAAGGTAGAGGGAAATGGTTTTACCTAGCACAGAAGATATGTAGTCACATGAAAGAATAAGATTCCTAATGAAAAACCAGAAAATAGCCAGAATCCCTAACTGTATAGTACTGATTAAGTAGATAATAAACATTCATAGGGTGGTGGGTTAATTAGCCACTTAAAACGATGTTTCTGGCCAGGCGCTGTGGCTCACACCTGTAATCCCAGCACTTTGGGAGGCCGAGGTGGGGAGATCAGCTGAGGTCGGGAGTTCGAGATCAGCCTGACCAATATGGAGAAACCCTGTCTCTACTAAAAATACAAAATTAGCTGGGCATGGTGGCGCATGCCTGTAATCCCAGCTACTCGGGAGGCTGAGGCAGGAGAATGGCTTGAACGCGGGAGGTGGAGGTTGTGGTGAGCCGAGATCACACCACTGCCCTCCAGCCTGGGCAACAAGAGCAAAACTCCATCTCATAAATAAATAAATAAATAAATAAATAAATAAAGTTTCCAGAGAACTTTTAGTAACATTGTTAAATGTTCATAATGTAATGTAAGTGAAAAAACTCAGTATATAAAGCTGTATATGAAAATCCCTTCCCATCTTTTACCTAGATTACTGTAAGCACCCTGATTGTCAGCCACCCTCCAGCCCCTGTCCCTCCAATTTGTTTTTTTACAGTGCAGCCAATCATCTGCCTACAATATCAAGCAGAGGCCATACCTTGTTTGCAGGATAAAATCCAAATTCCTCTTCATGGTTTGCATATATCTCTCCCTAGTCAAGCCTCCTCTCCAACTTTATTTTTGTCAACTACCCATCTTATGCTCTAGTCTCAAACTTATAACCTCCCAGCCGAGATATTTCCTCTGAGCACCAGATGTGTGTACACAAATGACATCTCTCTGTGGATGTCTCATAGGCATCAAATTTATTATTTTACTTATTTTATTTTGTGAGATGAAGTTTTGCTCTTCAGGGTCTTTCTCCCATTATCTTGATGAATAGTACCTGGCTCCCTTCTAGTCATTTAATCTCTTTAGGAAATTGTCACTTAGCCACACCCTTAGTATTCTCTCCCAAGCTTACTTTTTCACTCTTTACATGGCCAAGCTGAGAACTTTCTAGATCTATTCTGCTTCTCTTTTAATTATAAATTCTGTCTTTAAGTCATTTCTTTGCTCTTGCATCTCACTGTATGTCATTGAAAGCAGCCATGCAGCAGCCTGAATGCTTTGTTGCTTAGCTGCTTTTTTTTTTTTTTTTTTTTGCCAGATACCCTAGTTCATTGCTCCTAAATTCCATAAAGTCCTAGGACACAAACAGAATTCCACCAAGTTATTTTCAACTATGTAACAAGAATGGCCTTTACTCCAGTCTCTAATACCTTGTTCCTCATTTCCATTTGAGACCTCACACAGAATGGCATTTACTGTCCATATTTCTATCAACATCCGGGTCATGAGCATTTAAGTAATGTCTTAGAAGATTCAGACTTTCCCCACGGCTCTTCTCTCCTGAGCCCTCACCACAATCACCCTTAATGCTCCATTCACGGCAGTGTAGGCTTTTTCTAGCCTGCTTCTTCCCATTTTTCCAGCCTCTACCCATTACCCAGTTCCAGAGTGGCCTCTACATTTTTCACAGGTGTTTGTTATAGCAACAGACCACTACTCAGTACCAATTTTCTCTCTTAGTCAGTTTTCTGCTGCTATAACAGAATACCATAGACTAGGTAAATTGATAAAGAACAGAAGTTTATTTGACTCACTGTTCTGGAGGCTGGGATGTCCAAGAGCATAATGCCAGTGTCTGGCAAGGGTAATCCCATGGCACAAAATAGAAGACAGAAGTGAGCACATGAGACAGAGAGAGGGAATTGGGCAAACTCATCCTTTTTTTGGGGTGGGGAGGGGGGAACGGAATCTTGCTCTGTCACCCAGGCAGGAGTGCAGTGGTGCAATCTTGGCTCACTGCAACCTTCGCCTCCTGGGTTCAAGCGATTCTCCTGCCTTAGCCTCCTGAGTAACTGGGATTACAGGTGTCCGCCACCACATCTGGCTAATTTTTGTATTTTTAGTAGAGATGGAGTTTTCACCATGTTGGCCAGGCTGGTCTTGAACTCCTGACTTCAGGCGATCCACCCACCTCAGCCTCCCAAAATGCTGGGATTACAGACGTGAGACACCATGTCGGGCCAACTCATCCTTTTTATCAGGAATCCATTCCCATGATAACTAACTCACTTCTGCAATAATGGTATTAGTCCATTCATGAGGGCAGAGCCCTCATGACCTAATCACCTCTTAAAGATTCCACCTCTCAATATCCTTATAGTGGCAATTAAATTTCAATGAGTTTTGGAGGGGACATTTACACCATAGCAAGGCGTCAGCTAAAAAGTCCTACTTCCGGCCGGGTACAGTAGCTCACGCCTATAATCCCAGCACTTTGGGAGGCCAAGGCAGGCGGATCATGAGGTCAGGAGTTCGAGACCAGCCTGACTAACATGGTGAAACCCCGTCTCTACTAAAAATATAAAAATTAGTCTGGCGTGGTGGTGGTGCATGCCTGTAATTCCAGCTACTCAGGAGGCTGAGACAGGAGAATCGCTTGAACCCGGGGGGTGGAGGTTGTAGTGAGCCAAGATCACGCCACTGCACTCCAGCCTGGGCGACAGAGCTTGATTCCATTAAAAAAAAAAAAAGTCTTACTTCCTCCCCTCATGGAGCCTGCAGTCTTCCCTTTCCTTCTGAAAGCCTCAAACCTCTGTGGCCAAAAAACTCTTTTAACCTCATCTCAGTCTTTTTCAGCTGGTCTCTTGAATTGCTAAGGCCATGATTTCAACTGTCCTTCCCCTGAGTAAACTCCCCTTCTTCTGACTGCCCTTGGGATAGATAAGTGTTTTAGCCTGGCATGTTAGTCTGGACCTGTCCATCTCTTCAGCCTCATGACCCATAAAGCATTTACCCTAAACGATATCGCAGTCTCTGAATGCACACGTTCTGGCACATACTAGTTTGTCTTCCAAGACTCAGCATCACCTTCTCTGGGAAGTCTTCCCTGATTCTCCCAGGCAACGTCAGTCTGAACTTACACTCTGCTTTTCCAGGTCTGTTTCCCTACAAGGACAAGGAGACAGTGTCAGTGTCTTACTCATCTCGGCATCTCCAGCACATGGTGCTTAAGAGGTGTCGAATGAGGAATGATCTCATTTCCCGAGTCCTAAGAATCCTCTAATGCACTGTTGTTTTGTCAGTTTCATGAATTATTTTTCACTAGAACCTCAATCATTTTTCTAGCCCTTAATGGCAGGCAGGCCGGCTGCTTATTTGTTTGTATCCCCCAGACAGTAATCAATGTGAACTCCGCACTGACCTTGTGGCTGCGGCCTGCCCCCTGCTGGTCAGAAGGTTTCTGGGACAGAGACAACTCAAGGCTGAAGAAACAGGGGTTCTAAATCATTTTTTGCGCCGTGGACTCCTTTGGCATTCCACAAAGAATATGAATCCCTTCTCAGAATAATGCATATTTTTTGAGACAGTCTCGCTCTGTCGCCCAGGCTTCAGTGCAGTGGCACGATCTCGGCTCACTGCAACCTCTGCCTCCTGGTTCCAGCCATTCTTATGCCTCAGCCTCCCGAGTAGCTGGGAATACAGGTGTGCCACCACGCCTGGCTAATTTTTGTATTTTTAGTAGAGACGGGGTTTCACCATGTTGGTCAGGCTGGTCTCAAACTCCTGACCTCAAGTGATCCACCCGACTCGGCCTCCCAAAGTGCTAGGATTACAGGCTTGAGCCACTGCGCCTGGTGGCTTCTCAGAATAATATTTTCAAGTGTGTAATATAAAGCACATAGATTACAAATGAAACCAATCATATGGAATACAGGTAACAAAATACTGGAAAACCTGTATATATTTTGTATGTGATATATATGCCCATGTAATGTGATATATGGATGTATATACACATATGCACGTTAAATAACAAGATCTAGTAATAGGTCTAATAGCTACTGTAATTTCAAAGTGATAAAAATATTTTGAGATCTCTACCACAGCTGCAATGTGATATGAAATATCTGGGATTTCTACTGGTGACAGTCACAGCTACTGCTAATACTACTACAGTTTGTAGTAAAACTAAAGACCAAATCTTTTGCCATCCAGATACCAAGACACCCTGAATTCTACATATGGATCCATTGTGGGAAGAGTCTATGGACCCAAAGTTAAGAAAGCCTGAATCGTGTTTCAGAGGCATGGCAGACAGATTCTTTTAAATACGGCAGGGATGGCTAGTGGCTAGGCATCTGTACGACCCTTGATTAGTTCAAGTGGCAGTTGAGTGAGACACGGGAGGTATGCCAGAAACACCTCTGGCAGAAGGTCCAGGTTTGAACCTTATAGGCGTCACTTACAGTGTTTTGAGAACTGGCTTGACCCTTCCCTTTGCCTAGTGCCCATTTCCTCATCTAGAAAATGAGAATGAGCCTGGTGTGGTGGGGGGTGGCTCACACCTGTAATTCCAGCTGTTTGGGAGGCTGAGACAGGAGGATTGCTTGAAGCCGGGAGTTTGAGACCAGCCTGGGCAACATAGTGATCCCCCCTGCCCTGTCGCCTGTCTCCACAAAAAAAAGCCAGGCACCGTGGCTCATGCCTATAATCCTAGCTACTCAGGAGGATAAAGTGGGAGGATCATCTGAGCCCAAGAGTTTGAGGTTACGGTGAACCATGATCATGCCACTGCACTCCAGCCTGGGTGATAGGGAGACCCTGTCTCTAAAAAAATAATAAATACATAAAATGGGAATGATGGTGTCTTCCTCCGATTGTTGAAAGGATTCAGTACATTAACAGGTGAAAACTTTTTGGGGTCAATGAATGTTTGTTGTTAAATGAGAATGATATTAAATGTCTGTAGAGAACATGCCCCATGACATGCTCTCTCTCAGCCAAGCATAATGTCTTTCCAAAGAGAAACCCGAAGTCTGAGCTGCCGTATGACCTGGGAGGCACCTGCGTACTTGGAAGATAAGCCCTTTCTTGCCGGGTGAGTATGGTTAAGTGTGCCCTGCTTTCCACCCCAATCCAAAAGAACAACCTGAACGGCAAATAACCTTGTTATTTTATTAGAAGCATATTTACATTCTTGTAGTTAACTTTCCAGAGAACATTTTACAAAAATTTTGTATAAAGTCTGGAAACTACATAAAAATAATTTCTATCTTTCATAAAGGGAAAATAAAAGTTAGTTACATTTACTCTAAAACCAGACAGAGGAAAAAAACCCAGTTCTGTCTGTCCCTTATACAGAAAGCACTAACACAGGGCACGAGGAATACCGCGTGGGCCTCTCAGAGATGGGCATTGCACGGTGGCTCCACGGTGAGGCTAGGTGACCCCGCCAGTCCCCATCCAGAAAAGCACAGGGGAGCTCTGAGGGCTCAGGCGGCACTGAGCGGGGACGCGGCAACTCCTTGAAGGGCAAAAGTGATGTGAAGGACGAGCCACGAGGGGAATGATCACAGACTTTCACCTGAACCATGAAACTGGCATTTCACCTAATACTTTCTCACACGCCAGGCTACACATGGAAATACTGTAAGCAAAGCCCAAAGCAGCCCTGTCTGGTGGTTCCCAACGCTGGCCTGGCCTGGTAGAACTGGGTCTATGTTCTGCAGTTACACTGCCGCTAGTTCATGTTTCCCCAGCACCAATGCACCAAAGAGAATAAAAGGAGACAATTGTTTCGCTTGTCTCATTTGTGAGAGACCTAAAAAACACCCCCATCTGGGTCAAATTCTGCAGCAGGCAAGCTAAATGCTCACTAACCTGAGAACCATTGCTAGCTCCAAGAGAATCTTGACTGTGCATTTAAGATTTGGGCAGTCCCCTTTTCCTGTTGAAGGGCTGCCCCTCCCTTCCCAAGCATTCAGTTATAACCAATGTTGAGAAAATTTCCAGGGAATTGCTTTAGAAAGACAGAGTATACAGAACCTTAACCTAGCTGGGTGCAGTAGCATGTATCTGTCGTCCCAGCTACTCAAGGTTGAAGCGGGAGAATCAGTTGAGCCACGAGTTTGAGATCAGCTTGGGCAACATATTAGAGACCCTGTCTCAAAGAATTTTTTTTTTTTTTTTTTTTGAGAGACAGAGTCTCGCCCTGTCACCTAGGCTGGAGTGCAGTGGTGTGACCTTGGCTTACTGCAACCTCTGCCTCCTGGGTTCAAGCGATTCTCCTGCCTCAGCCTCCCGAGTAGCTGGGATTATAGGCATGCACCACCACGCCTGGCTAATTTTTGTACTTTTAGTAGAGACAGGGTTTTGCCATGTTGGCCAGGCTAGTCTCGAACTCCTCACCTCAGGTGAGTCACCATGCCCGGCCTAAAAATAAAGAATCTTAAATCTGTAGGAGTGAAGGCGGAAAAAGTCCTCCCAGGAAGTCTCAACCACTCTACCACCAGCGAAACACTACCCAGACTCAATATGCCCGCATGATTACTCCAAATCATTACCAGTTTTGTGTTGTTGTTCTTGTTTGTTGTTTTAAAAAGCAGATATCTTCCTGGAGAAACCATACATTTTATAGTTGTTTCAATAAAATAATTAGAAATCAGGGTGAAAAAAGGTTTCCTTGTAAGTAAACCCGCATACTGGTTCAAACATTTGCTTTTATTGCGTTATATACATTCTGCAGCTGTAGAATCAGAATCTGGGGGAAGCCAACTGAGACCCCGAAGGCCCAGCAGGAGTCCATCTGAGGTACAGAACCTGTGCTTCTGCCATGTTCCTGGGGCAGGGGCATTCCATTTCCCCCTGATGCTTTTTCTTCCTGAAGAGAAGTCCAACAGACTGCCAGCCCAGGTCTGAAATGCAAGGTGGGACTCCTGAACACAGTCGGGGGGATGGGGCAGAGGCAAACAGCCCTCCTGTTTCACCTGCAGACAGGGTGGGCCAGAGTGCTATGGAGCAGACTGGGTTGTGGAAGCCTCGTGTGCTGAGGAATCAGTCCCTGCACACAGGAGCCTGTGCGGGGGCCAGCACGCATCGCAGCCTGGCAGTACAGCCTGTGCTTTTCCATGCCTCCGGTGCCAACACCCCGCACGTGCCACACCAACTGCTCCACCTAACATGCTCAGTGGCACAGGCTCAGGCAGCAAACGTGTTCCAACCCACCTGGGCAGAAGAGGCCAGGCCAGCAGACCAAGTCCTGTGTGTACGCGTATGTGTGTGCATTCACACCCATGTGCAGGAAGGGGGACGCGAGATGGCATGAAACACGGGAGAAGCAGAATAAACATTTCAGCCTCCCTCTTTCCCCGGTCCCCGCCCCCCACATAGACAAGGCTTTGTCTTAAGTGGAAAGCAAACTGGGAGAACAGGAGGAATGAGGCCATCTCCTGAGCAGCCAGCTGCAGGCCTGGCTCCTCTGGGAACAGAAATGGCTGTGAGGGACTTGATGATTGAGTGACTCTGCAGGGAATGGCTGAAAAACCAAGAATTCCAGCCCGGATGAGCCCACGGGGACTTCATCAGCAGTGCTTTGTCCCACAGAGAGCAAAACTGGTATTTTCGCAAACAGGAGAGGACTCGAGGCCACAGAACACCCATTCCTCTTGGACCCTGACCCCACCAACAGCCCCATCCCTTCCAGCTTGAAGGGATCTGGGGCTCAAGGAGAATATACATTAGGTTCAGGTGACAAATAATTACACCTCACCCTCCACAGGCCAGCAAGAAGTCAGGAACGCTGGGGCAGGTCTATCAGGCACAGTTGGGGTGGCACAGGGCGAGGGGCTGGATTTGAGCTGGCACAGACGCAAGAGGGAAAAGGGGTCCTGAGTTACATGTTCACAGAGAATGAAGGAGAAGGCCCTGGGGCCCACCAAGCTGCCAGCCACAGCCCCGGGCGGTTGTTAAGAAGCATCCGCAGAACTGTAGGGGAAGAACTTGGCGGCCTTGCTTGGGGTGGAGGGGTTTGGGCACTCCGCCTCCTCGCTCAGCTTGAAGAACATCTCCTGCTCCCGCTTCTTCTGGTTCAGATCCTCTTCCAGAGCCTAGGGAAGAGAGAGGATGGATGGCACTTGGTGAGATCTGCAGGCCACACGTGGGTCTCCCACTCACAGGACCCCCACTGACATGGCCTTCTCTGGAACATTCCCTTCCAGGCCTCAGTGCTTGAGAAACTACGGCTTCCCTATTTCCTACCCTAGAGCTCCTCCCACAGGAGGTAAGTACCACCTCCTGCCACCGCCACTCAGAAGCTCCCTGTGGACTGAAGGGTACAGTTGGGGGAAATGTCAATCTAGACGGGGCAGGGAGGAAAAAAAAGCAGATGCAAATCCCCTGGCAGGAAAACAGCCAAATGACTGGAGAAAAACCCGAGGGAGAAGATGGAGAGAGACTGAGCAGCAAAGGAAGCAGAGATGTCAGAAGTTTTTTTTTTCAAAATACACATGCCTGAGTTGAGATTGCGCCACTGCACTCCAACTTGGGCGACGGTGCGAGACTCCATCTCAAAAACAAAAACAAAAACAAAAACAAAATACACGTGCCTTTGCCTAAACCCAGAGGTTCGGATTTTGAAGATCTGTGGTGGGACCAAGGCCTTCTGTACTGTACAAACTCTTCAGGTAACTCAGAGGAGAGCTCTAGTTGAAAAGCACTGCGGGAGGTTCCCTTGGGCACAAGCAAGTTTATCTAGGTAAATTGGATCCTACCAGAAATATTTTTCTTTTTTTTGAGACAGAGTTTTGCTCTGTCGCCCAGGCTGGAGTGCAGTGGCACTATCTTGGCTCACTGCAAATTCAGCCTCACAGGTTCAAGTGATTCTCCTGACTCAGCCTCCCCAGTAGCTGGGATTACAGGCACCTGCCACCATGACTGGCTAATTTTTGTATTTTTAATAGAGAAGGGGTTTCATCGTGTTGGCCAGACTGGTCTCAAACTCCTGACTTCATGTGATCCACCCACCTTGGCCTCCCAAAGTGCTTGGATTACAGGCGTGAGCCACCGCGCCTGGCCTAGGATTTTCTAAAGAAACTGGAAATCAAGATTTTAATGTAAAATCTCCTTATATACTTAAAAGTGGACATCTTTTAAACAATTTACAGGCCAGGTGCGGTGTCTCAGCCTTGTAATCCCAGCACTTTGGGAGGCCAAGGCGGGCGGATCACCTGAGGTCAGGAGTTCAAGACCAGCCTGGCCAACAAGGCGAAACCCCATCTCTACTAAAAACACAAAAATTAGCCAGGTCTGGTAGTGTGTGCCTGTAATCCCAGCTACTTGGGAGGCTGAGGCAGGAGAATCACTTGAGGCGAGGTGGAAGTTGCAGTGAGCCGAGATCGTGCCACTGCACTCTAGCCTGGGTGACAGAGCAAGACTCTGTCTCAAAAAAAAAAAAAAAAATTTTTTTTACATCACTATGTTGGCCAAACATACCATGCCTGTAAGCCAATTCCAGCACATAGGCTATCAGTTTGGGACCTCTGCTCTAGGAATACCAACAATTTAATAATAATAGCTACTACTTTTTGAGCACAGAATGGTTTAGTAACTTGCCCAAGGTTTCACAACTAGTAATGGAGGAGTTAGGACTTCATCCCACCTGTGTGACTCCAAAGCCTGGGCTGTTTAAGCATTATTCTGTTCTACCCACCACATATATTTCTCAATACAACCTTCTTACGCCAGAGTCAGCGATCTTTTTTCTGTTATGTGACAGATAGTAAACATTTTTGGCTTTGCAGGACATATTTGGTCTCTATTGTGACTACTCAACTGCCACTGTAGTACAAAATCAGCCACAGACAATCTGTAAATGAACGAGCATGGCTGTGTTCCAATAAAACTTTATTTACAAATATAGGTGGTGGGCCAGATTAGGACATTGGCAGTGGTTTGCTAACACCTACTTTAAGGAAATAAATATTATCTACATTTTACAGCCCGAAAAGCCAGGGTTCAGGAGGGAAGATTTGACTTGTTTGAGGCCACATTCTGTGTGAACACTGACCCAAGCAACACTTCATTGACTCTACCAGATATTCCGTACTTACTCGAAATACATCTGAATTTTTCTAAAAATACTCCACAATGTACAATCATCTCCCTGCCTCCATACAAGGCAGGGGGTTCACAGGCTGCTGACCGTAATGCAAGAATGTAAAAGACCATTTATTCTCGAATGAAAATCATCACCTCCGGGTCATTGTTCCAGCAGAAACCCAAGCAGCTAATGACAGAAGAATTCTATAAAGAATTCTGCAAAGAGGCAGCCCCCACAGGCAAAGTCCAATGCTGGCTTCCCAACTGCACACTCGTGGTGCCTCCCCTGAGCCCAGGCCCCTCTTTGAAGCGATCTGAGACATAAGGCAATAGCTAGAGGAAACGCGATCATTCATTTTCAAACTCTCTCAGGATAGGCCAAGGGTATAGAACCCCCAGGTAAGAGAACCAGGTGGACGTTCATTTCCTGATTGCAGAACCAACCTATGTCAGCAGGAACATTATTGACTTGACTGTCAAGTATGGAAAGTCCCAGCAGACCATGGTTACAGAAACTGATGAGCGTGGGCCTAACAGGAAGTCTGGGATCTTGGCCAGCTTCCAGCCAGAAAGCTCCATGAGCGCAGGGAGGGAGGCCTCAATTCAAGGACTCCCAAGGCCATCACACAGCTGAGATGGGCAGTTGCCTCCTGTCCAGACCACAGTTACAGTAAGCAGAACTGATGTACGATGGCAGAACAAACCTCAGGACTTCAGGACCCGTGGGCATGAGATTAAGAGTAACTTGGGCAGTTCTCTCCTCAGAGAGTTTAGGGGAATGAGTATGTCCTTGGCCTGTACTATGTGCTGGCAACTTCTGACATAACCTTGCAGTATTGATAGCTTCACTGTACAAATAACCACACTGAGGTCCCATGTTTTTTGGGTTTTTTTTTTTTTTTTTTTTTGAGACGGAGTCTTGCTCTGTCACCCAGGCTGGGGTGCAGTGATGCGATCTTGGCTCACTGCAACCTCCGCCTCCCGGGTTCAAGCCATTCTCCTGCCTCAGCCCCCCATGTAGCTGGGATTACAGGCATGCGCCACTGTGCCCGACTGATTTCTGTGATGGTTAATTTTATGTGTCAGCTTGGCAAGGCCACGGTATCCACCTGTTTGGTCAAACACCAGCTAGATGTCACTATGAAGGTATTTTCTAGATGTGATTAGCATTTCAATCAGTAAACTCTGAGTAATGCAAATTACCCTTCATCATGTGGGTGGGCCTCAATCAGTTGAAGGCCTTCAGAGAAAACAAGAGAGAAGGAATTCTGCCTCTAGACAGCAACAACAACTGGGTCTCCAGCCTGCTGACCTGTCCTGCAGATTTCAGACTTACCAGCCCCCACAATCGTGTAAGCCAATTCCTTAAAATAACTAAATCAATTTCCCTCTCCCTCTCCCTACACACACACACACACACACACACACACACACACACACATCCTCTCTCTATCTTGGTTCTGTTTCTCTAGAGAATCCAGACTAATACGGCCCAGAGCGGGGAAGATGGCTTGCCCAAGATCCCAAAGCTGGTGACCAGCAAGAACGTCTAGAGTGCCAGCTAGAGAGGAAATGGACAAATTCCCCCAACCTCTGATACCATCCTAGTTCAAGATACCACCCTAGTCCAAGCTGCCATCATTAGTCACCAAGGCTATCACAATGGTTTCCTGACTGGTCTCTCTGCCTCCACTCTTGACCCCTGAGGGCAGCCAGCGGGATCCTTTTCAAAACATGAGTCAGACCACCTTGTCCTCTGCTCAGAACCCTCCAGTGGCTTCCATCTCACACAGAGTAAAAGCCAGACTTTACGCAGGCCCCCCACCCCTCTGACTTTACCTCCTATCACCTCCCACCGTCACCACCACTCTCTCCGGCCGCAGGGGTCTCCTTGTTTCACGAGCAAGGTGTCCGGGCCTTTGCAGTTGCTCTTCCCTGTGCTGGGAATGTCCCCCTGAAAACCCCCACGGCTGCACGCCTCCCTCCCTCAGGTCCTTCAGATCTTGGCTCAGATGTCATCTTCTTAGACGACATCTTCCTGCCACACCGTCTGAAGCAGCCTCACTTTGTGACCCCCCCATGCTGTTTCCCTCCCTGCTTCTTGGCCCCTTACTAGAAGGTCGGTTCTTCCGGAGGGCATGGACTTGTCCCTTTTGTTCAATGCAGTGTCTCTAGAGTCTGAAACAGCGTGGGGCACTTAGCAGGTGTTCAAGAAATATGTGTTGCATTAATACACAAACGAATGAACCATCAAGCTAACGATGACACACAAATGCAATCCCATGTGATAAACACCATGACAGGGGCAAGGACGGGGAGCCCAGAAGACACCATACAGCCTCCGTGGGGGAGGCCTGAATAATGCAGACAAACAGAAGTTGGCCAAGCAAAGGCTGGTGGGTAGAGAATTCCTGGCAAGGGGAACAGGCTGGGCAAAAGCCCAGCAGGGAACGAGGGAAGCGCATATGGCATGGAGATCTATTTGGGTACTGAAATCTGCTCAGAGCACAAGTCGGGGATGAGACTCACGGGAGATAAGGCAAGAACAGTAGTTCTCGAAGTGTGGTCCACGAACCCCTAGGGGGCCCAAAACGCTTTCTGGGGGTGGGGGAGGGGCAGCAAGCTCTAGTTTCCTGCTAAGACACAGTTTGCTTTTTCATTGTTTTGATATTGGTGCTAATGGTACAAAAGCAATGATGGGTAAAACTTCTGGAGCTTCTGGAGGATTAAGACAATGGCCCCTCCTAACTGAATGGGTATTCTTCACCACCGTGCACTCACATGTGTTTATTTTTATTTTTATTTTTTGAGATGGAGTTTCACTCTTTCGCCCAGGCTGGAGTGAAGTGGTGAGATCTTGGCTCACTGCAAACTCTGCCCGCCGGGTTCAAGTGATTCTCCTGCCTCAGCCGCCCAAGTATCTGGGATTACAGGCATGCACCACCATGTCTGGCTAATTTTTGTATTTTTAGTAGAGACTGGGTTTCGCCATGTTGGCCAGGCTGGTCTCGAACTCTTAACCTCAGGTGATCCACCCGCCTTGGCCTCCCAAAGTGCTGGGATTACAGGTGTGAGCCACCATGCCAGGCCCACTCATAGTATTTTAGAAAGTTTTTCAATTAAAACAATAAAGCCAATTGCACTTAAGATCACCTTGATGGTGCAACACAAATGGTTCATTTTATTAAATCCTGACCTTCAAGGTCACAGCCCTTTAACGTCCTGTGTGAGGAAATGAGAACTATGCATAAGGCCCGCCTGCTGCCGGTCAAAGCATGATGGCTGTCTAGAGATCCTGTTCTTGTGCCTGGTATTGTTCTTGTGCAATCATCTTGAGTTGTGGGCTGAACTCGCCACTTGATTCTGCAGAATATCATTTTGATTAAAAAACAACTCACAACTGGGCATGGTGGCATGTGTTATAGTTCCAGCTACTTGGGAGGCTGAGACAGGAGAACTGCTTGAGCCCAGGTAGTCGAAATGAGCCTGGGCAACATAGCAAGACCCCATTTCAAAAAAAAATTACTGACAAATATGGGTATTTAGCAAACACTCTCTTGAAAATGAACAAACTGAGCTGATCACGTCAAGGGAAACAAACTAAGGATATTTACTGCCAATGACAAAATTTGAGCATTCAAGCAAAAATGAGAACTTTGGAAAACCTGTGTCCACCAGCCTGAACTTGACAGCTTCTCAATTTTTTTTTTTTTTCTTTTTGCGAGGGTCTCAATCTGTCACCCAGGCGGGAGTGCAGTAGTGCAATCATGGCTCACTGCAGCCTTGACTTCCTGGCCTCAAGCGATCCTCCCATCTCAGGCTCCAGAGTATCTGGGACTACAGGCATGTGCCACTGTGCCCGGCTAATTTTTGTATTTTTTGTAGAGATGAGGTTTCACTGTGTTGCCCAGGCTGGTCTCGAACTCCTGGGTTCACACCTATAATCCCAGCACTTTAGGAGTGGTGGCGGGTGCCTGTAATCCCAGCTGCTCAGGAAGGTTGAGGCAGGAGAATCGCTTGAACCTGGGAGGTGGAGGTTGCAGTGAACCGAGATAGCGCCACTCCGTCTCAGGAAAAAAAAAAAAATCCGCTGGTCTTTCTCGCACTTGGATGTAACTTTGCTCCAGCCATGATCCTGTAACATCATGCATTGGTCACTTAGAAAATATTGGTTTACTGAGTTATGCAGATCTTCCAAAAGTTGACACATTTCATTATACAATATTTAAAAAAAATTATATCTCCACCAGGCACAGTGGTGCACACCTGTAGTCCCAGCTAGTCGGGAAGCTAAGGCAGGAGAATCACTTGAACCCAGGAGGCAGAGGTTGCAGAGAGCCACGTTCCCACGCCTGTAATCCCAGCACTTTGGGAGGCCGAGGGGGGCGGATCACTTGAGGTCAGGAGTTCAAGACCAGCCTGGACAACATGGTGAAACCCCGTCTCTACTAAAAATAGAAAAACTAGCCAGGCATAGTGGCATGTGCCTGTAATCCCAGCTATTCAGGAGGTTGAGGCAGGAAAATCATTTGAACCCAGGAGGCAGAGGTTGCAGTGAGCTGAGATGGCACCACCGCACTCCAGCCTTGGGCGAAAGAGTGAAACTGTCTCTAAAATAAAAAATAAAATAAAGAAATCAACAGATGGGTCACGAGGGACGTTGCAAAGGGGCTAGTGACAGAGAAGAAACCCAGCAGAAGGTGGGCCTAGGAGGACAAGGCAGGCGAGGAAGAGAGTGACTGGCAGCACTGGCTGCCACCAGGAGGTCAAGTCCAGCCAGCCGTATCCATGCGAGTCAGCCACCAGGATGTTGGTATTGACCATGCCAGCAGCGGCTGCAGTGGGCTGAGAAAGGAATTTCTCAGTGGGTGGAGGAAGAAATTGTGACAGGGCTTCGCAGAGAAAGAGAGAGACAGGGCAGTAAAGAAAGATGTGGGACTGAGCGAGGGCATGGGGTTTGAAGGTGAAAGTATGGCAGGCACCATTCAAAAATGACCCCTGTGACTCTCTCTCATATAACTCTCCCCGCTCCTCTGCGTGTGGGTGGAACCTCTGAATGTGGTATCATTCCTGCAAGCAGGGAGGCTATCCCGTGACCCTGATTTAATCACATGAGCACAAAAGGGTTTTCTCTAGCTGGTGGCAGAAAGGGATATCAGAGACATTCAAAGCACGAGGAGGTCTGAATGCATGCTGGCTATTTGAGGTGGAGGAGGCCACGTGATAAGGAGTGCCGGTGGCTTCTAGAAAATAACCCGTCTGAGGTCAGCAAGGAAACAGGGACCTCAGACCTACAGCCATAAGGAACTGGATTCTGTCGAAAGCTGAATGGGTTTGGAAGTGATTCTTCCCCAGAAACTTCAGCTAAGAGCCCAGCCACGCTGACAACGTTGATTGCAGCCTGGTGAGACCCTGAGCAGAGAACCCAGAGAGCCCACCCAGACTCTTGAACTCCATCACTAGGAGAGAGTAAACGGGCGTTGGTTTAAGCTGCTAAGTGTGTGGCAGTTCATCACACAGCAACAGAAAACTAAATTGGCAAGCAGTTTATCTTGTGCTGCGTTCTGACTCCTCAGAATAACTTCCTCTAAGAGAAAATCCCCACAGGCTGGGCTTCTGGCCCAGCAGCGTGGCTGGTTTGACTCACTGCAGCGTCCTCTGTGGACACATGGCAGGAGTCCTTCGGTCCATGAGAGGGAGCTAAACAAGAGGCTGCCCTTCCAGAGGTGGAAGCTGCAGGGCGTTCAGCCACAAAGGGTTAGAAAGTTCCCCTCTCTCTCAGGCTGGAGATCCATTTGATGGTGCCACAAAGCAAGAGTCCACCAAAATAAGGAGACCTAACATGTCCTGGCCAGAGGCCTGTGCATGGCACAGAGCAGAGCCCGAGACTGAGCCCACCAGCTCGGATAAAGTTACCTTCTTGCGCGGCCGAAGCTTGTCCCGCCATTCCTTCAGGTTCTGGTTATGGCTCTCATCCAGGGCCTTCAGTTTCTGGGTTTCGTGCTCTACCAGGAGGTGGCACTTTTCATTCTGGAACAGATTCCAGGCAGAACAGGTGAGAAATCAGAAGACGCAGGCCCTGAAGACTGAGACACACCTCACGCTGTGGCTACGAGGGCACCAGCATCGTTCATTTATTATTTCTTCTTGACTATAAATCCCATTTATTCAAACTCTATACGTAAATCACATGCACCAAGAAGTGCCTGGAGGAATAGTCCAGAATATGTTAATAGTTCTTATTAACTCTGTGGTGGGGAGGTATAGTAAATTTGCAACTTTCTGTGAGGATACAGCAAGAAGGCAGCTGTCCGCAAGCCAGGAAGGGAGCCCTCACCAGAACCCCACCCTGCTGGCACCCTGATCTCAGACTTCCAGCCTTCAGAACTGTGAGAAAGAAGTTTCTGTTAATTAAAGCATCATGGTTTGTTATGGCAGCCCGAGCTAAGATACTCTGTATGTCTCACATATAATTTCCTCAGGGAGATCTGTGGCAAGGAATGAGGGTCACTGACATGGGTGAGACTCTTCTAACCTCGCTGTTCTTTCTCTGAGGTAAGTTATCTGCTTTACAAAATGTAAATCTCTCTCATAGGCAGCAGTGACAAGTCCCTGTTGATTTCTTGCAGGGAATCAGTCTTGTCATGAGGAGCTTATAAAGCAGGGGGAAGTGCCTTTATCCAGATACCACGACCCTACTGGGTTGGAAAAGTAGAATCCTTTGGGAGATTTTCATTTTGGGTTTCATGCTAGAGGCTTCTGGGAGTTTAGAACTTGGCTGAGTGAGAAGTAATACTCGCAGCAGCGCTGCATGCCTGTGGCCTGCCAGGAGCTGTGCTCGGCACTTCATACGGGCTCTCTCAGTGCTCACACTGAGGCAGGGATCACCCGAGGCAGGGATAGGAAAACGGATGCGGAAGGTGAATGGCTTGGCCAAAAGTCACACAGTGGTAATCAGCAGAGCCGTGCCGGGCAGGCCTCAACACCTGGAATGTTTCCTCCATGCCTCCCCACCTCTCCAGAAATTGCCCGATGGGTCCAACAGCCTGAGCAGTTCCTGAGGTTCGAATCAGCCCCGTCCCCACAAGGGGGCTTCAAGTACCAGCTCCTGGGGCCAGGACCCTCAGGCATGGGGCAAACCCAGGGGCCAGGAAGCTTGAAGAGGTCAGGAATTACCACAGCAAAAGCAGCCCACAAGGGGCTCGGCCACACCCCAACCACCTTTGCCCAAAACACAGTGATGACTCAGAAACCCTGCAGCAGCCCACTGCCAGCTCCGTCACTTCATTCACAAGTCCTTGCCCCAATCCTGCACAGCAGGAATGGTCATCCCCATGCCCATTTTAGGGGTGTGAGAGCTATGGCTTAGGAGGGTGATATGATTTGCCCAACCTCACAGAGCCCTAGAGCAGCATGGCAGGGCTGGAAACCATCCATCCCGGGCGTGTCTGATGAAGATCCTTCCCTGCTGTGGAGTTTCTGGCCCCCTGAGATCTGATGGCCTTGGGGAAACTGAGGCAGCCTGGGGGCAGGGGCAGGGGCAGGCAGGGCGGTACCTGCAGCTGCTGCAGCTCGCTCATGTTGCTCTCACACTGCGCCAGCATGTCCCGCATCTGGTTCTCGTGTTTCTGCTGTTGCTGCAGCCGCTCCGACTTCTGCCTCTTCTCCTCCTGCTGGGAGAACTGCACCAGAGAGAGGGTGGGTGCCTCAGGGGACCAGGGCCTGGCTGGTTGGGTAGGGAGCCCCACTCAGCCCTGGCCCAGGGAGACCCCTCAGGGGGACTGGTCTGTGCACAGCCCCAGTACCCAGCACCACCTCAGGCTGTGCCCGTGTTAAGTCCTCACCCTGAGCTGAGACCCAGCCCCAGCCCTCGAGGAGCCCCCAGGCTGGTGGGGACATGACACTGCAATGTGACACACGCCAGGAAAGTGTGTGTAGCAGGCAGGAATCACAAGGGCCCGTGTGCCCGAGCCACAAGGGCAACACAGGATGTGGGGAAGCTGGCCAAATAAAAGTGTGGGAGTGCGGAAGGGAAGGGTGCAGGAGAATTGGCAACATAGCACCAAGCTCTACCTCTGTCCACACACAGAGGTGAATTCACCATGAGGCTGATGAAGCTTCCAGGGCACGCATGGTGACTCGCACACCCCCTCCCAAGACCTTATGGCGGGTGGGTCGGAGTGCATCTTTCTTTTTTGTTTTTTTAAGATGGAGTCTCGCTCTGTTGCCCAGGCTGGAGTGCAGTGGTTCAATCTTGGCTCACCGCAACCTCTGCCTCCCGGGCTCAAGCGATCCTCCCACCTCGGCCTTCCAAATAGCCACCACACCTGGCTAATATTTTTAAAAAATTATTTTTTTGTAGAGATGGGGTTTTGCTGTGTTGCCCAGGCTGGTCTCAAACTCCTGGGCTCAAGTGACCCGCCCGCCTCGGCCTCTCAAAGTGTTGGGATTACAGACGTGAGCCAGCCTGCATCTTGTTTCATATTCTCCAAAACTGTATAAGGCCCAGGTCCCGCCAAACCTGGCCCTGCCTACACCCCAGCACACTTGCAGACCCCGCAGGCCCGGCCCCCACCTGCTTGATCTTCTCACGCTGCTCAGCTGCGCTGCCCCCGCCGTTGATGTGGAGGCTCTTCTTGTACATGGCCATGCGCGTCTTGCCCTCACTCCTCTGGATCTTGGGCAGCCGCGCCTTTTCCTGTTGCTGCCGCACCTTCAGCTGCTCTATCATGCGCTGGTTGTAGCGCTGCATCTGCTCCCGCTCCTGGAGAGGAATATCCAGAGGGGCTGAGGGCAGCTGCACTCTGGACTCAGAGCGTGGTCACAGGCTAAAGGTCCCCACACTCCACTCAGGGGCCCAGGACCAACGCAGCCCACAATGTTCAGCAGATCAAGGCTGGTGTTATTTTGCTTCTACACTAATAACATTATTTGTTCTCACTTTAAAAATTCTTGTTAATAATATCTTGGATTCTTACCTTCTAAATGCCTTTTCATCTAATCAATGATGGCATGCCATCATTAGCTAATATCTCAAAGCAAAATGTACACGAAAGGGGATGGTTTACCATTAGTGATGGCAGATATGAACTTATATTTTAAAAAATCCTGATAGATTTGAATTTTTTCCTTCCCCTAACACCTATTTGTATTTCAAAGCTCAGCATGGGCATCACCTCCTCCAAGAAGCCTTCCCCGATTTCTTCACTTGGTTGGGTAGCCTTATTCTGAACTCCCATGGCCCTATACTGACTTCC
The DNA here is from genome assembly GCF_000001405.40 of Homo sapiens. Classification (NCBI taxonomy): domain Eukaryota; kingdom Metazoa; phylum Chordata; class Mammalia; order Primates; family Hominidae; genus Homo; species Homo sapiens. The sequence continues at coordinate 172,056,270 of NC_000005.10, forward strand.
ATCACTGCATTTAGATAAGAAACTGGAATTATACACAGCTGCTGTGCATCCAGACCTTGGTCTGTCTGTCACTGTCCCACTATGGAGGCTGAACTGAGACAGACAATTCCCGCAGGAGAGGGTGCTTTGGCCACACAGAGTAGGGGCCCTCACCAGCTCTGGGGAGTTCAGGGAAGGCTTCCCAGCAGAGGTGGTGTTTAAGTGGAGACCTAAAAGTATTGAGGGAATGCACAAGAAAGAGAGAAATAAAGACAAAATGGAAAGGGAGGACAAAAAGAGGGAAAAGAGAAAAAAGAGCAAAAGAAAGACACACACCGGGCAGGCACAGTGGCTCACGCCTGTAATCCTGGCACTTTGGGAGGCCAAGGCGGGCAGATCACTTGAGGTCAGGGGTTTGAGACCAGCCTGGCCAACAGGGTGAAAGCCCAACTCTGCTAAAAAAAAAAATACAAAAATTAGCCAGGCATGGTGGCAAGCACCTGTAATCCCAGCTACTCGGGAGGCTGAGGCAGGAGAATCACTTGAACCCAGGAGGTGGAGGTTGCAGTGAGCCTAGATGGCGCCACTGCACTCCAGCCTGAGTGAGAGAGCGACTCCATCTCGAAAGAAAGAAAGAAAGAAAAGAAAGAAGAGAAAGAAAGAAAGAAAGAAGGAAGGAAGGAAAGAAAAGAAAGAAAGAAAGAAGGAAAGAAAGAAAGAAAGAAAGAAAGAAAGAAAGAAAGAAAGAGAAAGAAGGAAAGAAAGAAAGAAAGAAAGAAAGAAAGAAAGAAAGAAAGAAAGAAAAGAAGAAAGGGAAAAAAAAGAAAAGAAAGAGACATACACAGCAAGTAACAGTCAGTGAGGGAGCCACTTGGGCCATTGGCTTCCCTGCATCGTTTCCCCTATTCCTAGCCCCTTGAGCTGAAGCAGGACGCCCCTGGAGAACCTCCTGGGGCCTCACTGCAGCCAGCCCTGGCTCCTCTTGGGGGCACTTGTCATCCAAAGTGTGCACCCAAGAGGTGCCCCATCACATACAGCCTCATGGCTCTCCCAGGTCGGCCCGGCAGCAGATCCGAGCCCCGTGCCACCGGCAGCCTCACCTTCTCATGCTTGCGCAGCAGCTCGTGCCGCTGGAGGAAGTACTGGTCTTTGAGCTGCTGCTTCACCAGCTGGTGCCTCTCCTGCAGCTGGTGCTCTTCCATCTCCCACAGGGCTGCTTCCCGGTCTGCAGAGGACATGCCACCGAGCTGGTGAGGTGCTGACAACCAGAGACTCGACAGGCCCCCTGCCCCCCACCTCTGCCTGGCCTCCTCATGCTGGAGATGATAACCAACCTGCTGGGCTCAGGAATTGCCACATGTTCTACCTCATTAGACCATGTTGGCTGATCTGAGCTGAGGCCTAGAAACTTCCTTTAAGCCTAAGGAATGAGAGCTCCCAGGAGCATGGTATAGCAGGAAGTATTCAAAGTCAGGAGCCACAGAAACTGCAGCTATAGGCTGGAACCCAGCTCCATCGGTGGGATTAGGAATGGAGAGGTTCTCTAGGCATCAGCTGCCATGTCTGCCAGATGGACACAGCTATACCATGGAGGGAGGGGACGTCCTTGGGAGAAACTTTGAAGTGCAAAGTTTCCACACTGCATCTCTACCTTCCTGATGGGCACCTGGGAAGAGCTCAGATGGAGACCCCATGAAGAAGACAGAATGGCCTCTTGTCACTATTTCCTCCTTTGAAAAATGGGTGAGATCCTCCTTGTCTCCTGCACGTCCCAGGCATGCGTTATGAAGACAATGAAGATACTGGCATCTTAACACTGGAGGTCTATTAATCCACCCCTGTGCACAGCACCCGGGTGGGGACCTGGGGTCAAAGGGAGAATCTCACGCCCTTCGAGACAGGAGATTATGCTTGGCTCAGTGCGAATGTTGTTTATTTCACTGCATTCCTGTTCCGTGCAAAATGGTATCTGCTTTTGGTATATCAGAATAGTGATTCTGGCTTCCACCCCAAAATCAGAACCACAGTTCTGTAAATAGGACGGTTCTTACCAACATCATGGGATAGGAAAAGGAAGTGAGGGCTTTTCTCAAAACAACTGTGCTCTATTCAGAATATTGAAAACTCAAGAACCCTGTTTTGCTGATCCACATCAAATAATAAGAGGTTTATCTTGCTTAACTGCACTGGTCATCAAAGGCCTGGATGAGGCCTGTTTTATAAATGAGCCAAAAATTGCCCTGGGATATTGGCCTCGTGTTGTTTACTTCCTCACAGCAGGCTTGGACCGTCAAAAGTCCACAGGCACCAAACTCAAATTTGTACCCATCCTCTTGTTATTTTTAAAACATAATATGTACGGCCAGGCACAGTGGCTCACACCGTAGTCCCAGCATTTTGGGAGGCTGAGGTGGGCAGATCGCTTGAGCCTAGAAACCTGAGACCAGCCTGGGCAAAATGGCGAAACCCAGTCTCTACTAAAAATATAAAAATCAGCTGGGTGTGGTGGTGTGCACCTGTAATCACAGCTGCTCAGGGGCCTAAGGCATGAGAATTGCTTGAACAGGGGAGGCAGAGGCTGCAGTGAGCCAATATCGTGCCACTGCACTCCAGCCTGAGTGACAGAGTAAGACTTGGTCTCAAAAAACAAAAACAAAAAAAATGTATATAGTTACATAAAAAAGCTCAAACAGGGCCAGGCGCGGTGGCTCATGCCTGTAATCCTAGCACTTTGGGAGGCCGACGCAGGCAGATCACAAGGTCAGGAGATTGAGACCATCCTGGCTAACACGGTGAGACCCCGTCTCTACTAAAAATACAAAAAAAAAAAAATTAGCTGGGCATGGTGGCGGGCGCCTGTAGTCCCAGCTACTCAGGAGGCTGAGGCAGGAGAATGGCGCAGTGGCTCACACCTGTAATCCCAGCACTTTGGGAGGCCAAGGCAGGTGGATTGCTTAAGGTCAGGAGTTCAAGACCGGCCTGGCCAACATGGTGAAATCCCATCTCTCCTAAAAATATAAAAAATTAGCTGGACATGGTGGCGCAAAGCTGTAATCATCCCAGCTATGAAGGAGGCTAAGGCAGAAGAACTGCTTGAACCTGGGAGGTGGAGGTTGCAGTGAGCTAAGATTGTGCCACTGCACTCCAGCCTGGATGACACAGTGAGACAGCGAGACTCTCCATCTCAAAAAAAAAAAAAAAAAAAAAAGCTCAAACCAAGCAGATATTTAGCCATTTGGAGCCTGCCTACTTTGCATACCCCATGAAACTGCACCTAACATCTGCCAGCCATAGAGATGGAAGACCCAAGGGCTCCATAAAGACCCCAAGCCACCGTTGCCCTTTGCAGTTCTCTGACCCAGAGACGCCCCGTCTGAGCTCCCCACGCTGGACGACATCATCTAGACATGTGAGCCCCCTCTCAGTCCCCTTCTTGCCCAAGAGTTCCTTTGCCCTCTTCCCCTGCTGGATGGTGGCCCGCACCATCATCTCCAGAAAGCCTCATTCTGTAAGGGACCCCCTCAGCGTGTCAACTTGTCAAAATGCCCCCCAAGCAAAGCTGCTGGTATGCTACTGCCATCTTGTGGTCATTTATTTTTCCTCAATCAGCCCAGAAATCCCTTGAACTCCCAACAGCACCAGGGTAGGCCCGGCTTCCTGATATTGTCATCCAAGGCCCAGCTCTATCACCCATTAACTGTGCAACCTCAGTGCTATGATCTAAACGTTTGTGTCCCCTCCCCAAATGTGTATGTTGGAATCTTAACCCCTGAGGTGAGGGTATTAGGAGATGGGGCTTTTTGGGAGGTGATTAGGTCATGAGGGTGGAGCCCTCGTGAATGGAATTAGTGCCTTTTTATTAATAAAAGAGACCCCAGGCTGGGCACGTTGGCTTATGCCTCTAATCCCAGCACTTTGGGAGGCTGAGACAGGCAGACCACTTGAGCCCAAGACTTTGAGACCAGCCTGGACAACACAGAAGACCCCATTTACACAAAAAACACAAAAATTAGCCAAGCGTGGTAGCACGTGCCTGTAGTCCCAGCTACTTGGGAGGCTGAAGTCAGAGGACTGCTTGAGCCTCAGAGGCAGAGGTCACAATGAGCCATGACTGTGCCACTGCACTCCAGCCTTGGCTACAGAGCTAGACCCTGTCTCAATAAATAAATAAATAAACAAAAATCCCCAAAACCCAAAAAACCACAAAACCCCAAAAACCCAGAGACCCCAGAGCTAGTCTCCCTTCCACTATGTGAGGATACAGTGAGAAGGTGCCATCTATGAAGCAGAGAGTAAGTCCTCTCCAGACCACAAATGTGCTGGCACCCTGACTGTGGATTTCCCAGCCTCCAGAAGTGTGGGAAATGAATGTCTGTTGTTGATAAGCCACCCAGTCAGTGGTATTTTGTTACAGCAGCCTGAATGAACTAAGATACTTGGCCAAAGAATAGTAACTCTCCAAGCCTCAGTTTCCTCATCTACAGAAATGGGGATAACCTAGGCCCTGCCTCACAGTGTTAGGTGAGGATTTGATGAGATAAAGGTAGAAAAATGGACTGGCACATGGCCTGGCAGAGTGGTTGCTCAGTCCACGCCAAGCTCTCTCCACCTCCCGTAAATCCAGCTCACTTATTAACATACTCTGCCTGTTTCTTTCTTTTCTTCTCTTGACTTCTGGAATAATCTCAAATAGTCTTGGTGACAACTGGTGTCCTTACCTCGTTCCTTACTTCAAGTGGGGCTTTTCCCCAGGTTTCCCCATGAAGAATGATGTTTAGTTTTGGGGATGGAGAAGGCCTGGGAGGTTCTTGTTGCCCACCCCACTTCCCAGGGCTGGGATGTCCACAGCGACTCTGGGCCAAGACAGCGCTGCCACTTGCACACCCCCACCTCGAAGGAGCTCCTGCTTCTTCATGAGGCACTCGCGCTCCTTGTCACAGATCTCCCGCCTGTTGTCGGTGGTGAGCCTCTTCATGGCCAGCTCCAGGTCCTCCTTCTGCTTGGCTACAAAGTCCCGGTCCTGTGGGGAGAGAGGAGGACAGGCCTTTATCCAGAGCCGGCTTGGGCACCTCCATGTCTCTTCCTATTATGGGAGAAAAGCCCGCGTGATCAGAGAAGAAAATGCAGGAACAGAAAAGAAATTGGTGGAGGAGAAATTTAAGGGAGACTTAGAGACGCATCAACCAATTTCAACATGTGGGCTTCATCTGGATCCTGGATCAAAGAACAGTCTCGGTCTGTCACCAGAGCTGGAGTGCAGTGGCATGATCTCGGCTCACTGCAACCTCTGCCTCCCGCGTTCAAGTGATTCTCCTGCCTCAGCCTCCTGAGTAGCTGGGATTATAGGTGAGCACCACCACTCCTGACTAATTTTTGTATTTTTAGTAGAGACGGGGTTTCACCATGTTGGTCAGGCTGGTCTCAAACTCCTGACCTTGTGATCTGCCTGCCTCGTCCTCCCAAAGTGCTGGGATTACAGGAGTGATTGGAAACTGGAATACTGACAACATGACGTTGTTCAGCAATTATTGTTGAATTTGCTAGGTGTGTTTATGGTATGGTAGTTATTTCTGTGATGTTTGACAGGTAAAATAATATGATGTCTGGGATTTGATTAAAAAGAATACCTTGGGGTCAGGGAGTGAATGAGTGGACATGAGGTGATATTACTGAGATTAGGTGACAGGTATATGGTAGTTCATTATACCTATTCCCATGTTACTTTTCTTTTTTCTTTTTTTTTTTTTGAGAGAGAGTCTCGCTCTGTCACCCAGGCTGGAGTGCAATGGCGTGATCTCAGCTCGCTGCAACCTCAGCCTCCCAGGTTCAAGTGATTCTCCCATCTCAGCTTCCTGAGTAGCTGGGACTACAGGTGCACACCACCACACCTGGCTAACTTTTGTATTTTTAGTAGAGACGGGGTTTCACCATGTTGGCCAGGCTGGTCTTCAACTCCTGGCCTCAAGTGATCCACCCGCCTCGGCCTCCCTATTCCTGTGTTTTTAATTTTCCATAATAAAGGGTAAAAAAAATTAAAATAAAAAAATTTAGAAACCACGGAATTAGTAAAACTCTCCACTCATCTTATCCCCCAGAGTTGGCAGCTGCGGTAGGTATGTCTATACAAGTGTATCTATAGCTATTGTTATTGCTGTGTTACAAAAATTATTAAAAAGGGCTCAAAGAGATATGTGTGCACCCAAGTTCACAGCAGCATTATTCACAACAGTCAAGGGATGAAAACAGCCCACGTGTCCGTCGATAGATAAATGGATAAATCATGTGTTATATCCACACAATGGAATATTATTCAGCCTTAAAAAGGAAGGAAATTCTGACACATGCAACAACATGGATGAACCTTGAGGACATTACGCTAAGTGAAATAAGCCAGTCACAAAAGGACAAATATTCTATGATTCCACTTACATGAGGTACCTAGAGTAGTCAAATTCATAGGGAAAGCAGAATAAAGTTACCAAGGGTTGGAGGAGAAGAAATGGAGAATTACGGTTTGATGGGTGCAGAGTTTCAGTTTTACAAGACAAGAGAGTTCTGGAGATAGATGGCGGAGATGGCCGCACAATGTGAATAGGCTTAACGCCACTACACTGTACACTTAATAATGGTAAAGATGGTAAACTTTATGTTATGACTATTTTACCACAATTTTAAAAAATTATTTTAAGAAATCTTTCCATGTTATAATGTGATCTTCTGGCCAGGTGCAGTGGCTCATGCCTGTAATCCCAGCACGTTGGGAGACTGAGGCAGGCGGATCACCTGAGGTCAGGAGTTCGAGACCAGCCTGGCCAACATGGTGAAACCCTAACTCTATTAAAAATACAAAAATTAGCTAGGCGTGATGGCAGGCACCTGTAGTCCCAGCTACTTGGGAGGCTGAGGCAGGAGAATTGCTTGAACCCAGGAGGCAGAGGTTGCAGTGAGCTGAGATCGTGCCACCGCACTCCAGCCTGGGCAACAGAGTGAGACTCCATCTCAAAAAAGAAAAAAAAAAAACTGGGATGAAACTCCCAGTTTTGAAACTCCGTCTCAGATAAATAAATAATGTGATCTTCTATCACATGTGTTTGAATGGCTGAAAATATTTCATGCTATGGATGTTATTTATCCAATAAACAACAGGGTGTCTCTAGGTTTTATCTATTTTAAATAGCGCTACTTCATATTCTGGTAGCTAAGTATTTGTGAACCTCTGTGATAACTCCTTCAGGATTTTCAGATTCCCTCAGGATTTCTAGAAGCAGAAAATCCAAGCCAAAGGATGTGTACATCTTCAAAGCTCTCCATGCAACTGCCTCCTCCAGGCCAATCTGCTGTCCCTCTGCGTGGATGAGGGCCTGTGTGCCCCGCCCTCACCAGTCCTGCGTTCTCTTCCTAATCGTGCTGTAATGGGACAGACAGGTCATAGGGTGTCCCGGAGAGAACACAAGCTTGAGGCCTCGACCCCCTCCCTGAATGTGAACTCAGCAATGTTACCTCTCTCAGCCTTTGTTTCCTCTTCTGCGAATGGGAAAATGAACAGCTCCTACCATAGTAAGCTATGAATGCTGAAGCAGGTAATATACAAAGCATTTCTAAATATGGACTCAAAAATTCTTTGCTTTGGGGGCTGAGGAAGCAGAACACACAAAGACCCCCTCGTGGGGGAAAATAGGAGCATTCCGGCAAAGGATGAAAAGAAGGCTGGGGAGGCCGGCCAGGGCACAGCAAAGAGGCGGCGCTTATCTTAGGGACAATGTGGGAGCCACTGAAGGGTTTTAAGGCACAGGGCTGTGGGGGGAAGGGTGCTATTATCAGACTTGGAATTCACATTGATCACACGCAGGCAGGAGAGAAGAAACTGCAGGGGAAAAACAGCTACAGGAAGCCTCGCTGGGAGGCCACTGGACAGTGGCTGGGGGATCATGGAGATGGTGACGAGTTCATAGATCCAGAGACAGGAGATAAGAAATATACATACCATGCTTCTGGAGGTGACGAAGGACTGGAGGGAAAGGAGGCGTCAGGAATGATGGGCCAGAAAGGAAGGAAAATGGCACCCCCTCAGAGCATAACAGGACCAGGTCTGGGACATCACAAGTTTGATGTCCTTCAGACTTAAAAGATGCCAAGTGGGCAGGGGAATATACTGGGTTGGTCAAGGAGATGTGACTTACAAATAAATAACCCTAAAACAAGGTAGGAGGTGCTAAGGGTTTGGGAGGTGGTCAATGTAAAGTGTTGGGGTATCCAGAGATGGAAGAGCTTACTTCCAGATGGAGGCAGGGCAATCGAGGAAGGCTGCATGGAGGAGGGGATAATGGGGCCATGAAGGATGAGGCCAGATTTAGGTATTCAGAACGGGGTATTTGAGGGGCAGGGATTGGGCAAAGGCAGAGAGGGGGCCTGGTCACCATTCCAGGTCTCGCACCAGCCCCTGCGCTCCCCAGCTGAGGCCAGGGACTCACAAGAAGCTGCTTTTTCTGCGTGTGCTCCTCCATCTTCTGCTTCATGCTTTCCTTCCGCTGCTGTCGGGGGAGCTTCTCCACCTCGTTCTTCACCTGCAGCAGAGACAGCAGAGAGTAGCTGGGTCAGGGTCCTCTCCATGCTTCCTACAGTATAATCTTCAACGCAGAACCCCCGGGCCAGAGAAACCAAAGAAGAGGCTCAGCTTTGCAGCGGCCAGCACCCTACGCGGCTCCCCACCAAGCCCCTCTGAGCAGGTGCTCCACACTGGCCTACTCCTGCCTGCCGCTGGTTTCAGCTTCCAACTCCCCCAGAGTGGGCAGGTGCTGTTTTCAGCAGCTTGGTATCCACCCCCCTCTTCTGGTAACAGCACCTCAGTTTCCTGCAGGGAAGTGTTTCTCAACCTTTTTAAAAAATTACAGTCCCTACAGAAGTTCTTTTAGACATTTTTCCCTAATCCCTCTCCCCCCATGAAATACTAGTCCAACAGACAATATCGTCAATCTGACAAACCATTGTCATATTTCAGTTATTTTGCTTCCTTTAGGGTAACACTAGCCGGGCTGAAAATGCACTTTTTTTTTTTTTTTTTTTTGAGATGGAATCAAGCAATTCTCCTGCCTAAGCCTTCCAAGTAGCTGGCATTACAAGTGTGCACCACCACACCTGGCTAATTTTTGTATTTTTAGTAGAGATGGGGTTTCACCATGTTGGCCAGGCTGGTCTCAAACTCCTGACCTCAAGTGATCTGCCTGCCTGGGCCTCCCAAAGTGCAGGGATTACAGGCATGTGCCACCGCGCCTGGCCGAGAATGCATACTTTAGTATCCCCCTTGTCAGCCCCTGAGGTCCAGGTGAACTGACATCCCTACCCCCGCTGGCCCTGGGCTGAGCATCTGATCCAGGCTGGCCAAGCAGCATATTCCATGCCCTTAGCCTCAGGAACTGATTCAGAGATAAGCACGTGACCCTCACTGGTCCAGTGTGAGCTTTGGGACGTTTGCTGGAACTACTGAAGAAAAGCTACCTGCTGTCCTCTGGGGTTGTTAAACTGGAGGGATGAAGGCCAAGGTGAGTCACCTTGTCAGCCCCTGGAGGGGACTGCCTGAGATGAACTCAGCACAGGGAAGCAATGTCCAGAGATGAGAAGAAGAATCCCTGGCAACACTCCTGCCCTCCTGGTCAGACGCCAGCAAGTGTTCTTTCCTTCTTAAGCCAGCTGGGATTGGGTTTCTGTCTTTTATAACAGGAGGGAGAAGAGATCCATGACACTTCTCTCTAAGGACCTTAGAGTTCCTCAGACAGTTCCTTCCCAAGAAACCCACACCTTCACAGGTGCCTAATAACCCAAAACCTGCATTGACAGAGGGCTCTTAAGAGCATCTGATGGGGGGAAAGGCCCGCCTGTGATCAAAAAGAGAGCATTCCAGGGAGTTCTGGCATGGTGAGGTAAGCCAAGACAGGCTGTGTCTCCTGATAATTACAGTGAAAACTCTGCATCAAATATGAAAGCAGCTACTTGAGGACTCTGAAAACCAAACAAAAGCAGGTGGCACGAAGGGGAGTCAAAACTTGCAGACAAGACTGGTACAGGGGATAAGTTTCCTATTTTTTTTTTCACCCTTTTGCTCTCCTGGCTTTGCACCAATTCCAGACCTGCCCAGTAGTGCAGTAGAAAAGCTGGCTAAAACTCTGTAAGAAACCTTGTGTTTCTGGCCAGAGAACCAGGAAAAGAGGCCTGTGCAGTCCAGTGAGTATGGGATGAATCCCAAAGAGAAGGGCACAGAAGGCCAGGCGGAGTGGCTCACGCCTGTAATCCCAGCACTTTGGGAGGCCGAGAAAGGTGGATCACTTGAGGTCAGGAGTTCAAGACCAGCCTTGGGCAACATGGTGAAACCCTGTCTCTACTAAAAATACAAAAATCAGCCGGGTGTGGTGGCACATGCCAGTTATCCCAGCTCCTTGGGAAGGAGGCATGAGAATCACTTGAACTCAGGCGGCGTAGGTTGCAGTGAGCCGAGATCATACCATTGAACTTCCAGCCTGAGGGACAGAGCGAGACTCCGTCTCAAAAACAAAGAGAAGAGCGCAGGAAAAGGGAAATTCCTAACTGTGTGTGTGAACACAGAGATTCACCCCTGAGCTGAGTATGAGTGAGACAGGTGCCAAGCAGTATAGCAAAAAACAAAAAAAGCAAAGACCCAACTAAACTAACACTGAAACCACTACCCACAGAAGATCAGACAGAACCTGTGGTCTGCAGGGTTTCCTGTTAAACAAAAAACATCTACATTCTTCAAAAGATTATAATACGGACCCACAGTCTACAGAACATAACACTGAAATGTCAGGGATAGCCAGGCACGGTGGCTCACACCTGTAATCCCAGCACTTTGGGAGGCTGGGTGGATCACCTGAGCTCAGGAGTTCGAGACCAACCTGGGCAACATGGCAAAAACCCGTCTCTACAGAAAATATTAATACAAAAAACTAGCTGGGTGTGGTGCCAGTGCACCTGTAGTCTCAGCTACTCAGGAGGCTGAAGTGGGAGGATCACTTTAGCCCAGGAGGTTGAGGCTGCAGTGAGCTGTGACTGCACCACTGCACTCCATCCTGGGCAACAGAGCAAGACCCTGTCTCTAAATAAATAAATAGAATAAATAAATAAATAAATAAATAAATAAATAAATAAATAGAATAAAATGCCAAGGAAACAATAAAAAATTACTCTACATACAAAGAATCAGGAAATAGAACCAATTTTCAAAGAAAAAGGCAATCAATAGATGTCAGCTCCGGGATGACACAGATGTTGGGACTGGCAGAAAGAAACTTTAAAGCAGCTATTATAACTGTACTCCATGAGGTAAAGCCCTTTAATATTTCAAGTATGGAAAGATGAAAGTTCACAGCCCAGAAAAACTATTTTTTAAAAAATTAGAAAATTTAAAACTAAACAATACAATGTCTGAAATTAAAATAAAACAATAGTGGAATGGTGATCACAGAGGAGGGTCATTCATTTGAAGACTGATTAATAAAGATTATATAATATGAATGATAGAGAGAAAAAAAGATGAAAAAGAGGAAGGTTTCAGGAACTTATGGGAAAATTATCAAAAGCTCAATGAAACCCAAACAGGTTAAATTAAAAGAAAACCACCCTCATACATATCATAATAAAACTTGAAAACCAAACACTAAAAAAATTCAGGAGAGTAGTTAAGAGAAATGTGACATATTAACACAGGAAAATAATGACTCCAGTGACCATGGATTCCCCAACAGACACTAGGGAGGCCAAAAGCCACCGGAGTATCATCCTTAAAGTGCTGAAAGAAGGGCCGGGCGCGGTGGCTCACGCCTGTAATCCCAGCACTTGGGGAGGCTAAGGCGGGTGGATCACGAGGTCAGGAATTCAAGACAAGCCTGGCCAAGATGGTGAAACCCTGTCTCTACTAAAAATACAAAAAAATTAGCTGGGTATGGTGACAGGCGCCTGTAATCCCAGCTACTCAGGAGGCTGAAGCAGAGAACTGCTTGAACCCGGGAGGCACAGGTTGCAGTGAGCCGAGATCACACCACTGCACTCCAGTCTGGGCGACAGAGCGAGACTCTGTCTCAAAAAAAAAAAGTGCTGAGATAGGTATGTCTAGTGAAACTATCCTTCAGAAATGAAAGTAAAATAAAGACATTTTCAGATGAAGGAAAGTAGGAAACTTTGTGGTCAGGAAGAAAGGCTACATTGGAAGTTCTTCAGGTTGAAAAGAAGTGAGCTGAGAAGAAAACTTGTATCTTCAGTAAAAAAGAAAGAGTGACAGAAATGGTAAATATCTGGATAAACATAATCAACACTTTTTCCCTTAAGATCTTTAAAATCTCAATGACCATTTAAAGCAAAAGTTGTCACATTGTCTGGTATGGTTTTTAATATATGTAGATATAATACATGTGATAGGCCAGGTGTGGTGGCTCACACCTGTAATGCCAGCACTTTGGGAGGCTGAGGTGGGCGGATTGCTTGAGGCCAGGCAAGACCAGCCTGGCCAACATGGTGAAACCCTGTCTCTAGGCATGAGAACTGCTTGAACCCAGGAGGCAGAGGTTGCAGTGAGCCAAGATCATACCATTGCACTTCAGCCTGGGCGACAGAGCAAGACTCTGCCTCAAAAAAAAAAAACAAAACCAAAAACGTGACAATTATAACAAAATTGAGAAAGTATCAAGAAATTTACATGGTTGTAAAGGTACATTTTACTTAAAGAATTACAATATCAACTCTAAATAGATGCTGAGATAGGTATGTATATTATAATGCCCCAGAGCAACCATTAAACACAAACACACACACACACATAAAATATAAACTAATTCATGAATTAAAAAATAATACTAAAAATATTCAAATACTTCAAAAGGAGGTAGAAAAACAGGGAAGAGAGGAACAAAAACCAAAGGAGACAAAACAGGTAATAATTTAATTAAATATAAATGCCATAAACACCTCTACTAAAAAACAAAGATTTTCAGATGGGATTAAAAAAAATGAAAGCACAACTATATGCTGTCAACAAGAAACCCATGTTAAATATAAAGATTTAGACAGGTTAAATTGAAAGGATGGGAAAAGATACTGTATGCAAACACTTATCAAAAGAAAGTAGGATTGGCTATTTATTAGACAAGGTAGACTTCAGAACAAGGAATATTATCAGGAATAATGATGGGCATTATATAATTATAAAAGGAAGACTCAGTTCACTAAGAAAATATGACTATTTTAGTCTTAGCTAAAGTCTAGGAGGCTGAGGAGGATCACTTGAGCCCAGGAGTTTGAGGGCACTCTGGGCAACATAGTTAGACTTCCATTGCAAAGAAAATAAACAAATAAATAAATAAAAGAAAATGTGACTATTTAAAATAACAAAATAATTTCAAAAATGTGAAACAAAAGCTGACAGAACTGAATGAGAAATAGATAAATCCACAATTACAGTTGGAGATGTTAACATTCCTTTCTCAGTAGCCAGTAGAACAAGTGGTCAGAAAATCAGTAAGAATAGAGAAGACCTGAACAATACTATCAATTAAGTTGACCTACTTGACATTTATAGAATACTCCACTCAACAACAGCAGAATACACATCCTTTTCAAGTGCACACGGAACACTCAGCAACACAGACCACATCCCGGACCATAAAACAAGCCATAATACATTTTTAAAAACTGAAATCTTAAAAAATATATGGGCCGGGCGTGGTGGCTCATGCCTGTAATCCCAGCACTTTGGGAGGCTGAGGCATGTGGATCACCTGAGGTCAAGAGTTCAAGACCAGCCTGGCCAACATGGTGAAACCCTGTCTCTACTAAAAATACAAAAATTAGCTGGGTGTGGTGGCATGTGCCTGTAATCCCAGCTACTTGGGGGGCTGAGGCAGGAGAATCACTTGAACCCGGGAGGCAGAGGTTGCAGTGAGCCGAGATCATGCCATTGCACTCCAGCCTGGGCGACAAGAGCAAAATTCCACCTCAAAAAAATATATATCTATATATCTATATATCTATATATATATGTTATTTGATTTGATCATAATGAAATCAAACTAAAAAACAATAAGAGAAAGATATGAGAGCCCCAAAACATTTTAAAATTAAACAACAAGCTTTTAAATAACCTGGGTCAAAGAGGAAGTTGCAAAGGAAATTAAAAAGTAATTGGTATTGAATAAAAATGAAAATACAACATATAAAGATTTGTGGAATGAAGCTAAAACAGTGCTCCATTTATAGCATTAAGTGAAATTTATAGCATTAAGTGCTTAAAGAATAGTCTCAAATCAATGTTCTAAATGAGCTTCTACATTAAGAAACCATAAAAAGAAGAGCAATTTAAACCCAAGACTAATATAACAGCAGAAATCAATAACATTGAAAAGAGAAAAATCAATGAAACCAAAAGCTGGTTCTTTGATAAGGTCAATAAAATTAATAATTAGACTGACAGGGAAGGAGGAGGAGAGGAGGAGGAGAAGGAGGATGAGAAGATGACAATACAAAATACCAATATGAGGGATGAAAGAAAGAACATCACTATAGATGCTACAGGCATTAAAAGGATAGTCAGGAAATATTTAATGCCAATAAATTTGAGTATTAAAATGAAATCTACAAATTCCTTGAAAGACAGAAGCTACTAAAGTTTACTTAAGAAGAAACAGGCCAGGGGCGGTGGTGTATCCCAGCACTTTGGGAGGCTGAGGCGGGCAGATCACCTGAAATCAGAAGTTTAAGACCAGCCTGGCTAACATGGTGAGAGCCCATGTCTACTAAAAATACAAAAACATTAGCCGGGTGTGGTGGCACGCACCTGTAATCCCAGCTACTCAGGAGGCTGAGCAGGAGAATCGCTTGAACCTGGGAGGCAGAGGTTGCAGTGAGCTGAGATTGCACCACTGCTCTCCAGCCTGGGCGACAGAGTGAGACGCTCTCTATCTCAAAAAAAAAAAAAAAAAAAAAAAAAAAAAGAAATAGGTATTTCATTGGAAGGCCATGTAACAATGAAAAGTTTAAAAAAAAAAAAAAGAAGAAGAAATAGATAACTAAAACTGAGGCAGGATAGGTAGCAAAAAAAAAAAAAAAAAAAAAATGACCAGGTTCTCTGGACACAGCAACTATGGTGACCATACAGTCAACACCATAAGCCTCAGCATTCTCATTGTAATTGAGCTCATTCAAGCACAGCTATCTTCAGTAGGGGATTTTCCCTGTAGGGAGCAAGCACATTTTGATTTTACCTGTCCTCCGACTGACTCTTTGTTCATTGTAATAGTAAAAAACACATCCCTGGGTAGAGATGTAAGATGCTAATGAGACAGTGACAAATGAACAAGCATGTACAGCTACTACAGCTGTGCACCCAGAGGACCACCCAGAACATGCTTCCTGGCAACGCCTCTTCCCACCTACTTAGGAACCATCATGTAAGGCTCCCTTTAAAAGAGTCTCCCTAGTGCCAGTCTTTGCTGTCTCGTCCTTACAAGCAGCCCACTCTGAATTCTCTCTCTCTCAGGGTGTACTGTCTATTCTATACCTAACTTTCAAAATATTATTTTCCTTTTGCAATAAATCACTCTATGCTGCATCTCCTTTGCTGTGTGTCTCATGTTTAAATTCTTTAAAGCCAAGAAGACAAGAACCGAGGTATCACAACAGCTGTCAACAAAACCAGATAGACATCACAAGAAAACCACAGATCGATATCCTTCATGAACACAGACCCCAAAATCCTCACCAAAATATCAGCAAATTGAGTCCAGTAATATATAAAAAGGAAAATATACAATAACCAAGTGGTTCTTACCCCAAAAAGGCAAAGCTGATGCAATATTTTAAAATCAAGCAATATAATTTATATCAACAGACTAACAGAAGAAAAACCATATGATCATATCAATTGATACATGAAACCCATTTGATAAAATTCAACACCTATTCATAATGAAATTGATTGGCATACTAGGAATAGGAGACTTAAAAAATTTTTTTTCTTTTCTTTTCTTTTTTTTTTGAGATGGAGTCTTGCTCTGTCGCCCAGGCTGGAGTGCAGTGGCGCAATCTCGGCTCACTGCAAGATCCGCCTACCGGGTTCATGCCATTCTCCTGCCTCAGCCTCCCGAGTAGCTGGGACTACAGGCGCACACTGCCACGCCTGGCTAATTTTTTGTATTTTTAGTAGAGATGGGGTTTCACCCTGTGTTAGCCAGGATGGTCTCGATCTCCTGACCTTGTGATCCGCCTGCCTCGGCCTCCCAAAGTGCTAGGATTACAGGCGTGAGCCACCGCGCCTGGCCTCTTTTCTTTCTTTTTAACCTCAGCTTCTGCGTCTGTATAAAGAGACTTTCTTAATCCAATGAGGGCAGCTATAAACAGCCCTATTGCTAGCATCATACTTAATGATGAGATATTGAATGCCTTCCCCTTAAAATGGGGAACAAGGCAAAGATGTCCTCTCTACTATTCCTATTCAACATCCTACTGGAGGCCTTGGCTAGCACAATAAAGCAATTAAAAAATAAAAAGCATACAGATTGAAAAGGAAGCAATAAGACCGTTTCTATTTGTAGATATGATGTCTATGTAGAAAATCTCAAGGAATCTACAAAGAAAGATACGAGTACTAATAAGTGAGTTTAACAAGATTGCAGTACAAGATTAATATATAAATATCAATGTATTTTTACAATCTAGCAATGAACAATTAGAATTTTTCTTTTCCAAGTTGGGTTTTACTTTGTTCCCAGGCTAAAGCACAGTGGTGCAATTATGGCTCACTTGCAGCCTCGAACTCCTGGGCTCAAGTGATCCTCTCTCACCTCAGCTTCCCAAGCAGCTGGGATTACAGGTGCATGCCACCACACCCAGCTAATTATTTATTTATTTATTTATTTTTTGAGATGAAGTCTTGCTCTGTCACCCAGGCTGGAGTGCAGTAGTGGTGCGATCTTGGCTCACTGCAGCCTCTGCCTCCCGGGTTCAAGCAATTCTCCTGCTTCAGCCTCCCAAGTAGCTGGGATTACAGATGCACACCACCACATTGGCTAATTTTTGTATTTTTAGTAGAGATGAGGTTTCACCATGTTGACCAGGCTGGTCTTGAACTCCTGACCTCAAGTGGTCTGCCTGCCTCAGCCTTCCAAAGTGCTGGGATTACAGGTATGAGTCACCGCACCCAACCTAATTTTTAATTTTTTTTTTGTTTGTTTTAGAGACAGGGTTTCAGTATGTTGCCCAGGCTGGTCTCAAACTCCTGGCCTCAAGTGATCCTCCCATCTCAGTCTCTTTAGTTGCTAGGATTATAGGCGTAAGCCACTGCATCTGGCAGAAATTGATTTTTTTTAAAAAGTATGTTGCATAACAGCACCAAAAACATGAAATAAATATAATTCAAGGCCGGGAGCAGTGGCTCATGCCTATAATCCTAGCACTTTGGGAGGCTGAGTTGGGTGGATAATTTGAGGTCAGAAGTTCCAGACCAGCTTGGCCAACATGGTGAAACCCCATCTCTACTAAAAATAGCAAAAAAAAAAAAAAAAAAAAAATTAGTCAGGCGTGGTGGCACACACCTGTAATCCCAGCTACCTGGGAGGCTGAGGCAAGAGAAACGCTTGAACCTGGGAGGCGGAGGTTGTAGTGAGCCAAGATCACGCCACTACACTCCAGTCTAGGTGACAGAGCAAGACTCTGTCTCAAATAATAATAATAATAATAATAATTCGAATATAAATATAAAATATATAGTGAATCTGTATGCTCAAATTAAAAACACTAAGGAAATGTAACAAAGAAGACCTAAGTAAATGGAGAGATATGTTATGCTCAATATTGTTCAGATGTCCTATCTCTCCACACTGATCTATGAATTCAACTCAATCCCAATCAAAAACTCAGCAGGTATTTCACAGAAATCAGTAGGATGATTCTAAGGTTTATATAGAAAGGCAAAAGAACTAGAATGGCCAAACAACTTTAAAAAACAAGGACAAAGTTGGAAGACTCACACTACCTGATTTCACGGCTTTTATAAAGCTACAATCGTCAAGACACTGTAGTATTGGTGAAGGACAGACAAATAGATCGGTGAAACAGCAGAGAATCCAGAAATACCACATACAAGTATATGTGGTCAACTAACTTTTCACAAAGGTACAAAAGCAATTCAGTGGAAAAAGGATAGCCTTTTCAACAAATGGTGCTGGAATAATCAGACATCCATAGGCAATAATTATTATTATAGCAGTAATAATAATAGTGAACCTAACCCACACCTTATATCTTATATAACAATGAACTCAAAATGGATTATATATCAAAATATAAAACCTAAAATTGTAAAACTTCTAAAGCATGTGATGTTGGGTTAGGCAAAGATTTCTTGGATATACTGCTAATAGCATAATCCCTAAAAGAAAAAATGATAAAACAGACTTCATCAAAAACAAAGTACTAATTAAAAAATTAGCAGCCGGGTGCGTTGGCTCACAACAGTAATCATGGCACTTTCGGAAACCGAAGCAGGCGGATCACTTGAGGTCAGGAGTTTAAGGCCAGCCTGGCCAACATGGTGAAACCCTGTCTCTAATAAAAATACAAAAATGAGCTAAGTGTGGTGGCGCATGTCTGTAATCCCAGTTACTTGGGAGGCTGAGGCAGGAGGATTGCTCGAACCCACGAGCTGCAGGGTGCAAGTAAGCTGAGATTGCACCACTGCACTCCAGCCTGGGGGACCGAGTGAGACTCCATTAAAAAAAAAAAAAATTAGCTGAGTGTGTTGGTATGTGCCTTTTGTCCCAGCTACTTGGGAGGCTGAGGTGGGAGCCCAGGAATTCAAGGCTATATTGAGCCATGATTGTACCACTGCATTCCATCCTGGAAGGCAGACCAAGACCCTGTCAAAAAAAGAAAAAAAAAAAAAAGTACTTCTGCTCTATACAAGACACTGTTAGGAGAAAAGACAAGCCACAGGCTGGAAGTAAATGTGGGCAAAATACAACATATTTGAGAAAATACTTGCATACAGAATCTAAAAGGAACTGTTGATATTCAGTAGTAAGAAAAATCACCCAGTTAAATAAACGGCCAAAGATCTGACCCAATACTTCACTAAAAAATACATATGGGTGCCAGGCGCGGTGGCTCATGCCTGTAATCCCAGCACTTTGGGAGGCCGAGGTGGGCGGATCTTCTGGGGTCAGGAGTTCAAGACCATCCTGGCCAACATGGTGAAACCCCATCTCTACTAAAAATACAAAAATTAGCTGCGCATGGTGGCAGGTGCCTGTAGTCCCAGCTACTCGGGAGGCTGAGGCAGGAGAATCGCTTGAACCTGGAAGGTGGTGGAGGTTGCAGTGAGCCGAGATCGTGCCATTGCACTCCAGCCTGGGCGACAAGAGCGAAACTCCATCTCAAGATAAATAAATAAATAAAATAAAATAAATACATATGGGTAGCAAGTGAGCACACGAAAAGATACTCAAATCATTAGTTGTTAGTGAAATGTGAATTAGAAACCACAATGAAACACCACTTTACACCTATCAGAATGGCTAAAAAACCTGACAATTGCAAGTGCTGGTGAGGACCTGGAGCAACTGGAACTCTTGTACCTCGTTGTGATGTAAAATGATCCAGCTCTTTTTGGAACAGTCTGGCAGTCTCTCATAAAGTCAAACATGCACTTACCACCTGACCCCAAAATCCCAGCAGCTATTCTTGTCTCTTCTTTCAATTCTTGGATTTATTTTTTTCATGGTCTTAGATTTGTAATCTGAATCCTTCTCCTATGTTCTTTGGCCTAATGGTCTTAGATCAGGGTTTTGCAACTTCAGCACTACTGACCTTGAGGGTGGAGAGTTCTTTGTTGTGGGGGCTGTCCTGTGCATTTGTTGTGGGGGCTGTCCTGTGCGTTAGTTGTGGGGGCTGTCCTGTGCATTTGTTGTGGGGGCGTCCTGTGCATTTGTTGTGGGGGCGTCCTGTGCGTTAGTTGTGGGGGCTGTCCTGTGCGTTAGTTGTAGGGGCTGTCCTGTGCGTTAGTTGTGGGGGCGTCCTGTGCGTTAGTTGTGGGGGCTGTCCTGTGCGTTAGTTGTGGGGGCTGTCCTGTGCATTTGTTGTGGGGGCGTCCTGTGCATTTGTTGTGGGGGCGTCCTGTGCGTTAGTTGTGGGGGCTGTCCTGTGCATTTGTTGTGGGGGCGTCCTGTGCGTTAGTTGTGGGGGCGTCCTGTGCGTTAGTTGTGGGGGCGTCCTGTGCATTATAGGAAGTTAGCAGCATCCCTGGCTTCTACCTGCTCAATGCCAGTAGCACTGCTCCCTTATTTCCCCAGTGGTGACAACCAAAATGTTTCCAGATATTGCCAATTGGCCCCCACGGAACAAAATAGTCCCCGGTTGAGGATCACTGTCTTAGAAGTCCTAGTAAAATATTTAAATCTTATTTGTGCCACTTCTGCTTCCATATCAAAGGGTCGCCTTGGAGATGCTATATAACCCTAGTTCAGCATCTGGCTGTGGTGTCTGCCAAAATGCCTTTCGACAGCACCATCTCAGGCATCATACAATTTAAAGGCCTCACGAGCTTAAAACTGTGCTGTTGCAAGCATGATTTCTTGATTTTCCAGGACAGACAATTAGAAGCAGCAGTTTAGTAAAGGATTTCTGCCAAAGGCACCAAAAACACGAAGAAACGTCACACCACTGACCATGGAGGGCGAAGGCAAAGGAACAGTAAAAGTAGAGTCACATGGGACCACTTGACAAAGGGGCACAGGACTTCCATCCATCAGTATCCCCCGAGGACATTCACATACCAGCACTGCTCTCCCGCTGAGATCTACTGACAGGCAGGGGCAGGGGAACTGCATGCTGCTGGATGTCAGAAAACCTGCATTCTAGTCCAGCTACGTGTCTTCAGAAAAGTTACTGAACTCGTTCGAGTTCCTCATTTTCTCATCAGGAAAAGCCATCTGGCTTTCAACTAAAATTTCTTTAGGGATCCTTCGAGGGTTACAATTCTGTGGTGTTACAGAGATCCAAACTATTTAATAGCTAAATTCTGTTTATTGAACTTTGCCCGGGAAGGCAGGAAAACAGAGTTCTGGAAAGATTTCCTTCAAGACTGGTTATATTTGTTTTCAGATTTCAGTGATCTAAGAAGTTACAACTGTCAAGCCAGTTTCTCATGGATGCTAGAGATTACTTGGTATATAGGAACTGAGTAGCAGACCATCAAGTCCCTTCTTACAGAGTTGTGAGAATGTATCCACATTAATTGTATATGCATATATACACATACACAGGAAGATGCAGTAAATTACTTGAAATTGACATGAAGAATAAATAGGTCCCTGTTCAACTACCTTGCTAATAATTATTTTTCCTATATGTGTATTTCCTTATTGAAAAGTGATTAGCATGATAAATATCCCACACCAATTGCTGTAATACTGAAGAGGGTCCCAGGAGGCTTCTCAAATCTTATTGGTTTTTTTTTTTTGGTGTGTGTTTCCCACGCCTGAATTTAAATTATGACATGCTCTCTCACACTGATTGGATCGTAGGGAAATGGACAGGGTACACACTTCCTTGCTCTGGGCTGGTTAAAGGAAAGTGCCTGTTGCATATGCGTATGGTCTCCCTCTCCAGCATCCACGTGTGAATTACTCTGTTGCAGCACTGGAATGGCTGATGCATCTGTAGGTAGTTCAGAGGCTGCTCACCTGGTGGGGGGGGTCTCGTCCCTTCTAATTCTGTCCATCACCCCTGCTGCTGCATCCTGACCACTATGTCAAGGGCAATAGGCCAGACCTCCCATTCCTACTTGGAATTCCTACTTCCTCACCCAGCACCTTGCAGCCCTCACAGAGGTGACCTTTGGAATCAGAGAAGGAGTTCTTAGGAGTGTGGAGTAGGCAATGGCAAGACAGTGCCATCTGGGATATCTGGGGTTGCCATGGAGCAAAGCCTCTCACTGGCCTCCTGCCATCGCTGTGTTACATAAGTAAACTGCAGAATCAAAGCAAGAAAGTTTGCCTACACAAAAGACCAGTAACTGGGACACCATCTTACTAAACGGTGTGAGCCCTGTCCTCAAAAAGCCAAAAGAGTCTGGGTGCAATGGCTCACGCCTATAATCCCAACAGTTTGGGAGGCCGAGGCAGGAGGATCACTTGAGGCCAGGAATTCAAGACCAGCCTGGGCAAGTAAGTGAGACCCCTATTCCTACAAAAATTTTTTTAAAAAATTAGCAGGGTCCCAAATACTCAGGAGGCTGGAGCAGGAGGATCACTTGAGCCCAGGAGTTCAAGGCTGCAGTGACCCGTGACTGTGCCACTGCATTCCAGCCTCATCATTAAAAAAAAAAAAAAAAAAAAAAAAAAAAAAGCCAAAAGAGCAAAGAAGTTAAGCTCTTTCTTTCCATGAAAACTTCTTGAAGAAAAACACCCATAGAAAAAGATATTTGAAAAAACTGAATGTGAGCGGAACCCCAGGTGCCAGATCCCACGCTCTGCCTCGTTCAGAGGCAGGCTCGAGAGCCTTCCTGGAACCCTGCTGGTGAGGAAGTCCAACTTTGTTAAGGGCAAGTTCTGGGAAAGGGTGAGGAGATCTGTGGCTTCCCCCATCCCCTCCTAAACTAGGCAACTTCCTCTGTCGCCTCCTCTCTCTCCCACTCTTATAAGTCCACACACACACACACACACACACACACACACACGGTGTGCACATGTGACAGGGCGCAGAGCCAAGGAGGGAATGGGCATCTACCCAGCTCTTATTCCAAGCAGATACTGGGTCTAACCCTGAATGTACTTCTCATTTAATGCTAAAACATCTATGTAAGGACAGGATGTTAACAGGATTATTAAAATAGCACACTCCTGCCTGTGGCCCACTGCCCTACGTGGTCTCTGCCTACCTGTCTGATTCTACCTTGTGCCAATCTCCCCTTTGCTTCCTAAGCTCCTGCTACATGGATGGTTTTCCAGCTCTTTGAACACTCCAAGCTCTTTCTCATACCTCAGGACCTCTGCAGGTGCTGTCCCACCCTCCTGGAAGGTTCTTAGGCCTCCCAGCATCCTTCTGTACTCAGCTTACATGTCATACACTGAGAGGCTTTCCCAGACCCATCTAAAGCAGATCTCTCCAGATCTCTAGTCAGCCAGTCTATATGCTTCCCTAGCATGTTGGCAACTGTTTTATTTGTTCAATATTGGACTTTTTGTTTGTTTGTCTGGCTTCTCTGGAAATTAACAGATCCGGAAATTAATAGAATATATACATATATTTATTTATTTATTTATTTATTTATTTTTGAGATGGAGTTTTGCTCTTGTTGCCCAGGCTGGACTGCAATGGCATGATCTCGGCTCACTGCAACCTCCGTCTCCTGGGTTCGAGCAGTTCTCCTGCTCAGCCTCCCGAGTAGCTGGGATTAAGGCACCTGTGATCATGCCTGACTAATTTTTTTGTGTTTTTAGCAGAGATGGGGTTTCACCATGTTGGCCAGGCTGGTTTCGAACTCCTGACCTCAAGTGATCCGCCCGCCTGGGCCTCCCAAAGTGCTGGGATTACAAGTGTGAGCCATGGCACCCGGCTGCATTAAAATTTTTTTTATCTTGATGACTGAGTTTTTGGGTCCTCTGAAATGTGCAGGTATACCTCATTTTTTCATGCTTCACTTTATTACACTTTGCAGATACTGTCATTTTTACAAATTGAAGGTTTGTGGCAACTCTGTGTCGAGCAAGTCTATCAGTGTCATTTTTCCAAAAGCATGTGCTCACTTCCTGTCTGTTCACATTTTGGTAATTCTCGCAATATTTCACATTTTTTCATTATTATTATCTCTATTATGACGATCTGTGATGAGTGAGCTCTGATGTTACTCCTGTAATTGTTATAGGGTGCCACGAGCCCATATAAGACAGCAAACTTAATCAATAAGTGTTGAATGTGATCTGACTGCTCCACAGACTGGCCTTTCCCCTGTCTCTTCCCCTCTCCTCAGGCCTCCCTATTCTCTGAGACACAACGATATTGATATTAGGCCAATTAATATCCCTACAATGGCCTCTAAGTGTTCACGTGAAAGCAGGAGTTGCGTGTCTCTCACTTTAAATCAAAAGCTAGAAATGATGAAGCTTAGTGAGGAAGGCATGGAGAAAACCTACTGGGTCAAAAGGAAGGCCTCCTACACCAGACGGTTAGCCAAGTTGTGAATGCAAAGAAAAAGTTCTTGAAAGATAAAAGTGCTACTCCAATGAACACGAATGATGAGAAAGCAAAACAGCCTATGCTGAGATAAACTTTGAGTGGTCTGGGTAGAAGATCAAACCAGCTATAACACTCCCTTATGCCAAAGCCTGATCCAGGGCAAGGCCCTAAATCTCTTCAATTCTGTGAAGGCTGAGAGAGGTGAGGAAGCTGAGGAAGAAAGGCTGGAAGCTAGCAGAGGTTGGTTCATGATGTTCAAGAAAAGATGCCATCTCCATAACGTGAAAGTGCAAGGTGCAGCAGCAAGTGCTGACGGAGAAGCTGCAGTGAGTAATCCTGAAGACCTAGCTAAGATCATTGATGAAAGTGGCTGCACTAAACAATGGATTTTCAATGTAGATGAAACAGCTTTCTGTTGGTAGAAAATGCCATCTAGGACTCTCATAACTACAGAGAAGTCAATGCCTGGCTTCAAAGCTTCAAAGGACAGGCTGACTCTCTTGTTAGGGTTTCATGCTGATGGTGACTTGAAGTTGAAGCCAATGCTCATTTACCATTTTGAAAATCCTAGGGCCCTTAAGAATCATGCTAAGCTGGGCATGGTGGCTCATGCCTATAACCTCAGTACTTTGAGAGGCCTAGGCGGGCAGATCATGAGGTTAGGAGTTTGAGACCAGCCTGGCCAATATGGTGAAACCCCATCTCTACCAAAAATACAAAAATTAGCCAAGCGTGGTGGTGCGTGCCTGTAGTCCCAGCTACTCGGGAGGCTGAGGCAGAAGAATCGCTTGAACTCGGGAGGCAGAGGTTGCAGTGAGCCGAGATTGTGCCACTGCACTCCAGCCTGGGTGACAGACTGAGACTCCATCTCCAAAAAAAAAAAAAAAAAAAAAATCAGGCTAAATCTACTCTGCTTGTGCTCTAAAAATGAAGCCACAAAGCCCAGGTGACAGCACATCTGTGTACAGCATGGTTTACTGAATATTGACTGGCTTTATTGCAGTATTCGCTTTATTGCGGTGGTATGGAACCAAACCCACAGTATCTCCGAGGTATATCTGTGCCTAAGGTGACTGCCTCAACTGCTCAGCTGGCCAGGAACCCTGGCTCCCAGAGGCAGCTTCCCAAGGCCTCTGGGATGCCCCCGAATGTCATGCCCACCATGGTAAAGTCTGGAATCTGGGCTCTGAGGTCCTCTGAGGACCACCCTCAGAGGCTGCTCATCCACTGCTACCAGTTGGGAGACTGGGAACAGCCTGGACTGGCGTTCCTGCCCTGGGGGCTTCCAGCCTGCTTGTCTCCTTCCTCCACAGAGGGAGGCATGGGCTGTTCTTTGACACTCAGATGCCTCTCTCCAGAGCAGCTCGAGAGATGTGCCTCAGGACCACATACCTCCTTCCATCCTCCCCTTCCCCTTCCAACATGGGGAGGAGGAGGAGGCAGAGAGGGTGGAGCATAGAGGGCATGTTGTATGTGCCTACCCACCCAGCACCCACTCGCCCTTCTGGGAACAGCATCTCAAATTCCCCCGGACCACCAGCCCTTCCTTCTTCCCCGCTCTTTCTCGGCAGGGGTTGCTAAGCTGGGAGGATGTAAAGGAAGCTGCCTGAGGCCACAGGGTGAGGCCTGCCCTGAGCCATAGCAACACAGAGGAAAGCAGAGTTCAGAAGATGGAGAAGTGGCTCCTCATGGCGCAGCTTGGGCACACAGATCCAGGCTCACCTGCTCCCGAGCTCTTCAGCCGTACCCCTCTGCTGCCAAGGTGAGGTTGAGGCCACGATCACTTGCAACCAAGAAGGCCCCTAATACTCCGAGATGCCCCTGCCCCCACTGAGCACATACTCACCTCTTTCTTCATCAGTTTGAGCTGCTCTTGGAACCTGGTGTAGTCCCGATCCTGCTCCAGGCGGATCCGCCTGGCCTCCTCCCGGCGGCGCACGGCATGGTCTTGCTCCATCTTCTCCACTTGCTGCTTTTGCTGACGCTCCAGGTTCTCTAATTCCGTGTCAAAGAACTTCTTCTTGGCCTGAAAGGAGCAGAAATTCTGAGAAACTTAGCGAAGTCACTTTATACCTGGGAGGGACATGGGAAGTGGAATGGGGAGAACTCAGAGCTTGTGATCAGACCTAAGCTTGAATCCCAGCTCTACTACCCCGTTGCTGTGTGACCTGGGGCAAGTTACTTAGCCTGAGTCTCCATTTCCTCATCTGCAAAAGGGAGACCAGACCATGTGTTGTTGCACGGTGCTCAATACAGGTTATTTCCCCTCTGGAGATCCTCCTGTGGGACTCAGGATCGCTGTGACCTTCACGGGGTTCTGTGTTAACAAGTCACTGCCTAACAAGATCGGGAAGCCCCCAGGAATTGGGCAATTGTTGTGAATTACTCTCCACTACCCAATCATTCCCACTATGTAGCTTCCACTGAGAGAACACCTGGAGGCAAGAAGCCCTGCAGGGTCCCATCTTTTCTCGCACTCACGTTGATTTCCTGTTCAAAACGTTTATGCATTTGCTCCAGCTGCAGCTCATGCTTGTTACTCAGCTGGGTCTGGTTCCGATGCTCTTCTTTCTGGAGCAGCCGAAGCTCTCGGAGTTCCTGGCGCCTGAAAGGTTAAAGGATACAGATATTTCACAGTAAGAAACTGGCTTCAGAGATCACAATATTTGCAACTTGGAACACTGAAGGTTGGATCATGGAGCAAAATCACACAAGTCTGGGGCACAGGCATGACTAGAACTCAGGCTTCATTTGATATTTATTGACAGACAAAACCTTAATAATCTTAATAAATAAAGAGTGCTTACAAATCAATAAAAAGGAAGATTATCCTAACCAAAAAAAGTGGCAAAGAACATGAACAGACATGAAGCAAAAGATAAAAAGAAATTTTAGAATCACCTATATAGATATAAAATACAAATGAAAAAGAAACTATAATTTCTTGATGTAGAAAACATAATGCAGAAAATTTGATGTAGAAACTACATTTTCATGATGTAGAAAATTTGATGGTAGAAACTGGTACATTTCTGGAGGACAATTTGGTAATAAGCTTATGTTTTTTGACATAGTAGTTTCCACTTCTGGATACTGATTTTAAAGAAATATTTATAGATGCACAAAACCACTGAATAAGAATATTCAGCTGGGTGTGGTGGCTCACACCTGTAATTCCAGCACTTTGGGAGGCCAAAGCAGAAGAATCACCTGAGGTCAGGAGTTTGAGACCAGCCTGGCCAACATGGCAAAACCCCATCTCTACTAAAAATACAAAAATTAGCTGGACATGGTGGCACACGCCTGTACTCCCAGCTACTCAGGAGGCTGAGGCAGGAGAATCGCTTGAACCTGGGAGGTGGAGGTTCCAGTGGGCCGAGATGACGCCATTGCACTCCAGCCTGGACTACAAGAGCGAAACTCCGTCTCAACAACACAAAAAAAAGAAAAAAAAAAAAAAAAAGAATAATCAGTCATTTAAAATGAATGTTATTTAGTAAAAAATTGGAAGCAAATGTCCATCAATATAGGTCTATGTAAATAAAGTATATTGATATGATGGAATTCTATACAACCTTAAAAAAATCAAGTTTTAGAAAATGTTTAATTACATAAGGAAACATATTAAAAATAATAATTCAGCTGGGCACAGTGGCTCATACCTGTAATCCCAGCACTTTGGGAGGCCGAGGAGGGTGGATCACCTGAGGTCGGGGGTTCAAGACCAGCCTGACCAACATGGAGAACCCCATCTCTACTAAAAATACAAAATTAGCTGGGTGTGGTGGTGCATGCCTGTAATCCCAGCTACTTAAGAGGCTGAGGCAAGAGAATCGCTTGAATCCGGGAGGCGGAGGTTGCAGTGAGCCGAGATAGCGCCACTGCACTCCCGCCTGGGCAACAAGGGCAAAATTCTGTCTCAAAATAATAATAATAATAATAATAATAATATTTATGAACAGATATGGAGTAATCTCTAGGTAAAAAAAAGCAAGATATTAAAGAATAGGTCTGTTATGCCACCTTATCTGGGAGAAAAAGGACAACAATGTCTCTGTACACACATATATGTATTGTTTACTTTTCTAGTATCTCTGGAAGGATTAAACCATAAAACACTAACACAGGAAAGGGAACTGGATTTCTGGTAGGAAAATGAAGAGGGAAATTTTTCACTGTTTATCTTCTTTCTTTTTTTTTTTAATTTCGAACCATGGACCTTATACAGGTAGAGTATCCTTTACTGAAAAAGCTTGGGACCAGAAGTGTTTTGGGTGTCAGATTTTTTTAGATTGTAGAATATTATACTTACTGAACGAGCATCCCTAATCTGAAAATCTGAAGTCCGAAATGTTCCAGTGAGAATTTGATGTCAGTGCTCAAAAAGTTGCAGATTTTGGAGCATTTTGGATTTTGGATTTTTTGATTTGGGATGTTTAACCTTTATTATCTGCTAAAAAATATATAATAAAAATTTGACCTAGGCCATGCGTGGTGGCCCATGCCTATAATCCCAGTACTTTGGGAGGCCGAGTTGGGAGGATCACTTGAGCTCAGGAGTTCAAGACCAGCCTGGGCCACATAGCGAGACCTCATCTCTGCCAAAAATACAAAAATTAGCCGGGCATGGTGGTGCATGTGTGTGGTCCCAGCTACTTAAAAGGCTGAGGCCGGAAGATTGCTTGAGCCCAGGAGGTCCAGGCTGCAGTGAGCCGTGACTATGCCGCTTGCACTCCAGCCTGGGCAACAGAGCAAGATCCTGTGTTAAAAAAAGAAAAAAAAATTGACCTAAGCAACATGCCCTAATTATATATATATATTTATGTTGTCAGTGTATGTGTGTACTCACAGAAAAAATATCGGAGGGATAAGCCCCAAGTGTTAACCACGTTTCTTAATGAGCAAATCCATTAAAAATTGCTATGTAGGCCGGGCGCGGTGGCTCACACCTGTAATCCCAGCACTTTGGGGGGCTGAGGCTGGCGGATCACTTGAGGTCAGGAGTTCAAAACCAGCCTGGCCAACATGGTGAAACCCCATCTCTACTAAAAATACAAAAATTAGCCAGGTATGGTGGTGCACGTCTGTAATCCCAGCTACTTGGGAGGCTGAGGCAGGAGAATGGCGTGAACCTGGGAGGCAGAGGTTGTAGTGAGCCGAGATCACACCACTGCACTCCAGCCTGGGCGACAGAGTGAGACTCCATTTCAAAAAAAAAAAAAAGAGAGAGAAAATTGCTACATATCATTCATATAATCGGAAAAAAAGAAAAAACCAAACTACTACAGAAAGAACCTAGGCCTCCTGACTGAACTGGAGGCTCCTGGCGGCCTCTCAGGGTTGGGGTCCGTGAGGCCTGTGTCCTAGTCCAGTGCGGCACCATGCTGATTCCCATGAGGCCACGCTCTGACCCCAGTGGCCTTCCTCATGACTCGGAGGGGCCATAACTGCTCACAGAACTGCCCCCCAAGAGCAGCACAAGGAGGGGTTGGGCAGTGCAGCGAGGCCAAGAGCATTCTCTGGGGTCGCAGCGCCCCTGTGTGAATCTAGGCTCAGTCAGCTTTCCAGCTGGGTGCCCGCTCGGGGAGTCACTTATCCTTGTGGGACTCACTCCCTCCTCTGCAAAATGAGGCTAACAATCTTTACCTGTTGGGTCCTTTGAAGGATAAATGAGATGACACAGGTAAAGTGCCCACGTGGCACATGACCAGCACTCTGTAAATGGCAACTGGTCGAATTCTACCAAGGAAGAAGAGGCAATGGCTGCCCTGCCTCTGGGAAAAGCCAGAGGCGCTTTCTACAGCCACAGAGGGAAGACTGTCTGAGCCTCTGCTTTTCTGGAAAGTGGGAAGAGAGGAGGCAGGTTTTGAGAGTGTTAACGAGGAAATGGAAATCCTGACTCAAGAGAAACTAAGGTTTAGAGAAGAACTGACAAAAAGCCTAAAAGGAGTACAGAAAGAAGGCAGGCAGCCAGCTCTAGCACTCCCTGGTCCACCTGTGCTCTCAGAAGGAAAGGCAAGCAAAGAGAAGGCTGAGGCTCAAGAGCGAGGGAACGGCAGAAGCCGTTTTAGGGAAGGACAGGAGGAACTCTGCCCGGAAGCCTCATCAGTCTGAGAATGTGATAAATGCTCAGCCACATGGTTCAGATGCCTAGGTGTGACCCAATTCTCCAAAAACGCCAGGGGTCAGGTATGACCAGGGGCCTGGGCCAGCAGGGGATGATCAGGGCCTTCCACACCCCTGTGGTCTGGTGGCCTGGCCTAGTTTACAGGCGCTCAGACCTCCAGACCACGGCAGGCAAGCGAGAAAATCCCGGTTC
This sequence comes from Homo sapiens, assembly GCF_000001405.40. Taxonomy (NCBI): domain Eukaryota; kingdom Metazoa; phylum Chordata; class Mammalia; order Primates; family Hominidae; genus Homo; species Homo sapiens. Next base: position 172,086,799 of record NC_000005.10, read on the forward strand.
CTGCCGAGCACCTCTTCACCTCCTCGAGGTCTCCCCTTTTGACCCTGAGTAGCACACAGCTGCTCTGCTCAGGAGGAGGGTGGGGAACCACAGCCAGGGCCAGAGAGCACTGCTTCTCCATGGGGTGTGGCCAATCTAGAATTTATCCCTGAGAACTTCAATTGCCCAGAGGGGAGGTGATGGAAACCCAGCTCTTGAGGTTGAAACTCAGAGTCCAGGGTGCCTCTCAGGTGACCATTAGAACAGAAGGTGGTTTCATCTGCCAAAGCAACCTGTGCCCTAGCCTCCCGACCCACACAGATGACACCAGTGTGTGTGTGTGTGTGTGTGTGTGTGTGTGTGTGTGTGTGTGTGTGGTGTATGCAGATACACTAGTGAAAAGTCTGTTTTTCCTCCCTCTGTCTCCTAGAGGGAGAAGAGATCCACAACATCTAAAACTACTTTTATTTGGTTTTGGCTTATTTATTTATTTATTTATTTATTTATTTACTTTTGAGACAGAATCTCACCCTGTCGCCCAGGCTGGAGTGTAGTGACACAATCTCGGCTCACTGCAACCTCCGCCTCCTGGGTTCAAGTGATTCTCCTGTCTCAGCCTCCCGAGTAGCTGGGATTACAGACGCCGGCCACCACAGCTGGCTAATTTTTGTAGTTTTAGTAGAGACCAGGTTTTGCCATGTTGGCCAGGCTTTTCTCGAACTCCTGACCTCAGGTGATCCACTCGCCTAGGCCTCCCAAAGTGCTGGGATTACAGGTGTGAGCCACTACACCTGGCCTATGCTTTCATTTTTTACAATTTATTTTTTAAATTTATTTACTTATTTATTTTTTTTTTTTTTTTGAGACGGAGTCTCGCTCTGTCGCCCAGGCCGGACTGCGGACTGCAGTGGCGCAATCTCGGCTCACTGCAAGCTCCGCCTCCCGGGTTCACGCCATTCTCCTGCCTCAGCCTCCCGAGTAGCTGGGACTACAGGCGCCCGCCACCGCGCCCGGCTAATTTTTTGTATTTTTAGTAGAGACGGGGTTTCACCTTGTTAGCCAGGATGGTCTCGATCTCCTGACCTCATGATCCACCCGCCTCGGCCTCCCAAAGTGCTGGGATTACAGGCGTGAGCCACCGCGCCCGGCCTTAAATTTATTTTTGAGAGATAGAGTCTTGCTCTGTTACCCAGGCTGGAGTGCGGTGGCATGAACGCAGCTCACTGCAGCCTTGACCTCCTATGCTCAAGTGATCCTCCCACTTCAGCCTCCCGAGTAGCTGGGACTACAGGTATGTGCCCAGCTAATTTTAAAATTTTTTTGTAGAGACACTAGGTTGCCCAGATGGTCTCGAACTCCTGGGCTCAAGTGATCCTCTCACTTCAGCCTCCCAAAGTGCTGAAATTACAGGTGTGTGCTGCTGTGCCCAGCTGCATGGTTAAACGTTTAAAAAAATATGAGTATTAGGCCGGGCGCGGTGGCTCACATCTGTAATTCCAGCACTTTGGGAGGCCGAGGTGGGCGGATCACAAGGTCAGGAGTTTGAGACCAGCCTGGCCAATACGGTGAAACCCCGTGTGTACTAAAAATACAAAAATTAGCCGGGCATGGTGGCGGGCACCTGTAGTCCCAGCTACTCAGGAGGCTGAGGCAAGAGAATCGCTTGAACCCGGGAGGCAGAAGTTGCACTGAACCAAGATAGCACCACTGCACTCCAGCCTGAGCGACAGAGCGAGACTCCATCTCAAAAAATAAATAAATACATAAAATTAAAAAAATTTTAATTCACATGTATAAAAATATGTGATTAATGTTCTAGAAATTTTCTCTACACTAACCATGAATTTACCCTGCAAAGGCCTGGCCCCCAGGGGACTCCGTGGCTCCATGGCCTCCCTAAGTGTTAAGCTCCCCCAACCCCTGCCAGCTACATGGTCCAGTGAAACCTGAAGGAATTCTCACACACACAGACCCAGTTAGAATCTCAGCTTTACCCCTGCCTAACTGGAAGACCCAGGGCAAGTGACTTACTTGCCCAGAAATAGTGTTTCCTCATTTGTTTAAAAAATGTGGAAATAGGGTCTCCCGAAGGAGGGCTGTAAGTGGGGGATGAACAACTGAAAAGTATAAAGCTGATCCTAGCAAACAGCTTTGCCTCACACCTTCCTCCCTGTTCCAGTCCTTTACCAACTCACTGGTTTTGCCTCCAAAATGTAGGTCAAATCTGACCATGTTTTTCCCTCTTCCCGGCCACTGCCCCAGCCTGAGCCCAGAGCCTGCCCATCCTAGTCAAGATCTCCCTCTCTCCCTCCACCAGTCCCTTAAACAAGCTGAGTAGTTATCCCTCAGGGCCTCAGCAACTGCAATTTCCCCTGGGCTCCCCCAGCTCTCCTCCCCTTATCCTTTAGGCCTGGCTCAGGGGCTTCCCTTGGAGCAGCCTCCCCTACTCCAAGCACTCACTATCATGTCACCTGTTACTTGTTTCATGGCATGTACCACAATCAGGGATTATCTTGTGTACTGTATGTTGGCCCATTAGGTGTAAGTTCTACAAGGGCAATGGCCTTATCTATTTGGGTCACCACCTTGTCTCCAACCTGGTGGGTTGGTGGATACATGGATGGATGGATGGATGGATGGATGGATGGATGGATGGATGGATGGATGGATGGTTAGGTAGATAGGTGGAAGGCTGAATGGGTAGATGAGTGGGTGGGTGGATGGATGACTGGATGGATGATTGGGTGGACAGACGGAAAGGTAGATAGGGAGTAGGTAAATAGATAGATGGGTAGATAAATGGATAGAAGGATAAAATGGACGGATGGGTGATTGGGTGGATGGATAGATAAACAGATGGATAATTCGGCAGATGAAGGGAAGGATGGAATGGTGAGTGAGTAGAAGGATGGGTGGATTGTTAGGTGGATAGATGGAAGGTGAGTGAGTGGGTAGATGAATCAGTGGATGAGTGGATGAATGGATGGATGAATGGATGGGTGAATGACTGGGTGGATAGATGGATAGGCAGACAGGTGAGTAGGTGGATTGATGCGTGGATAAATGAATGGAAGGATGGATGATTAAGTAGATAGGTAGATGAATGGGTGGACAGTTGGATGGATGGATGGAAAGTTGAGTGGGTAGATAGGTGGATGGGTGGAGGGGTGAGTGGGTGGAAGGATGGGTAGACGGATGGGTGGATAGATGAATAGGTAGATAGGTGAGTAGGTGGATAGATGGGTGAATAAATGAATGGATGAGTGGATAGATAGGTGAACGGTTGGGTAGATGGGGGAGTGCAGGATCGCAGGCAAAATGAGTTTCCTTTTGCCTCCTTGATTCCCCCACTTCATGCTGTAGACAGACAGCCCTCTCACCAAAGGACCAATGCCCACTCCTCTTACCATAGCCCCACCCTGTTACCACCATTGGTGGCCCTTCCCAGGCTTGCCTGAGAAATCTCATCTCCTCATCCTTCTTCTCATCTTCGCTGATGATCTTGGAGGTGGTGATGCTCACCTCCACACCATCCACCACAAATTTGCGTGTCCGCTTGAGGGTTTTTTTGTACAGTTTCGGGTCCTGGCCAGGGAAAACCATTAGACAAGTCTCAGCATTTCAGCTAAGGACCCATGGCTGTCGCAGCAGGTGAGGCCACAGCTCTGCTGGGCCCACAGCTTCAGAACCACCCCCAGAGAGATGTGGCCATCCATCGTCCCTCTTGCCTCAACTTAACCTAGGAGCTGGGGGTTCTGAGCTTATTCCCTTGCTCTTCCCTGATCTCAGCCTTCAGAAACTGTGCTGAGGCCTCCCCTACCTTGCTGCCAGCACCTCTCATGCATCCAGGACATGGTGTCAGAAAGAGCTGCGTTCTTGCCAGGCACGGTGGCTTACGCTTGTAATCCCAGCACTTTGGGAGGCCGAGGCAGGCGGATCACAAGGTCAGGAGTTCGAGACCAGCCTGGCCAACACAGTGAAACCCTGTCTCTACTAAAAATACAAAAAGTAGCCAGGCATGGTGGCAGGTGCCTGTAATCACAGCTACTTGGGAGGCTGAGGCAGGAGAATCACTTGAACCCAGGAGGCGGAGTTTGCAGAGAGCTTAGATCACGCCACTGCACTCCAGCCTGGGCCATACAGCTAGACTCCGTCTCTAAAAAAAAAAAAAAAAAAAAAAAAAAAAAGAGCTGCGTTCTAACCCTCACTGCACCACTTACTTGCTCTGTGTCTCTGGGCCAGCCTCTTGTCCTGTCTGAGCCTCAGCTTCCTCACCTGTTCAGGGAGGATAGTCACACTACTTGCCTCCCAGGGTGGTTGTGAAGATTCAGTGAGAGAACACATGGCAGGCACACAGAGCAGTGCCCACTCCCGGCCTGTGTTCCATGCTTAGCATTTCTTTCTGACAGTTATTACTGCAGACCACACACAATCCTCGCGCATGGTGCCAAAATCCAAAGGAGCCCGAAAACCAAAGGCTGTTTTTATAACTGGTTTGGTAGCCAAAGCTGACCTGGCCTGAACTCCCCACCTGCTAGGAGTCACCATGAGATTACGCATAATCGTCATCTTTTCCTGTGAGTAATCGCACACGCCACAAGTGATTGTGCAGGTGCCACCTGGGATCCTGGAGGTGTTTGTGTGTCATAATACGTGGTACCCTCTGGAAGTTCTCAGCTCTGATTCTGAAGGTGTCCCCATAACCCTCCCGCTCTGCCCACTGCCTCTGGCCTCTTGGTTGGTTTCAAAGCCTCTTTTTTTTTTTTTTTTTGAGATGGAGTCTCGCTCTGTTGCCCAGGCTGGAGTGCAGTGGCGCAGTCTCAGCTCACCACAACCTCTGCCTCCCGGATTCAAGTGATTCTCCTGCCTTAGCCTCCTGAGTGGCTGGGATTACAGGCATGCGCCACCACGCCCGGCTAATTTTTTAATTTTTTTAAGTAGAGACAGGGTTTCACCATGTTGGTAAGGCTGGTCTCGAACTCCTGACCTCGTGATCCACCCGCCTTGGCCTCCCAAAGTGCTGGGATTACAGGTGTGAGCCACGGCGCCCGGCCCAAAGACTCTTTTTGGTGTAGCCCAGCCCTGCCTTCCTAACACGGGGCCTCCCAGCCCCTGAAAGAGGAGTGAGGAGCCAGCGTGGCAGGTCTCTTGACCCCTTGAAATCTATGCTGAGCTCCACTCCTGCTGAGTCGAGAGGGGCAGACTGTTTTTGCTCCCTGAGGTCTGGGCCCCTGTCTCCTGCCCATGGCACCTCGCCCAGGGGCTCTGGACAGCATCAGCATGGACCCAGCATGCCCGACTCTCATCTCTCTACGGTGACCAGCTCACATGTGCCAGGACCCAGTCAGGATGGGTCAGGCCAGCAGTGAGAAGTAGAGGCCGGCAGGAGTGAGAGTGGAGGGGAAGAAAGGGCACCCACAGCCACAGCCCTCTGCTGAGAACTGCTCCTGGCCAGGGGGCCTCCATCCCTGAAGGAACAGGCTCCTAGTCACGCCAGGGGGTGCCGGCACAGCGGGGGACTCTCATGAGAACGGCCTGAGGTCCCTGACGCAATGCAGTCAACCAGAAACATTCTCCACAGCCTTGAGAAGAGCAGGGGAGCCCCTGCTTTAGGTGGGTCTGTCTCATTAAAAAAACAAATAAAAACACCTTTTTTTCACTCAGTGTCTTCAGGAAGAGAAGTGGCAGGATGCCGGTCCTAAGGAAGACGCTGCTCACAGGTAACAGCTGCTGTGCATGCTTGTCCCGGTGGCCTGTTGGAACTGTGCTTCCCTTCCCTGCCTAAAGCTGATTGGCCGTTGCGGCTCCTGTCACTCCCCTTTGCTTAGCAAATATGTTCGAGTCTCTACTGCGTGTTTTTCACCAAGTACATTTGGGAAGGAAAAACAAAATCATACAGTATTTCCTCTAAAATGAGCTTTGGGTAGAGGGTCAGGTGACCCATGGTGAGTTTAGTAACACCCCGGGATTTATCGGGGAGGCCAGGAAAGGAGTCAGCCCCTTCCAGCTCCCTAAGAAGGAGGCCATGGCTCCCACTGGGAAGGTTTAGAGTTTGGAGCCTGGGGTCTGTCCATCTTCCCACTCCTACCTGGCCCTGGGCTGGCTCCTCACTTCTCTGAGCCTCCATCTGCTTATCTGTAAAGTGAGAGGATGAAGGAGCCTGTCTGTTCTTTTTAAAGCACTTTGTACAGGGTTCGCCTCAAGCCCAGGCCTCTAGTGCGGTGGCTATCGTCATTCGCAACACTGCCCACCTCCAGAAAGGCCCCGGAGGCGGGGAAGATGGCTTTGAGCTGTTTCCTTTAGTTGGATTTACCAGTTATCAGCTGGGTCTCGTGGCTGACCTCTGGATGACAGAACTTCATTTGTAGCTAAGGCCTAAGAGTTCTCTCTCCCAAATTTTACCAGGGCCTTTTACCAAGCTTTGAAATTTAAACCCAAACCAACTGCTTTACATTCCTAAATCCCATATTGAACCCAGATATTTTGGAGATTAAACTATGAGTCAAACCCAAAACCCCCTAATGAACCACTTAAAATGCAAGGAAGCCCCTAAATGCTTTTGAAACCAAAATGGAGCCACAGAACATCCTGCAATGGTCTTGCTGCAAGCCCGTGGTGGCAGAGGCGGTGTTACCTTGATGGACAGAGAGCCCATCTCTTTGTTCAGCGACAGGTCAGTGGAGAGATTGGTACCATAGTCCATGCTCTCAGAGGTGCAGAGGCTGCTGCAGTCCGAGTCCCTCTTGGAAGGCCCTGGAGCTGCCTGGGCAGGTGGCTCCAGGCTGCCATTGGCCAGCTTCTCCCCACCCAAGGTCTCCAGGGCGCTGCTGTTGGGCCGGCTCTGGCTGGCCTTTTGAGATCTGTTGGCTGCTGGGCTGAGGTCCCCACCCTGCTCAGCAACTTGCTTCTCCTGGGCTACCTGAATTCTGGCATCCATTGACACGGGTCGGGACTTCCGCAGGGGCACAGGCACTGCCAGGCCGTTCTCATTTCCAGGGGCCACGACTGGGGGACTGGTGGTTTGGAGGGATCTGTCCCCAGAGGGCTGGCTGCAGGGCTCATTCACACTGTCCTGAGACTGGCTGGGTGCCAGCGGGGTGGAAGGTGACTCCTCGAGAGGCTTGTCAGCATTGAGGCTTGGCGGACTCACCTCAGAGGAGTTCTGAGTATGGTTCTCCAGGGTCTAGAAAAATATATATATATATATTAAAGGCCATGCTGCTGTATGTTCAAGGCAAGAGTCAGAGATGCAGTGGAGAAAGTCAGACACCCTCAAGATGAAGTGGGCCAGCGCCAAGAAAGGAGAGCAGATATCTCCCTAGCCAGTCTTCAGCACTCCCTATTGCCTAACCGTAATACAATTACTACTTATTTTGAGGCATGGCAATCTCCTCACTATCTCTAATCTCAGCTGAATGTAATAGCTGTTATTCCTGCTAGGAGGCAGCTGTGGCCAGCTGGCCAGCTCATGGCCCACAGGGAGGGGTCAGTGGCCGCTCCATTCCAGCCAATTGTGACAATGTGGGAAAATGGCTCCCCTGTGGCCAAACCTTCCCAGTTTTTTAATTTTAATTTTTTATTTTATTTATTTATCTATTTTTTTGAGACAGGGTCTTGCTCTGTCACCCAGGCTGGAGTGTAGTGGTGCCATCTTGGCTCAATGCAACCTCCACCTCCTGGGTTCCCACCTGGGAGTGGTCCTCCCACCTCAGCCTCCCGAGGAGCCTCCCGAGTAGCTGGGACTACAGGTGCATGCCACCACACCCAGCTAATTTTTGCATTTTTTAGTAGGGACAGGGTTTCAGTATGTCACCCAGGCTGGTCTCAAACTCCTGGACTCAAGTGATCTGCCCGCCTCGGCCTCCCAAAGTGCTGGGATTAGAGGTGTGTGCCACCGCACCCAGCCAAACCTTCCAATTTTTTAAGACAAGTTTGAAATCTAGGTTTTTAATGGACATCTCTTAATTTTTAGGTGGCAACTAACTCATATTTTTTAAAAAATCATATAAAGGCCAAGCCAAGCCTGTCTGGGGACTGGATTCAGCCCTTGTGGCCACTAAGTTTTCAGCTTCATTTTTGTTTTTTAGAGTCTTTGTTGGGTGGAAAGTACTGGAAATGTTGCTATGCTAAGGTGAAACAGAACATTCTTCCTGTGTATAAAACATAAACATCCAACTTGGTGAATAGAGTGAGTATCCATGTAGCCACTTTCCAGGTCAGGAGGGGACATTGCTTTGCCCCAGAGGGCCATCCCCTGCCGCCCCGTCCTTCTCAGTGGCAATGCTCTCCCACCTCTTGACATAGTCACTGTCCTATGGTCTCTAAGTGCTACAGATGAGCTGTGCCTGCTTATAAACGTGGTATGAATGGATTTATACTATAAGTATTCCTTTGGGTCTTGCCAGCCACCGGTTTTTAACCTCAGCTATGGCAGCTGGTGGAAGCAACTCCAATCTACCTTCTAGTCAACACCCAGAGTGATGGCTCAAAAACGCAGATCTGATTCTGTCACCTCCACCCCAATACCCAGTCCCTGCCTGAAACCCTTCGGGGCTCCCAATACCCACAGGACAAAGATCAGCCTCCTGCATGCAGACAATGAGGCCAGGTGTGAGCGCTTTCTACCTCCTCCTGGAGCCAGGCCCCACTGAGGTTCTCCTACTCCAAATCCACCCCTGGCCCTGCCATCTATCGGCTCAGCCAGCCACTTCACTGTATCGATCTCAGTTTTCCTGTCTGTAAGCTGGAGCTTGGTTACCCTGTGTCAGAGCTGTAGAGGGCCCGGCAGCCACCAGGGGCTCCATGCATGGCGGGGGTGGTTGTGATGATTCCGCTTGCCCTGCCCTTCGGGCTTTCCTTCTTCACCCTGGTGAGGGTCTGCGCCAGCCTCAGGCTCCACCCAGGACTGAATTAAATTTGAGGAAGCTGCAGTGCCGTCCACAGCACAAGGATGTGGGCCAGCTCCATCCCCTGATGGGTAAGTCCAGCCCCTGCTTCTCTAGGCACAGGGAGCCACCGGGATGGCCACCCTATCCCTGGGAAGAGGCCTCCCCAAGTAAGGCCAGGGATTACGGAGCAACAGCTTGGGCCAGAATCCAGCCCACAGACATGTTTTCCTTGGCTCACAGGGTTTTTACAAATTTAAATTAGCTTTAATTTCAATCTAAATCCAGCAAGCACTGAAGCTGCAAAAGAGTTCCAAATGTGCCCAGACATGGGTCCCCTTGGCACTGAGGGCAGCTAGAGGGGGGCCAGGGTGTTGCCTGTGGCCATATGCAGCCTCCCATATTTATCCCAAAATGAGCTAAAAACAGTCTCATTTGGTATGTGAGCTGTGACAGGAACAAAGGATGGGAAGCCATGAATCAGTTACCAACTTTTAAAAATTGGAAGATTTCATGTGAAAATCTAGATCTCTGGTATCTCCTGAAAACTCACAGGATCGGGATCTGGCCAACACCCCCTGCTGCCTCACCCCGGCCCACATGCCATCTTACGTTACCTGCAGCGTGGGAGTCTGCAACCTCTGAGCTGGCAATAAATTGCCTGAGCCAGAGTCCTGGCCTTCCCTGCCCCTCCCACACCAGCAGGGCCAGCTGAGATCCTGTCCTCCCAGCCCCCGCTAAGCCCCACTCTCCCTGGCCTTACGGAGGCGGCATCCACGGCGTCCTCCTCTTCCCCCTCATCCCGGCCGTCTTCGATCTCTTCCATCACCTCGGCCTTGGCCTCAGCCACCAGCTCCCGCAGAGCCTTGTTACTGGTGATGCTGCTGACGAAGGGATGCTGAGGGGGCAAGATGCACCCAGATTAGAACCACTCTGGGGTCACGGTGGGGTGGAAGAGGCTGGGGGAGCTCACCCCCGGGGCAGAAAAGGCCAGCCTCATTCCTGAGCAAAATGTGCACATGAACTTGGAGACCCAGAGACAGCCTGGAAAGTCCCAAGTGTGTTGGAAAGAGGGCAGATCCCAGCTGTGTCTCTCAGCGGCTGTGTGACCTTGAGCATGTCACTTAACCTCTCTGAGCCACAGGCTCCTCATCTCTCAAGTGGACACGTTAACAATGAACCCACAGGGAGGTCATGCGGATTAAATGAGATCATGCACTTGAAAATGCTTAGCCCAAAGTAGGGGCTCAAGCCGTGTTTGCAAGGGAGGGTGTCTATTTTCCTTTTTAAAAGGTTTTAATATATAGTTTTATAAAATATGCTACATACATTTTGTTGAGGAATAACATTCCTACAGCAAAGTTCACAGGTTGTAAAGCTCAATGACTTTTTTGAGACAGAGTTTCACTCTTGTTGCCCAGGCTGGAAGGCAGTTGCGCAATCTTGGCTCACTGCAACCTCCACCTACCAGGTTCAAGGGATTCTCCTGCCTCAGCCTCCCAAGTAGCTGGGATTACAGGCATGTGCCACCACGCCAGGCTAATTTTTTATATTTTTAGTAGAGACGGGGTTTCACCATGTTGGCCAGGCTGGTCTCAAACTCCTGACCTTAAGTGATCCACCCGCCTCAGCCTCCCAAAGTGCTGGGATTACAGGCGTGAGCCACTGTGCCCAGCCTCAATGACTTTTTACATATATATGCACGCACCGTAACTGCCACCCAGCTCAAGATACAGAACATTTCCATCACCGGGGAAGGCTCCCGTCTCCCTTGGCAGGCAACCCCACTCCCACGCCGCCAGCCTCGGGAGCCTGCTCCTCAGCTTCCTAGAAACAGAGCATCGTGTGTGCAGTCTTTCGCGTTGGCTTCCTTTACTCAGCGTCATGACTGTGAGATTCACCTACATTGTCGCCTATTTCAGTAAACTGTTCCTGTTTTATTTCTGTGCAGGGTCTCACTGTATGACTACGGCACAGTTTGTTTATTCATCCTGCTGCTGCTGGACATCTGGGCTGTTTCCCATTTTTGGCAACTATGAATAAAGCTGCAAGAGACATTCTCGTATATGTCTTTGGGTGGACATATGTGTTTGGTTTTAAGAAAGGAAATACAAGATCTTGAGGCAGAGTGGTGTATGTTCTATTCTAGGTTTTTATACAAATGTCAGAGTCTTATTTAAAAGTGAATGTTCTTTTACGGACCTTGCAAAACGCCAAAGCAAAAGGTCTCAGCGATATTAAGTCAGTGTGAGGTATCCTGAGTGAGGGCACCCGGGTATAGCCAGGGATGTGGGATTCCTCAACCCACCACGCTCACCGAAGGCCACTGGGAAAGGAATGATGGGGTGGGGTGGGAGGCATCATGAAGCTAGAATTTGCTCATTTACAATATACAGGAAGGCTCTGATGAAATTCACTGTTTTTACTCTCAGACAATTTATCCGGGGAGGAAGTGTCAACAAGATTGCTGGGGAAGTATTTAAACGACTAAAAAACAAATTTCTAGCACCTGGAAAACACATTCAGAACGTATATGTTCATCACAAATCATTCTTATCTGTTTGTTCATTTAAAACAGTTCATTTGGCCGGGCGCGGTGGCTCAAATGATAAACAAGAGAATTCCAGATCTTGTATAGCTGAGGGTGGTGGAGACTAAAGTCTGCAGGCAGAGGGGCCTCATTCAAGGTCAAATTCAAGCTGAGACCCAAGGGAAAGATCTGGGCACAGAGAATTCCAGGCAGAGGGAGCAGCTGGTACAAAGAAGGCCCTGAGACTGGACTGAGCTTGTTGGGCGGCAGGAGCCATGAGACGGGCAGGATGGTGGGACACACAGGATGCAGAGGAAGGATGGGCCGTGTGTGCAGGTGAGCCACAGAGACTGTCCTCACAAGCCACCAACAGGCTGCAGTGCAGCAGTGATATTCACTACTACCCTTTAGAGATGTCATTCTGGCTGCTCTGTACTTTTAAGAGGTCTTGAGTGGGGCGTTAAGGGTTTACTAATCATAGGAGGCAAAGTAGCATGCAGTTAAGAGTGCTGGCTGTAGACTCTAGAACCAAGGCACCTGGTAAAATCCAGCTTCCACCAACTTGGGCAAGTCACTTAACCCTGAGTCTCAGTTTGCTCATCTATATATTAGGAACAGCTGTTATAAGCATTATGGTAAATGCTCAGATATGGCAGCCATCATCATCATCATCACCACCACCACCATCATCACCTTCACCACCATCACCACCACCATCACCACCATCATTACCATTACCATCATCACCACCACCACCATCATCACCTTCACCACCATCACCACCATCATTACCATCACCACCATCATTACCATTACCATCATCATCATCACCACCATCACCTTCACCACCATCACCACCATCATTACCATCACCATCATTATCAACATCATCATCACGACCATTACCATCACCACCATCACTATCACCATCATTACCACCATCATCCCCATCACCATCACCATTACACCCATCACCACTATCATCACCATCACCATGACCATTACCATCACCACCATCACCCCCGTCAGCAGCAGGAGCAGCAGCACAATCAGAAAAGCCCGTTATGGCCCGGCACAGTGGCTCACATCTGTAATCCCAGCACTTTGGGAGGCCAAGGCGGTGGATCACCTGAGGTCAGGAGTTCAAGATCAGCCTGGCCAACATGGTGAAACCCTGTCTCTACTAAAAATAACAAAAATTAGCTGGGCATGGTGGTGCATGCCTGTAATCCCAGCTACTCAGGAGGCTGAGGCAGGAGAATCACTTGAACCCGGGAGGCAGAGGTTACAGTGAACCAAGATCATGCCAATGCACTTCAGCCTGGGTGACAAAGGGAGACTCTGTCTCAAAAACAATAACAGAAAAAGAAAAGCCTGTTTTGCATTCCTAGCCACTCCTATTCCCTCCCACATGCCCCCAGAGCACAGCTTTTTGGAACCAAAGGTGAGAACCAAGATCCCAAAGGTGAGAACCAAGATCCCAAAGGTGAGAACCAAGATCCCAAAGGTTCCTAAGCTCCACACTGCGCAATCTAACACAAGTGAACTTGAGCGAAACGCCACAGGACGCTTCACTGCAGTGGCTGAAGCAGACGCGGCAGAAATAAATAAACACAGGCAGGGGCTTCTGGAAACACCAGGTTTTCATCGGGGCACCCCATGTATTGATCAAATCAGTGGCTTTTCAGCACGGCCAGGAACTCTGCTTTCTTGAGGCAGAATCATCTGCCCACTGCCTCCCTGACCACCCCAGCGTCCTTAGGAGGAGGAAGGAGGGCCATGGGGAAGAAAGTCTGTGATGGGTGGGTGAGGAGGGCAGCTCTGCCAGGCACCAGAGCAAGCAAGGCTGGCACACAGGGCCACCCGTCCTATGGCTGATTAGGCCCAAACACTGTTTTACAGACTGCTCTGGGACACAAAACACAGACCACCTCCACCACGGCATCAGCTCCTCTGCCGCCAGAGATGTGTTTAGAGGCCCATTAGAGAGATAACGCCCTGGCTATGCTGCAAGGGAGAATCCTAGCCTGCACCAGGTAGGCTGGTCTGGGCACACGTGTCCCCAGTGGAAGGCTAGATCACAGAGGAACTTGACCTCCCAGTCCTTCCCCCCAGTAAGAGGCACCGGCTGGCTGTTCAGTGCCATCTTTGCTGAAAAAGGCAACCGGCAGCTGCTCTCTAGCCAGGGCCTCCCCTGCCATCTAAACAGATGTCCTTTCCAAGAACTCAAGCCTACTTTTCCTCTATGTGCTTAGAAACCATCAGCCAGAGGGGTCCTATACTCCAAGATGGGCTTTAAAAAACGCCAAAAAGGCCAGGCATGGTGGCTCACACCTGTAATCCCAGCACTTTGGGAGCCTGAGGCAGGTGCATCACTTGAGGTCAGGAGTTCGAGACCACCCTGGCCAACATGGCGAAATCCCATCTCTACTGAAAATACAAGAATTAGCCGGGTGTGGTGGCAGGCGTCTGTAATCCCAGCTACTCGGGAGGCTGAAGCAAGAGAATCGCTTGAACCCAGGAGGCGGAGATTGCAGTGAACCGAGATCAGGCCACTGTACTCCAGCCTGGGCAACACGACGAGACTCCATTTCAAAAAAAATAAAAATAAGAATAAAAACACCTAATAATGCTCGCAGTTTTCAGGCGCTGGCATCTCTTTCAATCCTCTCTCCCTTCTGGTCTTCTTCCCTCCCTCTCTCTTTCATTCATTCGGAGAGGCAGCTTACCAGAGAGGTCAAGAGCACAGACTCTTGAACCCGAGGACCAGGATCAGAACCCAGCTCTGTGGCCTACAGGCTGTGTGACTTTGTGCCAGCTACTTCACTGCTGTGTGCCTCCGTTTTACCATCTGCTCAACAGAGAGCTGAACAGCATCTACTTCAGAGCGTTGGTATGAGGATTAAATTAGGTGACATTTGCTAAGTATTTATAATCGTACCTGGCATGAACAAAGGGTTATGTAACAGTTTGTTAGGTAAAAATAAGTCAATTTTGGCCAGGCGTGGTGGCTCACGCCTGTAATCCCAGCACTTTGGGAGGCTGAGGCAAGCAGATCTCCCCAGGTCAGGAGTTCAAGACCAGCCTGGCCAACATGGTGAAACCCCACCTCTACTAAAAACACAAAAATTACCCAGGCGTGGTGGTGCATGCCTGTAATCCCAACTACTTGGGAAGCCGAGACAGGAGAATCACTTGAACCCAGGGGGTGGAGGCTGCGGTAAGCCAAGATAGCTCCACTGCACTTCAGCCTGGCAACAGAGCGAGACTCCGTCTCCAAAAAAAAAAAAAAAAAAGTCAATTTATTTAGCAAATATTTGCTGAGGGCTCTCTATATACCAGGCACTGTTCCTGGGACCTATCAGCGAACAAAACAAAGACGCTGTCCTCAGGGCACTGACATGCCGGGCAGGGAGCTTGACAACAAACCTAATAAGCAGGCAAGTTATATCCTGAGTGCCATGTGCCATGGAAGAAGGAAGAAGTAGGGCAGGGAAAGGGGACTGGGAATGTGGGGAGTGTAGTGGGTTTGCAATTTCATGTGGGTGGTTGGGGGAGGCCTCACCACAAGGCTGACATTAGAGCAATGACTTGAAGAGGGAGAGTCAGTCACAGAGGGATCCGGAGGAAGGCCATTCCAGGCGGCATGGACAGCCAGTGCCAAGGCCCTGAGGCAGGAACATGCCGTGTTCAGAGCACAGCAAGGCGGCTGGGCAGGCTGGAGAAGAGTGAGGCTGGAGTGTGGGAGCGAGAGGGGCGATGGGGGTCAGCAGGGTGGGGGGGGCGGATCACACAGCACTCTAAGGGGCCCTGAGACTCTGGGTTTTCCCTAGAGTGAAACGGGAGCCACTGGGGAGCTTTGGCCCGGGGAGGACATGAGCTGGCCCCTGTTGAGAAGGTTCACTCTGGCTGCTGTGCTCAGCCCAGACCCAACAGAGAGGGCAGGGGACCAGCGAGGAGGCAGCAGCCCGAGTGAGAGGTGGTGGTGGCCCAGGTAGTGGCTGCAATGGAGGGGTGGGAAAGGCTGAAGTCTAGGCACGTACCGAATGCAGGGACAACGGGATTTCCTGATAGGTGGGCTAGGGAGTGTGGAAGAAAGAGGAGCAAGGGTGCCTGCATGGTTTGGGGCCTGAGCCACTGGAAGGGTGGAGCTGCCATCGGCCGAGATGGGAAAGCCAGTGGTGGAGCACGTCGGCGAAAAGATCCAAGTGCTCAGCGTTCAGTGTGAGATGCCCACTGGACCTCCGGGGAGTCAACAGCTGGACGCGGGCCGAGGCATGGAGCTGGGAGTGCTGCACGCTGGGTGCGTGGAGATGGAGGGAGGGCCCTGTGCACTCTCACACTAATGAGCTGGGGCAAAGGGGGGCGAGCAAAGGCAACGGAGAAGGAGAGGCTTATGACCAAGGGTGTGTGGAGGCCTGGAGGTCGAGTGCCGACAGGAGGAGGAGATCGACTGGGCTGGTGCTGTTGATGTGTTCAGTGAGACCAACACCAAGGCTGACCCATGGCACAGAAACCGCTGACAACCTTGACAAGAGCAGCTGTGATAGAGTGGACGGGTTTAAGAGCAAATTCAGCCAGTATCTACTCAGCACCTCACATGTGACAGCTGTATGTTAAAAATGTTACATACAAAATCTCATTCACTCACACAATCCTGTGCAGCCAGCACTCTCTACATCTTACAGATGAGGAAACTGAGGCACAGAGTGAGAACCATGCAGATTCTGGGTGGGGGGGGCGGGGCATGGCATGTCTGATTTCAGAGCCTGGTTACTAACCACAAGTTGGTCCAGGCCCAAAGAATGTCTGCAGGAGTCAATGAATGAATCACAAACCAATGGGGGCGTGAATCACTCCGCCCAGGGCGGGACACAGGGAGACGTGAGAGCCAGGCACTTCTTGGAAGCCGGTAGACACCCTGAAGGCTGACAGCACTGGAGGTGGGGGCTGGGAAGCCAAGATCTGGGCCCACCTCTGTCACTCAAAGCCAAGCGGCCTGGGGCCAGTCACCTCCCTGCTCTGATCCCGGTGTCCTCCCGAGGGGGTAATGCCATGCCCACCCTCTCTCACTGGAGAGGAAAAGGCGCGTGGGTGAAGCCAGCAGCAGCACAGGCGTGAAAGGTGCTTTATTCATCTCCAGAGATCGCTCCTTTGTTCTGCAACCCTTTCTGCTGGACGGTAAGAATCCTCTGGCAGGACATTTTTTCCAAGTATGGAGCGGAAATTCCTGGCTGAGGCTGCAGCTCCGGAGCTGCCATATGGGGATGGGGGACAGCTGGTCTCTCCGTGGAATGTCCTGGAGGCCGGATGTATCAGGGCAGGAGGTGCCTCTTACAGGAAACAATTGGCCCCAAGCGGCTTGGACAGTGACAGCAGCCCCACTCGACCCCACCCACTTCGGGGGGCCCCAGCCCACTCCCAACAATACCCAGAAAATGAGGCCTTTGGGCACTCCAGAAATTTGCTTTCAAATACGTTATAGAAATGTAAAAGGAACAACTGTGACCCCCCACCCCCGGCAGTAGATAGACCTCATTTTGCATTCTGGTTCTTTTCATTTTTAAAAAAATAAATACCTCAGTCCTATGCATCAAGCATTCCTGGAGCACTGTGCTTAAGAGTTAAGCTAAGCGCTTCATAGTACCTCTTCATTTAATCCTCACAACCACCCAGTAAGGGGACTGCTGCTATTCACTCCCATTTCAGAGTGACAAGCAAGTCACAGAGAGGTTAAGCCATTTGCCCAGGGGCTCACAGCCAGTAAATGGCAGAGCTGTCGAACCCTGGACTTTCCCGCCCCAGCTCACACTCATAATAACTAAGCTGCTACCCCAGAAGGACGCACAGTGGCTCAGAATGCCGACCACAGGCCCAGTGCATGGCACACAGTAGGAAGCTGGGAAAAGCTGGGTGAATACAAAGACTCAAGTGCCTGGTGTGGCGCCTTCCTCCCCTTCCTGCCACTGCACCTCTAAGGCTGTCATGCTGAGGGCAGGACCGGAGCCGACACGGCAGTGAAAGGGCAGCCCTGTTGCATCACCCAGGCCCATTCCTCCCCCTCTTCCATCAGTGGCAGTGACATGGGGACACTGGTCGGCAGATTTGCAAATGACCGGGCAAGTGCTGTGCACAGCCCTCAGAACACTGTTGTGGACACACCGACCTCACCCAGCCTCCAGCCATGACGCCCTAACTCGAGGCATGGGCCCAGGCAAAGAGTGGCTCACAGCTCCCTCCAATAGTTCAAAAAGCTTCAAGGAAACCATTATCCACCTGCCCATTCTAAGGCAGTACAGCCAGCTAATGAGATGCTCAGAGTCTCCTGATCCCGCATACAGCAGCCAGAAGGCAGGAAGACCCTTGTAAATGGATGTCGATGCTGTGTCTCCCCTAATGCACAGATAAAGCCCAGGACCTGGCTCTGGCTTGCAAGGCCCTGCAGGACCCTGTGTGCAGAAAATAACACAGCAAGCTTCAGAAAGGGCCGCTAACAAGGTTGGATCCTCAGCTGGTCTCTGCAAACTAGGAGAGGGCTCCCACCATTAACTAATAAGAGTGGCCCGCTCTGCCTAAACTGTTCTGCAAACAATATGGCTTAGGTGGAATACCTCCTTTCCTTCTAGAGTCTGGAACTCTGGTCTGTGCCAGGCAGGGGGTGCTTATGTGACCACTACCCACTAAAAACCCTAAGGGGCTTCCGTGGTGGACAGCACAGAGAATTAAGCTGTCCTGGTGACTGTACTGGGAGAGGGCTCTGGAAGCTTGCACCTGGCTCCCAAGACCTTTTCCCACACACCTCCTCCTTGGGCTGAGTTCTCTCTGTGCTTTTGCTGTCCTAAGTCTCCTGTGGGGAGAGAATATGCTGAGGCCAGGTGTTCTCCTAGGGAACCATCGAGCCTTGGGACAGACGCCCCAGTGCCTCTCCGCTCTCGTCTCCCCTCCCCTGGCCCCTGTGCTCCTGCTCCCCCACCTCCCACCCCCACCCCCTGGCTCTTCCCAGCATGTGTGGAACATGCTGCTGTCCCAGGCGTTTGCCTCCTCTCCCTCTGGGCCACTGGCCTTGCTCCTTCCCTTCCTGTGGACATCTGCTCACCCAGAGAACCCTTCCTTATCCTCCCTTACAAGACAACAGCTGATCCCAGGCGCCCCACCCCTGCACTGTGGATCTCCTTCCGTGGCACTGGCCACCCCCTGCCACGCACACATACTTGCTTATTTGCCACCTGTATCCCCACTGGAACACACGCTCCATGAGGACAAGGTCTGGGTGGCTTCGTTCCCCAAGGCACTCCCAACACAGAGCTGGCATTCAGGAGGTGCCTGGGGAATACCCGCTGATGGACAAACAGCTGTCCATGCTGTTCCCTGGGCGGGGTGAGAACATGCCCAGCGTCCAGGTCACTGGTGAGTTCATTAGGCTCCACCCTTCAGGGAGCAGAGTGGGAGGGGAATCCACTCACCTCCAGCAGCTGCGCGGCACTGGGTCGGGTTTCTGGGTTCTTATCCAGGGCTATCTTCAGGAAGTCACGGAACTCTACAGACCTGGGAGGACAGGCGTCAGAGGTAAGCATGGAGGAGGCAAGAGCAGAGAGAAGCCCCCCACGTCACAGACTCCACTGTCCCAATCATGCCCCTCAAAGGACAGAGGAAACTTTCACAAGCTAAAACAGTGACAGGGCCTACACGACGCCCTTTTCATCATGGACACCACTGTCCAGATGGGGACCCAGACATCGGCGAGGAGCAGGGACGTGCCCAGGCCACGCAGTGAGGAGACTCAGCAGTGCCGGGATTTGAACCCAGGCCCCCGATGTCCCGCCCAGGGTGTGCCATGTGGCTCCTGCGGCTCAGCTGGGGCTCCTGTTCCCCAGTGGGAGCCAGCTTATTTGGGTGACTTGGTTTGCTCTGGTGAAGATCTCATGTCAAGTGCACAGAGGCAGCACGGTAGCTCACGCCTGTAATTCCAGCACTTTGGGAGGCCGAGGCAGACGGATCCCTTGAGGCCAGGAGTTCAAGACCAGCCTGGGCAACATAGGAGACCTTGTCTCTACAGAAAATTAGCCAGGCATGGTGGTGGGTGCCTGTACTCTCGGCTACAAGGGAGGCTGAGGTGTGAGGATCTCTTGAGCCTAGGAGGTCGAGGTTGCAGTGAGCTATGACTGCACCACTGTACTCCAGCCTGGGCAAAAGAGTGAGACCCTATCTCAAAAAAAAAAAAAAAAAGGAACACAAAGGGAAAAAGAGGCACGAAGGGCCCGGGGGGGCTCAGAAACGCCTGAAGACCCCCAGGCCCCAACCTCTCCTTTGGAGCTAGCAGCACCAGGAGAACGCTACCACTGCACCTCCCCAGCCCCGTCCACCACATATTCCAGCCCTAATCCCGGCGCAGGCACCCCGGCAGGTGGCCCTGCCCCTGCCCCTCACCACTTAGAGGGCGTGAGCAGCGTGGGAGGGTCCGACTTGGCGATCTTTAGCAGGACCCGCATGGGGTTGAGCTCGTGGTGTGGCGGCTCGATCTGGGCCATCTCAATCAGCGTGATGCCCAGGGACCAGATGTCGGCTTTGTAGTCGTAGGGCGTGTCTTTCATGGTCTCACACATGACCACCTCGGGGGCCATCCTGAACCAACCAAGGGACAACATAGGGCTAAGAATCTGGCCTTTACAGGTGCTTCTTGGACATTCAGGGTCAAGGGCCACCACGAGCCACTGTCGGGGTTGGCAGCACTCCCGAATCATGATCTGCGTGACTTTGCATCCCACTGTCTTCCTTAGGACGCTCTTCCACAGAAAAACGCCTCCACGCGGCTCCCCGCCACGTCCTGCTGCAGTTCCGATGCCTACCGCGAGATGGCAGCAGCAACCCGGAACACAGAGTCCTGGGGAGGGGGCGGGTGGGAGCGGAGGGGAAGGTGCGGAGCAAAAAAAAAGGGGCGTGGAGGTGGGTGGGCGAGAAGACACCAGCACAGAGAGGAGAAACAGGTATAAAAGGGGGGAGAGAGAGAGCAAGGGTGAGTAACAAGCAAGCAAGAAAGGAGCCCAAACTACACAATGGCAAGTAATGCACATGAAAAAATTGGAAACACGGCAAACAGAGAGTAGTCAGGCGTGAAATTGAGTGACAGTGTTTTGCTTTTAAAGTAATAGTTCTGGAAAAGAAGGAAACACGACAGACTACAGAAGTCCAGGGAGACTTCACATGACGGTAGGAATTGAACTTGTACTGTTCACCTTCACGGTCCCCATCCCCGGCCCTCAATACATACGTGGCGAATAAATCACGAACTGAATCCTGTTTTATGGATTCTAGTTCAGTTATTAATGGAGTGCCTTCTATGTGCACCATTTCATTTCATTCTCACAGTAGCCTTATTAAGTAGGGGCCATTATATCCCTAATTTTATGGATGAAGAAACTGACGCACGGGAAAGCTAAACAGCTTGTCCAAGGTCACACAGCTAGTAAGCCACGAGGCAGGGCGTGTAGCCCTTGTCTTCCGGCCCCTCTCTGTCTAAAGCGCCTGGTGGTCACCTTGGAGAGTTTTTACATCCAGTCCATTCCATTTCCAGAAGCTACACGACTCACCAGTAAGGCGTGCCGATGAAGGAATCTCGTTTCTGTAGAGTCTTCAGATTCTTGGCAGACACACCAAAGTCAGCTGCAAGACAAAATCTCAGCTAGCGTTTTCCACCCATAGCCCTGGGGTAAAAGCCGGGGATGTGGACTCAGGGGTACACATTCCAAGTCGACTAACAGATGCCATTTTCTATCTAGCAAATTAGAAAGCATTAAAAATGTAAGACTATCTGCTGCTGAGAGGAAGTACCGAGATGAACACTTTCCTCTCTACTAACGAGAGCCTGCACTGGCAGCAGCCTTCAGGAAAGCAATTTGGCAATAAATAGCAAGAACCTTTAAAATACCCATACCATTTTAATCCAGTAATTCCAAATCCAGGACTCTGCCCTAATGAAACAGTCTTAAATTTAAAAAAATGCATAATGATGTTAATCAAAATCCCATTATAATAACAGTGCCATTATAAAATTATAATAATAGTGACACACTGAAAACAACCATAATTGCTTGGCTATCAGGCAGTGATTTTAAAACTTTTTATATAGATTAAGAAAAATGGAGGCCAGGCAGGGTGGCTCACGCCTGTAATCCCAGTACTTTGGGAGGCTGAAACAGGCAGATCGCTTGAGGCTGGGAGTTGGAGATCAACCTGGCCAACGTGGCAAAACCCAGTCTCTACTAAAAATACAAAAATTAGCCAGGTGTGGTGGTGGACGCCTGTAATCCCAGATACTTGGGGGGCTGAGGCACAAAAATCGCTTGAACCCGGGAGGTGGAGGCTGCAGGGAGCTGCAATCGCACCACTGCGCTCCAGCCCAGGCAATAGAGTGAGACTGTCTCAAAAAAAAAAAAAAAAAAAAAATTAGCCAGGTGTGGTGGCATGTCCCTGCAGTCCCAATTACTTGGGAGGCTGAGGTGGGAGAATCACTTGAACCCAGGAGGCAGAGGCTGCAGTGAGCCAGGATTGTGCCACTGCACTCCAACCTGGGCGGTATTTATTACTATTTATTAATTTATTATTATTTTTTTGAGATGGAGTCTTGCTCTGTCACCCAGGCTGGAGTGCAGTGGCGCAATCTTGGCTCACTGTAACCTCCACCTCCCGGGTTCCAGCGATTCTTGTGCCTCAGCCTCCCAAGTAGATGACATTACAGGCATGTGCCGACATGCCCAGCTAATTTTTGTATTTTTAGTAGAGATGGAGTTTCACCACGTTGCCCAGGCTTGTCTTGAACTCCTAACCTCAGGTGGTCCACCAGCCTTGGCCTTCCAAAGTGCTGGGATTATAGGCGTGAGCCACTGCGCCCGGCCTTACTGATTACTATTTATATTACTGTAAAAGGTTAAGTGGGGAGAAGGGGGATACACAGTTGAATATACTGTCTGGTCAGAATCATGCCCCTCTCACTCCAAAAAGGGGAAAAATACACACTGAACTGACTTGGAGGAAATATACCACACTACTTAAATGGCTGTGTGTGGGTGGTGAGACTTCCACACCTTTGCTATGATAAAGTGTATTATTTGCAGGACTAGCAAAAATAAATGAACACTTTTTTTTTTTTTTCATGACAGAGTCCACTCTGTCACCCAAGCTGGAGTGCAGTGGCACAATCATGGCTCACTGCAGCCTCAACCTCCCAGGCTCAAGCAATCCTCCCGAGTAGCTGAGACTACAGGTGTATGCCACCACACCCGGCTAATTTTTGTATTTTTTGTAGAGATGGAGTCTCTATGTTGCCCAGGCTGGTCTTGAACCCTGGGCTCAAGCAATCCTCCTGCCTTGGCCTCCGAAAGTGCTAGGATTACAGGCGTGAGGCACCAGGACCGGCCAATAAGATGTATCTTTACATGCATTCCAACACTCTCAGTCTTTCCTCACACACCCGCTGCTAAGAGAAGAATTCAGCGCTACCAAGAGAAATTTTCTCCAGGGCTCCTGCCTTCTGTGGTGAAGTTTCATCTTGACTGAAAAATAGATTCAGGATGAAACAACACTTTGAGAGAACCCGGGATGCTCCATTTGAAACTCCCTGAATGGAATTTATGAGGGGTGTCCCCTGCTAGATGATGGCTGCCTTTGGACGATTCATCCCAAGAAGCTGCAGCATTATGACAACTTCAGGCCACCCCGGGCACCAGTGCCTGGTCTTGAAATGAGCTGTATCCAGGAGCTCCTTTCAGACTTGCAACGTGAAACAAGGAGGCAGCACAATGCCAAGAGGCTGGGCCTGAATACGGGAGAACTTGGTTCCAGCCTCTGCTCTTCTGCTTCACTGTCCACTCACCCATTCATTCAGGTGCTCACCAGGCTCCATCAGGAGCGAGACACTAGCCGGGATCAGAGAATACAATGAGGACCCTCGGGGAATCCACAGTTTAGTTGGGGGAGCAGAGAGTAAGCAAATAAACAAACATCTACTCCTAACATGGAAAGTGTTGGGAAGACAGGACCGGGGCTACTCAAGAGTGCACAGTAGGGGGTGTGACCTCGAGGGGACGGTCATGGAGGGAGGGCTGGGGGCTTTGGAGGAAGGACAGTTTTATTCAGCATACACTAACTGCACATCTATTATGTGCCCGACACTGTTCTAGGCACAGAGATGAAAGCAACCAAGTCCTGCCTGACATGCCACATGTTATTCCCGTGGTGGCGACAGGCACCTGGCAAAACCCCCGGAATGCCTGGCAGCGAGAAGGGCCCAGGGCTGAGAAGGCAGGGAGAAGAACACAGTGCTGGGGTGCAGGGTGGGGAGCTACTTTAGACACAAACTCAGGATCTGGGGGAGGTATTTCCAGGCAGAGAAAACTGCAAACAGACTGGGAGGCAGGAAACAGCAGGCTGGAGGGACCAGCGGGGACAGGACACAGCCTGGCCGGAAGGAGGGGGCCGGGGGTGGAAGCAGATAAGGCAGGAGACGGGCAGGGCAGTTACAAAGCCTCTGAGCCTCAGTTTCCCCATCTGTGACACGGGGGTGATAGCACAGAACCATTGCGCAGGTTTTCCTGAGGATTAAATGACAAACGCAAAGCACTGTGATGCAAGGTCCACTCGTGGCAAAAGCGAGAAGATGGTGATTCTTTCACCGGCCCATGAGCCAGTCCAGCCTTTTTCAGGCTGGGGCAAGGCTGAGGCTGAACTAAGACCCCCCGGCACCTCCTGGGAGTGGTCAGGAAAGCTGGCTTCTGAGCCCCGGTTAGTGCTAACTGGACAGCAGTTGCTATATCAGGGGACAGTCTGGCCAGCAAGAGGGGACAGGGGGCCCTCAGCCTCCTGAAGTGGGACCAACAGGTGCTGCAAGTGAGGTGCAGAAGCAGGAAACCCAGGTAGAGCCTGGCTCTGCTGATGACTCTGGCAGGCGGCTCCCCTGGGCCTCCAGGGTAAGAATGGGAAGCTGGCCCCACCTTCCTGCTGGGTCAGCCAGGCCCCCCTGTGGGCCTGGCTCCCTCGCAAACACCACTAAGGGCTGGCACATCATCCCATCCCAGGAAACCTTTTGGGAACAGTGACTGCCTCTCAGGCCCAGGGTGAGGATCCCAAAAGGTGGCCACTCCCCGACCACAGGCCCTGCCGATCCCTTCCTGAGAAGAGAGACGAGAAACAGAAACCACCAACGTGCAATGACACACCGTAGGTCCCCAGGGCCTCCCTCAGGCACGCACCAGCCAGCTCTTTGGGTAGCTGCTACTTCCCCTTCTGCCCCACACGATGGGGCCCAGATGGGAGAGTGGGGCAGCCCCACCTTGCAGCCCAGAGAACTGAGCCTGTTTGCTCCCTCCGCAGAGTTTATAAGGGAGTGTCCCTTGATAGCTGATGGCTGCCCTTGAGCAATTCAAAAGGGATTTTCACCATGCAGTCTCTTCTGATGAAAACACTCCCCCTTCTCCTCCCATTTTAAAATGTATTAGAGACAAGGGCGGCGGAGATAAGGGAAATCTCCCTTTCTCCGCTGTAATTTCCATAAAGAAAGAGATCATTTCTGCTGTGGCCACAGTTGTATCCCTGGCACGTTATCTGGAGCAGGAAGCACTCAACAGGTTTATCGAATGAGCATGCTCATAAATAAATAAAGAGACAGAATTTGCTAAAATGCCTTTACTCATATATGTAAAAAATAAAACTGGGTTTTAAAAACTTGTTTGCCAGCAATTCTATTTGTAGAAATCCATCTCTAAAACCAGATCTATAATATATATGGATGCTTATAAAAGCAACAGCCAAAAAGAATGGAAAATTGGAAATCATCCAAAGTGTTGCTGGAGCTTCATTGCTGAATGGTTAGATAAGTTGTGGTTCACCCCAGCTATGAAATAACATGCAGCTCTTAAAAAGAATGAGGCTGTATTTGTATGGACTAACTTGGAAGTGTATCTCTAATACATTAATACATGTCCCAAACATGTTGCTGACTGACTGATGAGTCTTATAAAATGTGTAGCATGATTCCAGAAATGATCCAAGTGCAGGTACTCCAGTAGAAGATTATCTTTAAAGGAATAATATATGCATCTTGTGTGTACATGTCTGCACGCATGTGCATACACACACACACACACCGGTCTGGAAGTCTGCACATCAAACTTAATGTTCATCTCCCTGGAAGTGGGATTTTGGTGGGGGCAGTGCACAGAAGGGACCTTACTTTTTTTTTTTTTTTTTTTTTTTGAGACAGAGTCTCGCATGTCACCCAGGCTGGAGTGCAGTGGTGTGATCTTCGCTCACTGCAAGCTCCACCTCCTGGGTTCACGCCATTCTCCTGCCTCAGCCTCCCAAGTAGCTGGCACTACAGGCACCTGCCACCATGCCCGGCTAATTTTTTTTTTTTTAGTAGAGACGGGGTTTCACCATGTTAGCCAGGATGGTCTCGATCTCCTGACCTCATGATCCGCCCACCTCGGCCTCCCAAAGTGCTGGGATTACAGGTGTGAGCCACTGCACCCGGCCAGGACCCTACATTTTTCACTTTACACACTTTTATTCTTTTTTTTTCAGATGGAGTTTCATTCTTGTTGCCCAGGCTGGAGTGCAATGGCACGATCTCGGCTCACTGCAACCTCCACCTTCCGGGTTCAAGCAATTCTCCTGCCTCAGCCTCCCAAGCAGCTGGGATTACAGGCATGCGCCACCACGCCCGGCTAATTTTGTATTTTTAGTAGAGACGGGGGGTTTCATCATGTTGGTCAGGCTGGTCTCAAAATCCCGACCTCAGGTGATCCACCTGCCTCGGCCTCCCAAAGTGCTAGGATTACAGGCATGAGCCAACGCGCCCGACCCACTTTTGTTCTTTAAAATGTTTTTGATAGAGTGTATTGTTTCTATGGTTTAAAAAACTGAAATGCATATGTAGCAAAGTTTTTTGGTTTTGTGGGTTTTTTTGTTTTTTCTCTATTAAGTAAAACCCAGTAGGGGCCAGGATGTGGTGAAAAGAGAATTGCACACTGCACTGGGGGGGGTGTCAACTGGTATGACCAGCACGGAGGGCATGCCGGCTGCAGGATGAACAAAACCCCAACTCACTGCACACACCCAGCACTCTGCTTCTGAGAATTCCTCTTCAAGGTATGTTACAGAAAGAGACGCAAAGATCCATGAACAAGCACACTCATCACTGCATGATTTCGTAAAGATGATAAACCTCATGAGAAACCCAAGTATCCAATTCAGGGCTTTCCTCAGGGCTCTGATAGGTAAATTACATTTTGTGCCTGTGATGGGTACAAGAAAAACACGAAAATAATCATGTTTCTGAGGAATCTTTAAGGATATGGAGGAATACGCTGATATTCAATGTTAAAAACCAGACTAGGAAACTGTATATATATATAATAATCCTAGTTTATCTTATAAAAACTAATATTGTCACCGGACACGGTGGCTCATGCCTGTAATCCCAGCACTTTGGGAGGCTGAGGCAGGCAGATCACCTGAGGTCAGGAGTTCGAGACAAAAACCAACATGGAAAAATCCCCTCTCTACTAAAAATACGAAATTAGCCAGGCGTGGTGGCACATGCCTGTAATCCCAGCTGCTCAGGAGGCTGATGCAAGAGAATCGCTTGAACCCAGGAGGCAGCGGTTGTGGAGAGCTAAGATCGTGCCATTGCACTCCAGCCTGGGCAACAAAAGCAAAACTCCATCTCAAAAAAAAAAAAAAGAAAAACTAATATTTACTGAGAACTTACCATATGCATAGCACTGTGCAAAGAAACTTATGCATATCATCTGCATATCTATTCCTACACACATCGTTTATATCTATGACCCTTTAAGGCAGGGAAAATTATGACTCCCATTTTACAGATAAGGAAGCTTAACTTAAGAAAGACTAAGTAATGCACAGAAGGTCACCCAGCTGTGCTCTTTCCCACTATCTGATCCGACTTTTCTGCAGACAAAAAAAGACTTGGAGGGAAGCCCACGGAGAGTGGTGGTTTATTCTGGCAGGATTAGGAAGGACCTTAATTCTCCTTTTTGTGGGTCTTATTCCAAATTGTGTACAGGACTCTAGCTACTCTCGTGTGTGTGTGTGTGTGTGTGTGTGTATGTGTGTTTTCTGATTACCAAAGTCATGTTGCTTATTAAAAACTCATTATTTTTCAGATTAAAAACTATAATACTGACAACTAAACATTTACGGGTTTGCTGTGTATAGCTCCAAATTTATGTATATTAAAATTATATATATATATATATATATATATTTTTTTTTTTTTTTTTTTTTTTTTTTGAGACGGAGTCTCACTCTGTCGCCCAGGCTGGAGTGCAGTGGCGCAATCTCGGCTCACTGCAAGCTCCGCCTCCCGGGTTCACGCCATTCTCCTACCTCAGCCTCCCGAGTAGCTGGGACTACAGGCGCCCGCCACCATGCCTGGCTAATTTTTTTGTATTTTTAGTAGAGATGGGATTTCACCGTGTTAGCCAGGATGGTCTTGATCTCCTGACCTCGTGATCCGCCCGCCTCGGCCTCCCAAAGTGCTGGGATTACAGGCGTGAGCCACCGCACCCGGCCGGTTATTTTTATTTTCTTCCGTTTTTTAGGAACCTAGAGACGCGTGCCCATTTGATAAGGGCTTCGTCTTCCGGTTTGACCCCCCACCTTCGGCCTTCACTGACTCTCCTCCTCGCAACACACTGCACTGTCTTCCTGACACCCTCCACGCACTCACCGCCAACCCAGCCCTTTCTTGTTGCTTCCCATCCCTCAAGCTTCTGCCTCACTTACTTCCCCTCTGCTGGGCCTGTGCGATTCTCACAGGCTGGGCAGGGTAGGTAGACCGCAATTTTTTTTTCTGGCCAGTCCGAATCCTCCCTTCCTCTGAAAAACCATCTCCCCACCCACCACACTGCCTCATTGCGGGGGCGAGGGCTACTTCCGTGTTGTCACGTGACCCCACCCTCCGTGCCAGAGACTGAAGACAAGCCGGGCCTGTGGGAGACCCCCTCCTGCCTGGGCCTCACTGATTGGTCCAAGGATTACTATCTGGGCCAAACGGGGCCAGTCAGAGCCCTCCCCTGGGATTATTGATGCCAAAGCCTCCAATGGTGAGTTCGGGTTCAGGCAGCAGCAGATGATGCCGGGAAATGTGAAACTAGATGGTATCCTGAGCTTGGTGGAGAGGGTTGGTCTGGGAGCCGAACCTACATGCACAGAAAGCCAAGGGCCAGGGATACGGTCCTGGCAGCGTTAAGGGCCAGGGATACGGTCCTGGCAGCGTTTATGTTCCAGGTTTCAACTAACTTTAAGGCCCACCCAGCTGTATTTCTTCTCCAATTTGGCTCCATGATGTACACATTTTCCTGTCTGCCTTAACTCTTAGGAAGTGGGTTTTTATCATTTGCCACTAAGAGAGGCGACAAGAGGGTAGTGGTTAAGCACGTAGGCTCTGGACCCAGCTGCCTTGGTTTGAACCCCAGTTGTTCCTCTTATCGGCAATGTGACCTTGGATAAGTCAGTCTTGCTAGGTCCCAAATCCATCCTGCAAGATGATATCAGTGGCTTTTGAGAATGGAATGAGTTAACACATATCAGATGCTGGCTCAGTGCATGGTAGCTCTAGTGAAAGAACCAGGCCCCCAGCCTGCTGGTAGCAGGAAATAGCAATGCTGGGCTGGGTGAAGGCAGCAGTGAGAGATGGGCAGTTGGCTTCCTGACTGGTCCACCTGCCAAGTCTCCAGCACATTGGGCGGGGCATGGGGGTTGGGAGTTGGGGATGCTGAAGTAACTAACCATAGGCTAAAGTGGTGGTCATGCTGGAAGTGACTGTTTATTGAGCACCAACTATGTGTTGTTTGTTTTTTTGTTTTTGTTTTTGTTTTTGTTTTCGTGAAACAGGGTCTTACTCTGTTGCCCAGACCGGAGTGCAGTGGTGCAATCTCAGCTCACTGCAAACTCTGCCTCCTGGGTTCAAGCGATTCTCCTGTCTCAGCCTCCTGAGTAGCTGGGAATACAGGCGTGTGCCACCACGCCCGGCTAATTTTTGTATTTTTAGTAGAGATTGGGGTTTCGCCATGTTGGCCAGGCTGGTCCTGAACTCCTGACCTCAGGTGATCCACCCACCTCGGCCTCCCAAAGTGCTGGGATTACAGGCGTGAGCCACCATGCCTGGCCGAAAATCATTACTTTAAAAAATGCATTGTAGCCATATCATTTGGCGATGCAGAAGTACACATGAGAAGAGCTCAAAGCGCTTGTCTCTGCAGGTGGATGGCAAAAGGAGACACGTGAGGGGATGACACATGTATGTGTTATTTTGGTTAAAAAAATAAAAACATTAAAAATACAAAGAGGAGACATTTAAAGAAGAAGGTTTTGAGCCGGGCGGGGTGGTTCACACCTGTAATCCCAGCACTTTGGGAGGCCGAGGCGGGTGGTTCACTTGTGGTCAGGAACTCGAGACCAGCCTGGCCAACATGGTGAAACCCGGTCTCTACTAAAAATACAAAAATTAGCCAGGTGTGGTGGTGGGTGCCTATAGTCCCAGCAACTCAGGAGGCTGAGGCAGGAGAATCACTTGAACTGAGGAGGTGGAGGTTGCAGTGAGCCGAGATTTCGCCACTGCACTCCAGCCTGGATAACAGAGTGAGACTCTGTCCAAAAACAACAACAAAAAAAGAAGGTTTTGATATATGTGCTTAATGTCCTACTGTTTTCCCTCTGGGGATGGAGCTGGGTCATCCCTCCATCCATCACTCTCATTCGAATTCTCTTGATTAGAAAGAAGCTGGCCAGGCACAGTGGTGCACACCTGTAATCCCAGCATTTTGGGAGGCCAAGGCGGGCAGATCACTTGAGATGAGGAGTTCGAGACCAGCTTGGCCAACATGGTGAAACCTCATCTCTACTAAAAGTACAAAAAGTAGCCAGGCATGGTGGCAGGTGCCTGTGATCCCAGCTACTTGGGAGGCTGAAACACAAGAAGCACTTGAACCTGGGAGGTGGAGGTTGCAGTGAGCCAAGAACGCACCACTGCACTCCAGCCTGGGTGACAGAGCAAGACTGCCTCAAAAAAATAAAATAAAATAAAATAATTGAAAAAAAGCAAAGAATCAAGAGTAGGAAGGGGAGAACTGCTGACATGCCAAGAGGGCGTAGGCGTGAGGACCCCACACCCCCATGAGGTCCACACTCCCACTGGCCTGCAGAGGCCAGGCCAACACCCCCAGGCAGACACCCTGTGGCTCCACCTTTCCCACCCTGAGCCCCTTACCCAGCCTGATGTCTCCCTCGAGGGTCATCAGCACGTTGCCAGCTTTCAGATCTCGGTGGATGATCCTCTTGCTGTGCAGGAAGTTGAGGGCTTCTAGCATCTGGCGGCAAACCACCTGTATCTGGGGCTCCGTGAGGCCTCTGTCCAGCTCTGGAAATGGAGGAGAACGGCTGTCAATTCAGTAAGCCCTGGACACAGGAAACTGAAATGTCAGGCCCACGCCAGGGAGAAATATAAAAGCCACCAACATTAGGCCAGGCGTGGTGGCTCACGCCTGTAATCCCAGCACTTTGAGAGGCCGAGGCAGGTGGATTACGAGGTCAGGGGTTCAAGGCCAGCCTAGCCAAGATGTTGAAATCCCACCTCTACTAAAAATACAAAAATTAGCTGGGCACGGTGGCAGGCAGCTGTAATCCCAGCTACTCAGGAGGTTGAGGCAGGAGAATTGCTTGAACCTGGGCAGCAGAGGTTGCAGTGAGCTGAGATCGTACCACTGCACTCCAGCCTGTGCGACAGTGATACTCCATCTCAAAAAAAAAAAAAAAAAAAAAGCCACCAATATTAAGGAGTGCTCACCGTGTACTGGATTCATTTCTAAGCACATCATGTGCACTGACCCATTTTGTCTTCATAACAGTCCTATGAAGCAGGCACAATTATTGTCCCCATTTTACAGATGAGGAAATTGAGGCTTGGAAAGGTTAAGCCACTCGCTCAAGGTCATGCAGGTGGGAAGACACAGATCTGAGATTCAAACCAGGGTCTGGCTTTAGAGTTCAGGTTTGTAAACATAAGCCCGACTGAGACAGAGAGATCTGTTGTGTCTGCAGACACTGAGAGGGCACTTACTATGTGTCTGGCTCTGTGCTTGGAGCAGGAAGGCAGATGGGACATGGAAACGGTGAGTGACACTTGGAACAGAGTGAGGTGCAGGCATGTGGGATGTCAGAATGGGCAGGAACCCCTTATAGCTGGGGGAACTGGAAGGCTGCCCAGAGGAAATGACATTTGGGCTATGTCTTAAAGGAAGAGAATAGGTGGGGCGAGGGCACTCTAGGTCAAGGAGCCAGCAGAGGCAACAGCTGACATGAGCTGGTGTCTCCAAAATGTCCACTGGGGCCAGACGCAGTGGCTCATGCCTGTAATCCCAGCACTTTGGGAAGCAGAGGCGGGGGGGATCACGAGGTCAGGAGTTCAAGACCATCCTGGCCAACATGATGAAACCTTGTCTCTACTAAAAATACAAAAACTAGCTGGGCGTGGTGGTGCACGCATGTGATCACAGCTACTCAGGAGGCTGAGGCAGGAGAATCGCTTGACCCCAGGAGGCAGAGGTTGCAGTGAGCCGAGATCGCGCCACTGCACTCCAGCCTGGGTGACAGAGCGAGACTCAGTCTCAAAAAAAAAAAAAAAAAAAGTGTCCACTGAGGAGACCCTCTCTTCGGTGACCCATTTTCTCAGCATGAGGAAGCTTTTTCTCTCTCTCTTCTTTTTTGCCTATTAAACTTTCCACTGGCTGTTGGTGGTGGCACCAGGGTATGCGGATGCGGAAGGGCCAGAGAGGCCGGAGGGCTGGTTGCCAAGAGCCTTTTGTTCTTTATGGGGAGACACAGCGCCCACGTGCGCACGCTGCAGATCACTCAGTGTCCACCGAGAGATGGCCAGGGCCCTTCTTCCCTGAGGTTCACAGGTTGAGTAGGTCTGAGCAGGCAGGGAGCGGGAAGGTGGGCAGCAGGAAGAATATTCCTGGAAAGGGGAACAGACTTGTGTGGTGGGAGGGGGCAAATGAAGGGAAAGTGACTCGAGGTCAGAGGTCAGCAGGCCTTGGCTCTGCAGGACCTTCGGGCCATGCTGTGGAGGCTGCATTGTATTTGAAATGCAGTGGGTAGTCCACGAGAAGTTCTGAGTGGGCCAGACACAGTCTGATTTTTGCATTAAAAAAAAATTCCCATGGCTGAGAGCAGTGGCTCAATGCCTGTAGTGCCAGCTACTTAGGATGCAAAGGTTGGAGAATCACTTGAGGCCAGGAGTTCAAGGCCAGCCTGGGCCACATAGCGAGACCCAGCTATGCTTGTAGCATTTATTATATTATAAACAAAATAGGCCAGGCGCGGTGGCTCACGCCTGTAATCCCAGCATTTTGGGAGGCCGAGGTGGGAGGATCACGAGGTCAGGAGATCGAGACCATCCTGGCTAAAACGGTGAAACCCCGTCTCTACTAAAAATACAAAAAATTAGCCGGGCGTAGTGGCGGGCGCCTGTAGTCCCAGCTACTCGGGAGGCTGAGGCAGGAGAATGGCGTGAACCCGGGAGGCAGAGCTTGCAGTGAGCGGAGATCACGCCACTGCACTCCAGCCTGGGCGACAGAGCGAGACTCCATCTCAAAAAATAAATAAATAAATAATAAATAAACAAATAATTCCCTCTAGCACAGCAAAGAGCTTGCTGGGCAGCAGGGGCAGGGGCTCAGCTGGAGGTCATCACAGTGGTCCAGATAGGCACCAAAGCAGAGAGGAGGAAAGCTGCTCAATGGACAGATTAGGGAGGTGGAGCTGGCGGAATGTGGAGGCGGTGGGAGGAGGGGAGTGAGAAGATTCCAAGGTGACAGCCTTGTGCTCTGCGTCCCACAGGACTGTCCTGATTGAGTCAACGTAGCTACCCAAGACCCCTGTGACCAGGGGAGCCACCTCCCTTGGCCTGCCAGGTTCCCAGGCTGTCGGCTTCTAAGCCTGGTCACCAAAGGGCACTGCTCCGAGTCTTCCCTCTGCCTACAACAGCACTGCTGTGTCCGGCTTGCCTAGTGGTGCCTGGACAGGAATCCACAAGGCTCAGCTCTCCCAGCCAGGCCCTCAGGAGTGGTATAATAGACATGCCAACCAGGAATGCAGGTACCAACTGCCCTGCTCTGGGAAGCCAGGCCCCAGACCAGGGCTCCTGGACCAGGGACCCTTCTCTCTGGAGTCCGCAAGCTGCCTGCCCCCTGTCCCTGTGGCCTCATCCTGAACCTCTGTGTCTCCAGCCAGGGGCCAGGATCAGAGCCTGCATGGGCTTCAGGACCACACAGACCGAGGCCGTACCCAGGTGCTGCCTCTCACTAGCTGTGTGGTTACTGGCAAGTCGCCCAAGCTCTCTGGCCCTTCATTTCCTGGTCTGTGAAATGGGATGATTATAATCGACATAGGCAGGGCTCCAGCCATCAGCCATGTTCAGTTCTCAGTGTGGAAAATAGGCAATAAAGGGGGATTATTGCTATGTTGGTTCTAAGATGAGTCCAGGGCTGGAATATGTGCCGCAATCTTTTTAATGGCAAAAATGTGTCTTGCTCATGTCTAATTTACTGATATAAATGAAATAGGAATGACAAAAATACTAATGATGATGATGAAGATAATTATGATCTAATCACCACCATTTTTGGAGCCCTTATAATGTGTCAGGCATGAGGATAAGGACACGGTGCATACTGTCATTTAATCCTCGCAGTAACCCAGTGAGGTGGGAAGGAGATACTCTTTAATTTTGTTTTTTGTTGTTGTTGTTGGGTTTCTTTCCTTTTTTTTTTTTTTGAGATGGAGTCTTGCTCTCTTGCCCAGGCTGGAGTGCAATGGTGTGGTCTCGGCTCACTGCAACCTCCACCTCCTAGGTTCAAGCAATTCTCCTGCCTCAGCCTCCCGAGTAGCTGGGATGACAGGCATGTGCCACGACGCCCGGCTAATTTTTTTGTACTATTAGTAGAGACGGGGTTTCACCATGTTGGCCAAGCTGATCTTGAACTCCTGACCTCAGGTGATCCACCCGCCTCGGCCTCCCAAAGTGCTGGGATTATATGCATGAGCCACTGCGCCCAGCCTAATTTTTTGTTTGTTTTTGTTTGTTTGTTTTAGACAGGGTCCCACTCTGTTGCTCAGGCTGGAGGGCAGTGGATCACGGCCCACTGCAGCCTCGATCTCCCAGGCTCATGCAATCTTCCCACCTCAGCCTCCTGAGTAGCTGGAACCACCGGTGTGTGCCACCACACTCAGCTAGTTTATAAAAAAAATTTTTGGCAGGGCGCGGTGGCTCACGCCTGTAATCCCAGCACTTCGGGAGGTGGAGGTGGGCAGATCACCTGAGGTTAGGAGTTCAAGACCAGCCTGATCAACATGGAGAAACCCCGTCTCTACTAAAAATACAAAATTAGCCGGGTGTGGTTGCACTCCAGCCTGGGGAACAAGAGCAAAACTCTGTCTCTAAATAAATAAATAAATAAATAATTTTTTGTTTTTTGGAGACAGAGTCTTACTACGTTGTCCAAGCTGGTAATCTTGGACTCCTAGCTGCAAGCAATCTCCTACCTTGGTTTCCCAAAGTGTTGGGATTACAGGCATGGGCCACTATGCCTAGCTAATATACTTTTTTTTTTTTTTTTAGACGACGTCTCTGTCACCCAGGCTGGAATGCAGTGGCGTGATCTTGGCTCACTGCAACCTCTGCCACCTGGGTTCAAGCGATTCTCCTGCCTCTCAGCCTCCCGAGTGGCTGGGATTATGGGCACCTGCCACTGTACCTGGCTAATTTTTGTATTTTTAGTAGAGATGGGCTTTCACCATCTTGGCCAGGCTGGTCTTCAACTCCTGACCTTGTGATCCACCCGCCGCAGCCTTCCTAAGTGCTGGGATCACAGGTGTGACCAACCATGCCCGGCCTGATACACTTTTTAAAGTCAGGATTATTGAGGTATAATTTACATATATAAAAAATTCACTTTTTTAAGGTATACAGTTTTATAAATTTTGATAAACATATTCAGTCATGGAACCCCCATCACAATTTAGATACAAAATCCATCCACCATCCTCCAAGATTCCCCTGTGACCTTTGCAGTAAACTCTTCCCGTTTCCAGTCCCTGTGTAATCACTAATTTGTTTTCTGTGCCTATAGTCTTGCCTTTTTCTAAAGTGTCATATAATTGGAATCATACAATATGCAGCCTTTTGAGTCCAATACATTTTTAGAAATAGTTTTCAATTACACAGCAATGCATGAATACCTTCTCCTTATTAAAAAAACTACAACATTGCAAAGTCCCCGTTGACACCACATCTAATTCTAGCCTCTCATCCTTTCCACGATAAGAGGGTGGAGACCCAAGATGTTTGTTTATTTGTTTTGTTTTGTTTTGAGATGGAGTCTCGCTCTGTCGCCCAGGCTGGAGTGCAGTGGCACGATCTAGGCTCACTGCAAGCTCCGCCTCCCAGGTTCACGCCATTCTCCTGCCTCAGCCTCCCAAGTAGCTGGGACTACAGGCGCCCGCCACCATGCTCGGCTAATTTTTTGTATTTTCAGTAGAGACGAGGTTTCACCATGTTAGCCAGGATGGTCTCGATCTCCTGACCTCATGATCCACCCGCCTCGGCCTCCCAAAGTGCTGGGATTACAGGCGTGAGCCACCGCGCCCGGCCAAGACCCAAGATGTTTAATAGCCAGCAAGGCATGGCCAACCATATCTATTCCAATCAGAACAGGCCCTGGATGTTACATAGAATGGCCCCACAGTGACATACCACGTGGGTATTCTCTCCATCTCACAAAAGGGCCAGTCCTGTGCCCCAAAGCCTCCAAAAAGAGAAACCTGGAATGGACCTCAGGGAATGGACCCCTGGGCCCCAAGCTCAGGCCAGTAATGCTTCCCAGCCATGCGGGGCAAAGTGGAGATGGATGGAGGGGCAGAAACCCCTCTAAGCAGGGCAGGCATCTGCAGGAAGGTCAACACTAAACAGAGAGCTGCAACGAGGACCTGGCTCTGAACTTGTCAGCTGTCCCCATTTCAGCTTCTCTTTGCACATCATCATTCCCAAAATGCTCCTTTCACTGCTGCCACCAACAGGGGGAAAACTGCCTAGGGCTGGAGCAGTCAGGACCACGAGGAGAACTGGGACGGGAGCCAGAGAAGGGTTTGTCTGCTGGCTGAGCTGTAGCCTAGGGCACGCCCTAGCTGTGAATGAGGTCGAGGACACAGTACACTTCCATGCCTTTCCATCTCTGATGCTCCCCTCCAGCTAAGCTCATTCAGTTAAGCTGCATACCAGGGGACACAGAGGGGGTGCTAGCTGGCTTCCATTTTCCCCTTCTTTTTTTAGTATCAGCACATATGGCTACCCAGCTAGAAAACCACATTCCCCAGCCTCCATTCCAGCTGTGTGTGATATGCTACAGCCAATGAGACATAAATCAAGGTGCCATGTGGAGCTTTTCTGAAGTCTCTTTAAAAGAGTCTTCAGTGTGGGATGGGTGGTTATTCTACCCTGTTGTCTACCCTGCTGCTTGGAATTCAGATGTGATGGCTGGAGCTCCCACACCATCTTGTTGTCAAGATGCATGCAGAAAACCAGCATGAGAATGGGGCTAACACAGAGGACAGTGGGGCCAAGAGTTGGAGAAAGAAATCAAGTCCATATCACAACTCTTTATTATTTTATTTTTTTGAGACAGGGTCTCACTCTGTCACCTGGGCTGAGTGCACTGGCATGATCTTAGCTCAATGCAACCTCTTCTTCCTGGGCTCAAGCAATCCTCCAGCCTCAGCCTCCCAAGTAGCTGGGATTACAGGTGCAAACCACTAACGCCCAGCTAACTTTTGTACTTTTTGTAGAGACGGGGTTTTGCCCTGTTGCCCAGGCTGGTCTCAAACTCCTGAGCTCAAAGTGATCCACCTGCCTCGGCCTCCCAAAGGGCTGGGATTACAGGCTTGAGCCGCTGCACTCCATCTCTTATCATAACTCTTTAAAACTCCTGGAACAAGCTGTGCCTGAAGCTAGCCATCCCTGAAGTCTTCAGTTATTTGTGCAAATAAATTCCACCTCCCACATCCCAGACCTTTCCCCCACCTAAAAAAGTTTGAGTATTCTGGCTCCTCATAACCTAAAGTCTCAATTCATACCAGACTATCACTTTTATACTGTTAGATTCTATCCCCCCAAATGATAATCTTCAAAGGCAGTGCCTGCTGAGAGAAGGCACACCCAAGAGCCATATAACATGTGCCATGTATCCTCCCTGCTACTGTCATCTACCTGGGAACTCCATGGGGCAGTAAGTGGCTCTGTAACGAAGGCTTGTGGGTCCTACATTTCTACAGCCCGGGATGGGGATGGACTACTGTAAATTTCACACATTCCTGAGATGGGTTTGGATCATAATCCTAAAAGAGACCATCTCAAATACCATAATCCCAAATATTGAAATCCCCAAAGATCAAAATCCCTAAAGTCTAAAATCCTAAAAATCTCAATCACAGGATAGTTGTATCCTGTGAGGTCAACTCTTATGAACGGTCTCTGTGCAACTGCCCGTAATCTCTCCCTGTAATACACTTGGTCATATGTTAAATTTGAAAAAACTAAATGGTCTTTAGTATATATATATTTTTTTCCCCCACTATTTTAAATAGCATTACTTTTTGCAATTCACTATGCTATGTATTTCATCTTCACATCATTT